>NC_000014.9:59308682-59611713 GCF_000001405.40 Homo sapiens | reverse complement strand
AAGTCTCCCAAACCAAGACTCTTCATACTAGTTAGAAAGAACCAACTGAGACCCCCCAAATTGCAAAACAGACACCCTGCAAATGAGGCTACAGACACAGACACCCCATGGTGGAGCTAGAAACAGACACTCCACGATGGGGCTACAGACACCCCCCATAGGCTACATTACCAGTCAGGAGAAGAAAGGAGGCATTGGCAGCACCTAGGATACTCACCAATCTGGACACCCTGCAATGGGGCTACAGACAGACACCCCACCATGGGGCTACAGTCACCCTGTGATAAGGCAACAGTTAAAGGACATCTCCCCAGGACTATTTCTCCATTGCAATTAAATTCATGCACATTGGGTCAGCAGTGCCACGCCAGTAGAAAGAATACCAGAGTCAGCCGCCAGTCCAAGAGAACTAGGAGGCCACTTGGGCTGGCTTCTGGATCCATCACTGGAGGGGGGCCATTGAACCACAGGCAGGTAGCCACAAGGGCAATCCTGGATGAGCCCCCAAATTTGTAACTGCCCAAGGGGTTCACATTGCCCACTGCCTAGACAGAGCTAATTCATCAAGACAGGGGAATTGCAATGGAGAAAGAGTACTTCACACAGAGCCGGCTGTGTGGGAGAACCAAGTTTTGTTATTACTCAAATCAGTCTCTCTGAGCATTCAGGGAGCGGAGTTTTTAAGGATAACTTTGTGGGTGGGGGGAAGCCAGTGAACCAGGAGTGCTGATTGGTCAGAGATGAAATCATAGGGAGTCAAAGCAGTCTTCTTGTGCTCAGTCAATTCCTGGGTGGGGGCCACAAGATCAGATGAGCCTGTTTATTGATCTGAGTGGGGCCAGCTTATTCATCAAGTGCAGGGTCTGCAAAGTATCTCAAGCACTGATCTTAGGAGCAGTTTAGGGAGGGTCAGAATCTTGTAGCCTCCAGCTGCATGACTCCTAAACCATAATTTCTTATCTTGTGGCTAATGTTAGTCCTACAAAGGCAATCTAGTCCCCAGGCAAGAAGGAGGTGTGCTTTGGGAAAGGGCAGTTACCATCTTTGTTTAAACTATAAACTAAATTTCTCCTAAAGTTAGTTGAGCCTATGCCCAGGAATGAACAAGGACAGCTTGGAGGTTAGAAGCAAGAGTTAGTTAATTAGATCTCATTCACTGTCTCAGTCATAATTTTGCAAAGGTGGTTTTACAAGTTTAAAAGTTTAGTTTCCTCACCTGTGACATACCTATATAATGGAGTTTATTCTGAGATTTCAGTGAGATAACATATGAGAGTGCTTTGAACATTTCAGAATCAATGTAAATAGATAATATTGTTGCAAAGTGTCCAGAACCAACAGCCTGTTGTTTTAAGATAACAGTCCTTTTGTTAACCTCCTTATTAGAAACCTCCTGCAATCTTAGCAAGTAATTGAAAGATCTGCTAAGAGACGACCCTACACCAAACTCATGTTACTTAGCTAATGCTTTCTGCCCACAGTTTCTTCAAGGAAAGTCCATGAAGTGCCTGCCATTCACAGACTTCTTGAGCAGGTGGCCTCCTGGTTGGAGATTTAGGAGGCTTCCCTAGAGGGCATGCCATTTCTACCAGGTATAAAGCAATTCATTCAGAGGGGATTCACTTGAAAATAGCAAATTCTATCTTCTCTTTGTCTGAAAACTCCTTTCAGGCTCTTCTGAGCCCCTTCACGTCTCACAAGTGGGTAAGCATCTTCCTTCACACTAAGGAGTGCCCCCTTCAGCACAAATCATTCTGTCTTATAATGTATTTGTTTCCAAATATGTACGAGCATCATAAAACAGATTACCATTTATTTCTTATCCATTTGTGTGAGTGTGTGTTTGTTTTGTATAATTCACTTATTTTTATATCCCCACCTCCAGCACAAAGCCTGGCACTTAGTTCCTGCTCAATAAATGAAAACAGATGTGTAAGAGGTAACACTTCAGTTAGTGGTGATGCTTTAGTTTCCTTTTAATTCCCATTTGCCCCTCCCCTGCACAAAGAGAGTAAATACCTGGAGGCCCCGGACCGTCAAAGACCTTTAGCCCTGCTGCCTTGGCTTTAGACCTTTAGCCTAGGCTTGCCCCAATTTATTGTCTCCAATCCATTCAACCCAGGAGCTGCTGGGCTTCTGTGGAGAGCCCCTTTTCTCCCACTCTGCCCTCTACTCTCAGAGTTCCAGGGGTTTATTGCAGGTCATGTCTTCCAAAAGATCCCTCTTCTCCACCTGAAAAAGATTATGGCTTTTGGTGCTTCATTCTAAACAAACCCTTCTAAAAGAAAAATCATTTGGTGAACTCATTCATGTTTTGTTGTTAAGGACAAGCAAATCTTTAACACATTATTCTATTCTAGCATCTTTGCATCAAAAAAAAAAAAAGAAAAGGATTAGGCCAAATGAATGAATGAATTTTTTTTTTTTTGGAGACAGAGTTTCGCTCTTGTTTCCCAGGCTGAGTGCAATGGTGCCATCTTGGCTCACTACAACCTCTGCCTCCTGGGTTCAAGCGATTCTTCTGCCTCAGCCTCCCGAGTCGCTGGGATTACAGGTGCCTGCCACCATGCCCAGCTACTTTTGTTATTTTTAGTAGAGACGGGGTTTCACCATGTTGGCTGGGCTGGTCTCGAACTCCTGACCTCAGATGATCCACCTGCCTCGGCCTCCCAAAGTGCTGAGATTACAGGCATGAGCCACCATGCCCAGCCCAGAAATGAATTTCTAATGGTCAGACAGTGTGACTGGGGTCAGGATAGGGAGAAGAGAGAGGCTTTAGAGCACAGTACTTTTTTTTTATTTTTTATTTTTGCCTCTGGAAACCTATTTGTAGGACCAGTCCTACTCAAAAGAGAAAAAAAAGATCTGTTTCACCCCCAAAACATGCTTGTGAGCCTCTTCTCTATTTCCTACATGGCAGAAATGTAATAGAGGAAAGGGAACAAATTTTGCCCAACAAAGGTCTGCCTACTGGAGTCTTTCTGAGTTAATGTCCCTGATGGACCAGGTAGTGGTGGTGGGTGGGGAGTTTGTGGGGAGTGAATTCTCTCTCCGGCTTCAGATTGCTGGGAGTATCCTCAGCCTGTTATGAAGGAGACTCTTTTAGACCTGATTTACTCTCCAGCCAGCCTGAGGTAAGTCTGTAGCCAAAGAGAGGGTTAGTACTTTACTCTGCAAAAATTCCTTATGTCACCTCTATTGCCTTGCATTGTCATGAGGGCATGTGACTTTTTCAATATTGTTCTTTCATGCTAATTACACACCCATGTAAAATGGGAGTAGCTCCCTGCTCTCTTCAACCTGATCACTTCTGTCTTCCTATGAGCAAATGACTGGAGTCTAATTCTGTAAACCAGGTGTCTGCAGGTACACTGCAGGTGAAGCTAGCAGTACAAACCACTACCACTTACATTTGGTTGTGAGATGGGAATTTTGCATCTTATTTCTCTTCCTTAAAATTGATTGGCATAGAATTCTATAAAAACCATTTGTCACATACCCAGTTGGAGGGTAAATTTGCATAGATCCTTCAGTAAGGGTTTTATGCTATTTTTTTTTATATCCCGGGACTGGAATATTTAAAGTATTTCCATTTTGCATGACATTTGAAGCACTATGACTACTCTTTTGCATGTAATTTTTTGTTTCTAAGTTGAAGGAGGGTAATAACTGAATGGTGGATGCAATGTAGATTTTAAAGGTTTCATTTCAGATTTTTAAATCACAGAATGTAAGCAAACAAACCATGTTGAACAAAATGGTTTAGTCCACATGTCAGCTCCAGGGGCTCTCTCTCTCTTTTTTTTTTTTTTTAAGACAGAGTCTAACCCTGTCACCCAGGCTGGAGTGCAGTGGAGTGAAGTGGTACTTCACAGAGTCCTCTATATTTTCAAGTTTGTTTCAAAGTCACATAATTCAGGCCACTGTATGGATGGTGTAGCCCACAGAGCTACACCCATCGCGATATGGTCAATGGAGATTCAATAGTCTTTTCTTATATGTGAATTTGTGAATTATCCTCAAGGGTGGAAAAGATTCTTCCAAACCAAAGTGGAATGACAGTAAGTGCCCTTGGCACAGCCATCTGTCTGCTCACTTGTGTTTAGGAATCCAGATGCCAGGTGAGAACCCACAGCAACCACAGCTTGGTGGAGTGAGCCACAGCGGCTCATGTGGCGGCACTGCGGGAGCTCAGCTGGGTGTGTTTGGTGTCTCCTGCAGCTATTGACCTGTTGTATTGGCGGGACATCAAGCAGACGGGCATCGTGTTTGGGAGTTTCCTGCTGCTGCTCTTCTCCCTGACCCAGTTCAGCGTGGTGAGCGTCGTGGCCTACCTGGCCCTGGCCGCACTCTCAGCCACCATCAGTTTCCGCATCTACAAGTCTGTTTTACAAGCAGTGCAGAAAACCGACGAAGGCCACCCTTTCAAGTGAGTGCCTCAGCTGAGGAGCCCTCACCCACTGACCAGGGGCTTTTACCCTCACCTGTATTTCAGCTCACAGATGCACTTGAGTCATGTTTCTCTGAGACCCAACAGACCTCTTAGAGTCTCCCCTAACACCCTGTCTTTGAATATCTAACATTTCTGGTGAATTTCTGAAACAAACTCGATTATTCTTATTCCAATACTTATTGCTTTGTTGAGTTTTCATATGTATTTACTATTAACAGTAATCATAATCCAACAATTACTTAATCCTCTCAGCAATATCAGAAAGGCACAGCAGGCATTTTTGTCCCTATTTACAGGTGGGAACACTGAGGTTCTGAGAAGTGACATGACATGCTCAAGGCCAGGTGGCCAGTAAATAGCACGAAACCAGGACTAGGGTATTTGGGTCTTTATTTCCATGCTTTCTCTAGAAGTTTAACACCAAAGGGCCAACCTTCTGGTGGGGGTGCAGGGTTCATGAACAGTCTTCTCATGTATCCTCCTCTACATTTTTATACTGGGGAAACCTGATTTGAATGCACATTGAAGAGGAGGAAATACAAAAATAAAAGGGCAATCTACTAACTAAGCGGATATATGACATGTGGCAGAGGGAGGTGTTAGCACTGCCAGCTGCTATAACAAAATACCATAGACAGAGTGCTTGTTCTGGAGGCTGGGAAATCCAAGATCAAGGTGCCAGCAGGGTAGGATTCTGTTGAGGGCCCTTGCCTGGGTTGCAGATTGCCAGCTCCTCACTGTGTCCTCACTTTCACTGTGGGACGGAGTGAACAAGCTCCCTTGGGCCTCTTTTCTAAGGGCACTAATCCCATTTGTGAGGGCTGTGCACTCATGACCTAATCACCCCCACAAGGCCCCACCTCCTAACACTATCACATAGGGGGTTAAGATTTCAACATGAATTTGGGGAGGACACATTCAGTCCATAACACTCCTGAAAACTCAAGCCAAATACTGCTTTACTCTTTTTATCTCAATTCACAGGGTTAAGTAAGCACTTAAAGCACTCTAGAAATATCCTCTAGGTAGATAACAGGTGCAGTCTTAGAGCAGAGGGGAGGCAGGAAAGGAGAGAGGAAGGATGGACCTCTGTGGAGGAGCTTGGCCAAGCAGAGGAGGCTTAAGCTGGTATGATATATATATATATATATATATATCATGTTTTTCCCACCCAAGAATTAAATTTAACCATTTGAACTAATGAAAAATGTCATTATTAAAAATACCACTCAGTAGAACCCATAAGTATTTTAATATGGCCCAGGTCACTTGAGTTTTCAATGCTCTTTCTATAAACCTGGAAGTAAATTCTAGAATTTAAACATGAATTCTTAGAGATCTGATGAGGAACAGTTGGCAGCTAGGATTTTGAGCTATCTCAACTACTTAAAAAAAGATAATTTATCTCCATGAAGTCATGTGTGGAGAATTCAGCAAATGAGCTGATTTGGCACTAATTTTTTTTCTCTGGTCCCAGCTGGTTTCTCTGAATTTTCAGCCCACCCATGCTGTGTCTTAGGTAGCCAGAAACAGTCACAATGCTCCACTGAGAACCATGCTTTCTGTGTTCTCAGTGCATGGAAGCAGGTGTGTACGGTGCCCTGTGGCCCTCACTGGCTGGCATAACCCCCCAGAGATGACTCCTGCTCTCACCCTCAGAGTGAGAGTAGGAACGCTTAGCTGTTACTGGGGTTCGGCAGCCTGTCTCATGATTCCCTCTGACGGAATTTTCTGTGGGAATGGTTTGTTGACAGGGCCTACTTGGAGCTTGAGATCACCCTTTCTCAGGAGCAGATTCAGAAGTACACGGACTGCCTGCAGTTCTACGTGAACAGCACACTTAAGGAACTGAGGAGGCTCTTCCTTGTCCAGGACCTGGTGGATTCCTTAAAAGTATAGTTGCTTAAGCTGTTCACTTCACAGTCTTGACTGTTATTTTCCCTAAAGGTGTAATACTGTAAACTGCTACATCAAGAAGAATAAAAAGCAAGTGCTAATTATATTCTAGAGTCAGAAGACCTCCAGTTGTATGGCACCATGAACCAGTCTAATCCCTTCATTGTACCAATGATGAAAATGTGGCTGAGACATTTGTCCAGGGTTGCCCAGTGAGTCACTGGCAGAGCTGGAATCAAACCCAGGTCACATAGCTTCTAGCTCTATAGTCTTTACAACACACCAGATTGTCTCCTTAAACCATTTTTAGTTCCTCCGACAATTTCCCAAAATTAATATTAAGATAAAAAATCTAGATAGGGAATGTGAAAACCATATATACTTTTGCATTGAAGGAAACTCTAGATTCTACTAATATTAATAGTAAGCCCTCCAAGTGTGCTTATGTAGTTACAGCTCTGAGGCTAGAGGTATGCCCAGCCTCTCACTTGATGAGGATCAGGGGCACCTGGGGCTCTCACTGAATTTGCTGGGTTCCTTTGAATAAGTTGCTTTGGCCTCCTGGTGACTTACACGTGGAATCAAAGTTAGTCAATCGTGATTCGGCATGGTCATAAGCAGAGCTGGGGAAGCCCAGACAAGGTAGTTGTGAAGTTTCTGTGCTCTCACAGCACTTTATACACACCCTGGCAGGGGCTTGTACTGGGAGCTGTCTGGTAACTGTTCAAAGAAGGGCAGAAGGAAAAGTGAAAAATGTGGTCTTGACCCTCAAAATGCTTTACTGGAATAATGACTTGCCATATAATGACTGAAGAGAGATACCAGGGCAATTATAATTACTTACCTTAGTGCTTTTAAGGCCATGGTTGTATTTGTAATGTAAAAATTGTGGGCCAGAACAGGGGTCAGCAAACCTTGTCCGTAAAGAGACAGATGGTAGATACTTTAGGCTTTGCAAGCCACACCATCTGTGGCACCTTTTCAACTTTGCCATTGTAGCACAAAAGCAGAAAAAGACAGTACAAAAAGGAAGGGCTTGACTGTGTGCCCATAAGACTTCTGAACACTAAAAATTTGATTCAATATCATTTCATATATTAGAAAATATTAATCTTGTTTTGATTTTATTTGAACATTTAAAAATGTAAAAACCTTTATTAACTCGTGGGCCTATGCAAAAACCGGTCAAGGGCCACAGCTTCGTAGATTATTATTTCCTTGAGTCCCTCAAACCTTATAACAAAGTGATCCAAATAGTTCCAAGAGAACTAAGGACTGGATCCTCTTTCATTGATTCTGTGATGAGCTTTCAACGCCTTTCATTGACTATCGAAATCATGATGTATTCTGACTCAAATTCAAATCTAGGTAAAAGTCAATGATATGAGACTCTAACTTGTCAGGAAGGGTTTTAGGAGCTCTAATAATGCTTTCGTTCTTCAGTTTGCAGTCCTGATGTGGCTCCTGACCTACGTTGGCGCTCTCTTCAATGGCCTGACCCTGCTGCTCATGGGTAAGAGCAGATAAGACTGTATACGTCTTCCTTCACCCCCTCTGTGAAAACGCTGCTTCCTAGGCTGTAAGCTTTTTGTTTGTTTAAAGAGATTCCTAGGAACAAATGCCAGATATCCCTGAGTGCAGAGCACTTCTCTTACCATCATAGTTCAATTAAAGAGTATAATATATATTATACACTAATAATGAATTCCTAAGTCTAAAGGGTTTTTTTTCTTCAAACATAACTGGCTTCTTTCTGGCTTGTAATATATATATTTGGATCAATATATATATTTGGATCTGTTTACAGTGGCAGCTATGGATGGATTCATTTTCATCTTGGGAGGGGAGAGTTTATCCTAATTCTAGGAATAATTACAAAATACCTGTACAGGGCTCAGCATCATTTTATTTTCCCTATGAACTGCCCTGTCATCTTTTATCTAGAATGCTGGATATTGCTTCTCAAAATAGGGAATAAAAAATAAAATAAAATGCTGTATATTCCAAATAATGCTATAATATCATATAACCATATAAAAATGTGTCTATAAGCGTATTCTTATTGATAACTCAGAATTTTAATACTATATTTGTTTTTCATCCCAGCTGTGGTTTCAATGTTTACTCTACCTGTAGTGTATGTTAAGCACCAGGTAAGTTCTATGTGATGTCAAAAAATGGCATTGAATTTTGACCTCATCATCTTTGGATATGCTCATTATTTTTTTTTTCTTTATGTAGGCACAGATTGACCAATATCTGGGACTTGTGAGGACTCACATAAATGCTGTTGTGGCAAAGTAAGTCACATAGTGCAATGCATAAAAGGAGAGACTCTCTTACATCAGCATTTGAGTGGATTAGGATAGGGGTAATGAGAAGATAGTAAAATGATAGATTGATTTATGGTCATTCACTTACTGGAATCATATATTCATTCTCTTCTCAATTATGTTATTTTAGAAAATAAGCATAAGTTTTTAAACTCTCAATTAAATTAAACCCAGTGGTTTATTCAGGTTTCATAATAAGTTTTAATGAATGCATGATATTAAGCTCTAAGGACTGGCCCATGTACAAGAACAAGATGCATTGGAGGAAAGAAGGAAACTTGATTCAAAAAAGTAAAATTAACAGTTTAATTCAAATAAAAACAAGTTAACATTTTTAATCTTTTAAACAATGAATAGCACTAATTTTTTAAAAATCATTTAAATTACTTTTAAAACTTTGAATTATTTTTAGAACTTTAAAATACATAAAATGTTTGCCAACTAAATACATCACACCATTTTAACTCGACAACTGTGTGTATGTGTTTAATACCACTGCTTTTTAAACCTGAGTCTTCAGCCTTACTTTATGGCTCCCTTATATATTAGGAGATAGAGATTTCAGTTTTACATACCCATAGCTAACATGATCATTAAACTTAGGAGTTTTCCCTAATTCTTACATTACTATTTTTAGGTATGTAGTCATCTAAAGTGATAGCTCTTATATTGCATTATTATTCAATATTTTGTTTTATTAAAAAGCTAGCCTAATCTTTAACTATAAATATATTTCACCAAAGGACTAGACTTTTTCACAAAAACTCTATCTAATTATCTGATAATAATGTGGCTGGACCTAGGTGAGGGTCAGATTTAGAGAGAGGCATTTTAGGTAGTTAAAGATGTGTAATAACAAAATAAGAAAGGCCAATCACATTAAAGTTCCTCTGCTCTTAGATTATATGTGATGTGCTTCAGTTCCCTCTGAAGTTTATAAACTTTTGTTTTTTACTGTGTATTATTTACATTTGTCCTCTTAAAGTCATTAGGAACTCATAGGGTTCTATGTTGAATTTGGATCTTTGAGAGATCTACAACACATTTCAAAATGCCTGAACGTATCAGCTTGGACCCAGGTGTAACCAATACCTAATGAAAATCAACACATTAAGCATAAAATAATCATTTTATTTTGTATTAAGAAATGGTATCATAGCACAGTATGAGACTTGGTGGTACCCGAACCTGAGGAGCCTGTTTAAAAATACAAATGCTAAGACTCCACACAGACCTATAGAATTAGAATGTCTAGGATTGGTAACCTGGAATGTATATTTTAATGAACTCTTCAGGTGACTTTTTGGCAACTAGAACTGTGTTCATAAACTATAGCAAAGAATACCAGAATAGGAGTTTGGAAACTGGAAGATAGAAGTTCTAGACCTAAGTTGTCCAATACTTAGTTTGAGTATCACAAATCATACCTATTACTTTTTCATTTGGTTTGTTGGTTGAGTCCAAAAAGAGGAGTACCTGTTATGTTCTGGACACTTCATATGATAGGTACAGAGGGTATAAAGATAAATGAAATGATCTCAGCCCTAAAAGAGCTCTTAGCCCAGTGGTGCAGACAAAATTATACAGAAATAACTATAATAAAATATAATAAGTACAGTAGAGCTATATGAAATACTAAAGTCAGAGAGATGAGGAAACAATTGTTCCTTCCTGGACAGGATAGTGGAAAGCCATTAAGATAAGGTGGCATTCAACCTGGGCCTTGAAGGATGGGTAAACAGTCATCACGTGGATGATAAGGGGAAAGACGTTGCAAGAGGAAGAGGTAATAAAGCAAAGACAGAGAAGCATGAAAATGTAAGTCATGTTTAATAGGCAACAGTCAACCAGTATGTCTAGAGCTTAACTGAGTCGAAAGATCAACTGGAAAGAATGTAGGAAGAGAGGCTGAGGCCAGGTGGTGAATGCTCTGTGGAGTTTTGATTCCAACCCAGCAGGAAATGGCCACCCCTTGATGTTTTTAAGCAGGGGATTGATATCATCAGATTTATGTTTTTTAAAGATCACTATGGCAGTCTAGTGAGAAAAGAATTGGAGAGGGGAGAGACTAGAGATGTGGCCATCAGCTAGGAGGTTATCATAATTCAAATAAAAGTGACAAGGGCATGGCCTGGTTAAAATGGAGGGAAAAGAGAGATGGCAGAGAATATAAAGTATATACAATGTACTTGTTAAATTACAATTGGAAATCAATGCTGTGAAAAGGAATGGAAAGGAAATGTTACCTATGACTAATATGGCTTCTGTAATTGAGCTTCAGGCAGAGTTGGCTCTGAATTTCCTGGTAGCTAGGACAAAAAGAGAAACTAGGCAAGTCACATGGTTCTCACTATCTATCAGAGAGGAGGAAACAACAATTCTTCCAAATAACCTGTTTTGCCTGGCACTACATTTTGAAGGAAATTTCTTGGTGGGATCTTAACTCTAAGTCCTCTTCAACCTCTGAAATTGTAATTCCACCTTAGAATAAATAATTCCAGCAAAAGAACTTACACCACTTTAGTGGTACAGTTAAGAACATGATTGTTAGAATCAGACAGACTGAGTCCATTTCTGGCATTTTTAGCTGTATGAGCTCATCATAAATGTTATTTGACTCTATGAGCCTATTTCCTTATCTGTAAATTGGAAATGTTAATACCACACAGGGTTCTTGGTGATTAAATGAGGTAATGTCTGTAAAGTATTCTTACTTGGATGTAGGAAACCCTCAATATTATATATCATTGTCATCATCATCATCATCATCCGATTACTGCTTAGAGATCGGTTCATGGGGCTTGGAGGTAGAGGACAGTCCCAGATTGGGCCAGTAGACACCAGGGCCAGTCTCTCCTCCATACTGAGTGACCCTGTCTAGGTCGTTTCACCTTTGTTTGTCTCAGTTTTCCAGCTTAAAATAGGGGTTAATAATGCATAATAACACTTCTTAGAGTTTTGAAAATGAGGAAAAAAGCCTCAAATTTCAAAAGGCAAAATAAACACTGTAGAGGAAATTAAAGCTTCGAGTAAGTGAGACCATAATAAGAAATCTGCTTTAAGTGAATACAATTCCCTATGTCTAGGTGAGTTATGTTTTAGAATGACAAAGTAGCTTGTAATTTTACCTAGAAGCTCTCTTGGTGACCTTTGATAAATCTCATGGAATAAAGGACATCCTGAAAACTCAAATTGGAAAGGAGCTGTCACGATCTTCAAATGAGAAGAAAGAAAGATTCTAGATGTTATATTTGATAAACTGAAGGCCTAATTTCAAGCAAAAATCCAGAATGAATTAGTAAAACTGTAGATACTCAGAATAGATCAGTGTATCTTCACTAAACCCTGAGATGAGATGGACTTCCCTAGCCAGTGAGTATTCTGATTTTAGTGGGGGTAGTCAGCAAGTCTTCTTGGTGTCCTTGTGGAAAAAAATGGAGATGTATGATCCAGATGATAGCACAGGTGGTAGAATTCTAGAAGATTGAAATAATAGACCCTAAAGATGTTCATTAATCCATCCAATATGTGTCTGGGCCAAGGTATGTGACACAGGGCTCTGCCTTTGATCCCATTACTTTCAACCCCATTACTTCTCATGACTATGTGAAGACAAATCAAATATCTTTGTCAAAGTTCCAGATGATGTACAGTTTGAAGCAAAAGCAAATTCAGAAGATGGCAAGCTCAAGATTCAAAATGAATCAAGGGATCTTGAGTAAGCGAGAATGCCGAATTGAAATCAATAAAATGAAATTAATAAGGAAAGTGAAGTCCTACATTTAGGTTTCTAAAAAGTCAACTTTACAGATATAGAATGCGGCGAGGGATAGATGAGAGAGGGTAACAATAAGGGTGTATGTAAAAAATACCTCGGGGGTTTTAATTGCTTGATTGGTCACAGCCAAATGTGAGTCAATGATGTGCTGAAGCATCTTTAAAAAATCAATGCAAGTTGAGTTGTTATTAGTAGGAGTACAAAGTCTAAATCAACATAGGCAACAGTCATATTATATTCCATATTGGCCATCCCATATCTGTGTTCAATTTCAGGGTTGGACATTTTAACAGATGCATTAATACATTGGAGTAATGCCACAAAGATGACCAGGGTACTGTGGTATTAGAAATCTGATAGTAATGGGCAGTGAAGAGCAAACTTTGCTGGGGATGATTACCCTGGAAAATAGATGACTTTAAAAGGACACCATAGCCATTCTCAAATACTTGGAGGTCTAACATTGCTAAAGGAGTAGGATTTCCCTTTTTCTCTCAAGAGCAGTGAATGGAAATTTTAGAAGTTCTGAGATTTGAATGAAATATGAGGGAAAAGAGTAATGATTAGAGTTGCTCAATAATAGAACCATCTGCCCCATGAAGGAGTGAGTACCCTGACATTCATTCAAGTATTCAAATAGAAGTTAGATGGTCACCATTGCACATGTCCTCTGCTGGCACCTCTTCCTCTTGTCCAACTCCCTTCTGGTCCTGTGACCCTAAAGGTTATCTCATGTCTAGGGCTGCAAACTTGTGTCTCCAGCCCAGACCTCTTCAACTAAGCACCAGGTCTATCCACTTATTTATGTAAGGTTTCTCTAAAGTGTCTGATAGACCTTTCAGATTCACTTAGCCACACATCGTGCAATCTCACCCCAGAACTTGTATTTCCTTCAGTTATCACAATCTTGGTAAATGGCATTTTCACCTGGTTCCTCAGGCTAAAAACCAAAGAATCTTCCTTGATTACTCTTCTTCTAATCCTAGCCTATGCATTCAGTTTATCAACAGATCAAGTGGGTCCTGCAGCCTCATCTCTAAACTAACCCTGAGACTGTTCCCCTCTCTTCATTTCCATGTCTACCATACAATCCAGGCATTGCCTTCGGGTACTTGGACTGCTGTGGGTTTCTCTCCCTCTGTTCATTGCTTCTACTCTCATTTCCCAATTTTTTTTTTACACAGCCACCATCATGATCTTCTTACAACATTAATCAGATCACGTCACTCCCCTGCCTAAATTCATCAATGGTTTCCCATCACACAGGGTAGAATCTAAACTCCTCACCGCATCCCACAAACTCCAACACCCACCATCTGGTCCCTGCCTGCCTTTCAGACCTCCCCTGTCCATACCCCAAGCAAACGGGCTTCTCATCTCCTTGCCGCCAGCTTGTCCTCTCTGTGATGCCTCTGCACTCATTACTCCCTCTGCCTGAAACACTTCACATCCAGATCTTTGCCTGATGGTCCCTTCCTGTCCTCTGAGGATCAGTTTCTCAGATGAGTGGATTTAAAAGAGGTGGTACACACCTTACCACTGTGCCCCTCACTGCCTGCCATACCACCTTGTTTTTCTTTATAGCAGTTATCACCATCTAAACTTCTCTTGTCTTCTAGTTTATTTCTGTCTCCTCAATTCCTACAGGAATGAAAACTCCATGAGAGCAAGCATCTCCTCCCTTTTGTTGACCACTGAATTCCAGTACATGGAAGGGTACCTCATGGCACAGAGGGAGGTCTCAATCAAAATCTGCACGATAAGCTCATAAATCTTCAAATTAACAAAACACTTCCAGTGTAAACCTGTCCGAAAATCATGCTGCTACATTGTGAGCATCACAGAATTTCAGGACCCTGGAGATATCTAGTCTATGCCCACATTTTAATGAGTATTTAGGACCAGAAAAGTCCCTTAGCTTGCCGGATGCCACACAGCTAATTAATAGAATAGCTGAGACTAGGACCCAGCTTTTTAAATTCCAGTTGTGGGTAATTAGACTACTCTGAGGGTGAACATAGGTTCCTTTTCCTATGTCCAACATAGGAACAGATTATATCCCTAGTTATATAACCATCCCTACTTATGCTCATCTTCCTGGCATAGTCAGTAATAGCACTTTCTCTCTCTTTCTGAAGTGTCCCAGATGGGGGATAAATAATCACCCTAACTATATCACAGTTTCTGTAATCCTGAAATAAGTCAATATGTTCCTCCACCTAAAAAGATCTAAAAAATGTGGCTTTCTTCCAATTCTCTTTTTTGTTGCTGTTATTTTCATTATCCAGTTTTTACTTCCTTCTTATTGCTTTATAGAAGAGTATTTGCAGATGTACTTACATAAAGACTATAATATCTTCTGGAATATTAAGTTCTTTGGTCACTTAGCTAATTAAAGCAACAACACATAAAATGATTTCATTAATAACACTTGTGATTTACTACCTTTTGATACTGTCTTTTTAGGATTCAGGCTAAAATCCCAGGCGCTAAGAGGCATGCTGAGTAAACTGATTTCCCACCGGGGACTGGACACAAACAGGAATGTCTGGAGTGGTAACAGCTCTCTTCTTACTCATTACTGCAAATTGATTGTCTTTCCCCCCTCCCTCCAGTACCATAATCTTAGAGACAAACCTTAAAACAGCTGTTTTTAGGCTGTTCCTTGTACTCTTAGGATATTTGAGTCACTTGTGTCAACCACTAAAGTATAGAGAAAAGTGTATTAGATGTGGTTTTTAATTTTGTGTTGCTAAAAAAAGTGCATGATGGTGAGAGCCCAAGTTATCTTTCCCTCTTCGGTGTTCTTCTTCTCTTCTCTGCAATGCTTCTGTAGCTTCTAATGTTCCCCGTGGCTAGGCCTTTCCTGCCGAGTGCTCTGATGCAATAGTGGAAATCGCTTATATGTCCTTGGGTTGCTGGTTGGATTAATCTTTAATAACAATATATAGAATTGTAGACTGATGTTTTAGCATTTTTCCAACACACACAACGTAAAAATAAAAGCAGTCGACCGCACTTATGGTAATCAGTTTTGTATAACTTAAAATAATTAAATAAATGAATAAATCCAAAACAAACATGCAGTACTTTTGTTGTATGGGATTGGTGGGCTGATTTACATGTATGGTTACTAAAAAGTACCAGCATGTTAACTTTATTACAATTTGTATTACTTTCTCTGTAGTTCCTAATGGATTCAATTACGGACTCTGGATATTTGCACTTATGTACTTGATACTGAATGCATAAATAAATGTTACTAAATGTAGAATGTTCTCCCTCTCTTCTCATGCATGGTCTTACCAGAAAACACAAAAGCTCGAAGTGATGAAGTCACTCGATGACATTCTAGGAGGGCTGAGAGCAAATGCTCACCTTATTTCTCTCTAGGACTGTGGAGTCAAACTGCAACCTGGCTTACGGTTTTTCTGGGTCATTAATAGAAAACTGAAAAGTGGTAAACTGTCAATCACTCTTCATATTGTACTCTGTCAGGTGGATGCAGATATTTAAGATAGTTTTTAAAAACTTGAAAGTGATATAAATTCTTACATAAACTGTACGGCAATATGCAACAAAACACTGGCAAAAACAATTGTAATTGCCATGAACTCACCGTTTTAGTAATTACTTATTAAGCACTGACTGTGTGCCAAGCACTTAGAATAGGGCTGTGAATAAGAAAGATGACAATTCCTGCCCTCACCATGTGAAGTCTTCTAATAATTCCTCACTGCTTTTTATACAAGTCCAATTGCATATTTTGTTTCACTGCTACAATCAAACATCAAAGACGAAGAGGTAGAAGTGAATGAAAGGAGTAGCAGTTGGAGAAAAAAAGGAATGATTGCTTATAAAAAGCTGCCTTTTACCAGTTTTACACCTGGGTTCAGTGAATATTTGTGGAGTTATCCTTCTATACAAAGTGGCGTGAAGGTTACAAGGGTCACTTGGCACTGTGCCAACAGCCAGAAACTCTCATCACTGTGCTGGGGAAAGGGCAGGTGGCTATGTGGAAATGCCAACTGAGCAAAGGGTAGCATAAAACAAGAGCCATTGGCAGGGCGCGGTGGCTCACGCCTGTAACCCCAGCACTTTGGGAGGCTGAGGCAGGAGGATCACGAGGTCAGGAGTTCAAGACCAGCCTGATCAACATGGTGAAACCCTGTCTCTACTAAAAATACAAAAATTAGCTGGGTGTGGTGGCACCTGCCTGTAATCCCAGCTACTTAGGAGGCTGAGGCAGGAGAATCGCTTGAAACTGGGAGGCGGAGGTTGCAGTGAGCTGACATCACACCACTGCACTCCAGCCTGGGCAACAGAGCGAGACTTTGTCTCCAAAAAAAAAAAAACGAGCCATGATGCAGGGTTTGAGCAACAGAAGATTCTCAGGGGAGGTGAACTTCACGGCTGGGTCCTGGTTTGGTTTTTGCCACATGAAGAAGGTCCAGCCCGAGATAAAGAAAGAACATGAGCTAAAGTGCCAAGATGTGGAGTGTGAGGCATATGCAGAGAATGGTGAGTTAAACAAGCTTAGATGGGTTGTAAAGTTCTTGGGGTGGGAATGATAGTGCCAGATAAAGCTGGAAAGGTGGGTTGAGATCACAATGGGAAGAAACTTGGATGCCTGTGCCAAGGAGTTTGGGCTTTATTCTCTACATCTCAGAGAGTCACATAGACACAACAAAGGTACAAGATACTGAAGGCTAGACAAATAGAGTGATAATTGTAACCTAACTCCACCCAGGTGCCAAATGACTAGGTCTTTACTAGAACAGCCACAGAAAGAATAGAAAGATGTTCACCTGTCCCTGATCCTTGATAGCCCAGCATGCCAAGCACCCACCATGGATAAGGTGCAGCTAACAGATGATGTGGAGGGAGATTGGACTGGAGCTGGTAACCAACTAGCTGCGGGGCTTCAAGATGAAAGCTGGCCTTGAGAATGAGTGCCTCCTTGAATTTTGCACCCAAGGAAGCTCGGTTGCCTCACCCTAGCCCAGCACTAAGACTCGCTGATCAGCAGGATGCAATGCCATTTTCCAGGACAGAGAGCCCAGAAGAGATTATTTGGGGAAAGAAGATACTAAGCTTAGTTTGGTGCCTGATTTTTTTTTTAATGGTTACTAGATTTAGAAGAGGATTTTCTTTTTTCTTTATGTTTTTCAGCCTCCAACCTTTTAGACAAAGTTTCTTCTACATGGCTTTATTGTATAGAATTAATCTTCAATATCTGTATCTGCAACATTGTCCTCATACTATAGACCCAGAATTCCTCTCACAGGCAGCTGCTCATTAGGAAGGTCTAATTAGGAACTCTCTTTGCTGGCAGTGGTGGAGAAGTTTCCTAAGGAAACTCCAGGCTTCCAAAATAGTAGGTATGGATGTAGATTTTTCACAAATGGAACATGGGGCACATTATACCCTGTTTCTACAGGGAGCATCAGCCCAGGTGATATTCAAGATGATGGAAATAATGTGAACAGATGAGAAGAGGACCAAGAGCAGAGCCCCTGGAAAATCCAGAGTGAGTGAGGTGATTCTGAAAGCTGTGAACAGTAGAAAATTCTTACAGCCCATATATGGATGAGTGAAAGCAGTAAGAGCAAATGAAGAAGCTGCAGTATTCTAACGGATAAAGCATGATAGTTTCTATGTCCTCTGCTCTTTCCCCACCCATGTTAGTTTCCTAGGGTTACTCTACAAAAGTATCAAAATCTGGGGTTTTTTTTTTTTTTAAACTCTCAGGCTGGAGTGAAGTGGCACAATCTCAGTTCACTGCAACCTCCACCTCCTGGATTCAAGTGATTCTCCTGCCTCAGCCTCCCAAGCAGCTGGGATTACAGGCGCGTGCCACCACACCCAGCTAATTTTTATATTTTTAGTAGAGATAGGGTTTCATCATGTTGGTCAGGCTGGTCTCAAACGCCTGACCTCAAGTGATCCACCATCTCAGCCTCCTCCCAAAGTGCTAGGATTACCGGGTGTGAGCCATCAGGCCCAGCCTCAAAATCTGGGTTTCCTAAAACAACATAAATTTATTCTGTCACTGTTCTGGAGGTTAGAAGTCCAAAATCAAGGTGTTGGCAGGGCCCTGCTCTCTTTTTCGGCTCTAAGGGAGAACACTTCCTTGCCTCTTCTAATGTCTGCATTTGTCAGCCATCCTTGGTGCTCCCGGCTTGCAGATGGGATACTCCAGTCACTGGGTGCCGCTTCCCTGTGTCATATTGTCTTCCCTCTGTGTCCAAATTTCCCCTTTGAATAAGGACACCAGTCGTAGTGGAATAGGGCCCACCCTAAGGACCTCATTTTAACTTGATTATCTCTATAAAGACCCTGTTTCCAGTAAGGTCACATTTCTGAGGTACAGGGGTTTGGGGCTTCAACATATCTGGTTTAAGGGTGGTGCACAGTTCCACCTGACACTACCTCAGGGCTCATATGGTCCCTTACCCTATTATAAAGACTTCCTCCTGGTGTAGATCCCAAACCTATCTCTGCATTTTGTTTCTCTCTCTAGGGAATCACTGCTGAGAAGTAGTCCCACAGCTTTCTACCTCACCCAAATGCACGTGGGGTGTGGTTGATTGCTGGGCCTTGCTTCACAGCTGTGAGGTTCCAGCAATCACCACATTGTCCTTGAATAGGGCTGCTCTGAGCATCAGAAGGTTAGCACTCTCTTCTGTGTGCAGAGAAGCACGTAGGGGAGACAGAGGAGCCACCACTGGAGCTCATACCAAATGCGTTCGTAGTTGGAGGGGGACTAAGTCCCCTCTGCTGATCCAGGCAGAAGGGCCACCTGCCTTCAGACGCTGACCGGCTTCCCTAGTGCTTGATGTTGGCACCCTCCTCAAGCTCCTTAATCAGATTTTTATTGTATAATTTTATTTTTGTGGTTTATTTTATGATTTTAAATTTTCCTTAATTCAATACATTTAATATTAAATTCTATGTTACAAAATCAGTCTGGCTGGCCACATTTTCTTTGATGAGTACATTGAAATGAATTAATTTGCATTCTAGACCATTATTGTCTTTGAAAGCAATTCTGCTAGAATCAGCTGTCTCTGGTTTCTTGTGGCAGACTGCCACAATTGCTACTTGAGACTATCACTATGACAGTTACTACTGTTACTACTTGAGACCATCATTACGAGACTGAATGAAGGGGGATGAACGTAGAAATAATAACAAAAAAACAAAAGAAACTGTTTTAAAGGAAGGTGCCAGGGGAAGAAGAAGAGGGCTCCCTGCTTCTAGTGAGCAAGGGCAGCAGCCCTGAGCTTATACAGCCCTTCGTATTTATTGGGTAGGAAGAGCAGGGAGGAGGAGCTAACGATTGGTCAGCTGCTTGATTGATGACAGGTGCATATTATTGCTAACAGGCTTTGGATTTGCCTAATCATAAGAAACACTTGTGCCTGGGTCATGTCTGCCCTCAGCATTCCTTCTGGGTGGCAGATGCAGTTTGTGAGTTTGCCAACATTCTGCATTTATGAGAACAGTTTGCTGTTTACTCATACAGCCTCCAGTGGTATACTGAGTTGATCACAACCCTCACACTTTCGGCCTGCAACAGTTTCTCCCTAAAATGATAAAATGGTCCTGAAGAATTAACACTTCATCTTGGCCTGCTTTCTCTAAACATACAACTGCTCTGGATTTTGCTTTGTATGTTTATGTCTTTATAAAACAAGAGAAGTCATCACTAAATTATGACAGGAGTCAAATTCTTAAGTGACTAATGGCAGCCTATGTCAAAATAATACTCAAAAATTAAACAGTTCATATGAAGGGTAACTTTTTTTCAACCTTTATTTCTAGCCATCTCTAACAGAAATAAGGTAGCCAAATATAATGGACGAGACATTAACCTTTTTTAAAAAAATATTCAAACATTTTAAGTAACTAGCATTTTGTAACAAAACAATCACATTGAATTATATCTTCCCCAAAGTGATTTTTTCATGATGCATTTGACATGTCAGAATCAAGATATTTAAGACTGCTTTCTTAAATGTATTATTAAAATTAAATTTAACTTGTCTTTTAATAAAATATGGTTTTAGCATCTCCCAGCCATTTTTCTAGTACTTAATAAGCTCAATGGAGGAAATGCTTATGTTTGGCTTATGAATCAAGGTGAAGGTAAAATGTACTTTGTCAAAATTCAAGTAGTGAATAGATAATTCTCTTTTTTGTCTTTGTTCCCTTGACTTATAAATCCAGGGCCAGTCAATAAAAAGGGTGTGTGTGTCATGGAGACAGAGAGAAATGAACAGGGAAGAACATACGAAATGGGGTACACAGATTTGCCTCCAGCTTTCTGGAGCAGTGCTTCATCTTTTCAGCAGAACATTCTGGAGGAATACCTGGCCAGTCCTCACCCACAGTGCCTCTCCAAAGCTCTACACTTCCCTAAGACATGTTCCTGGAATGCTTTTACATCCCTGTGGTTCAAGAGGCACATGCAACCACGTGGAAGCCCACTGCGCTTCAAGCTCCCACTTCTCCCCTATCAGGGAAGCTTCCCACTGGGAGTAGAGTGTGAATGTATACCCCTTCAGTGGAGATGGTTCAGAAGCCAGCTTTGCAAGCAAAGAATTTCTTTAATCACATATTTCATCTTAGAAGTTAATGTGAACTTGTCTGTCATTGCATAAGACCTTTGCATTTACCTTAATTTAAAAATTCTTCCCCATACTTCTGCATTAAGTTGACTCAAGGAGAATATACCATGTTTTTCTTTTTACACCAAGTAACCCTAGTTTGAGATACGTGGTCTTCAGTGCTCAAGATGCCACGAAGGCAGTTTTGGCTGGGAGATGAAATAGATTTTGACCCTTGAAAGGGGGCTGCATCATGACAGCAGACTTGGGAAGACCATGCTGCATCTTAGCCAATCTTGGCTTTCTTCCTCTCAGAAACTCTGTGAGTGTCTGTCCTCCAGAAAGGCAGGTGAGGCCCTTACTTCCAATTAGCTAGCAACAATAAACGAAGGATTTTATTATCAAATCTTTATAACATTATCAGGGATATTCCCAAAGGTGTACAGACAATGTTTTTTACAATAGCAAATATTGAAAACAATCCTAACATGCCAAGTATCAAGCAATTGAATAAGTAAATTATAGACCTTCTAATGAAAGACCATATAGCCACTTAAATCATCTTGGGGAATGATATTCTGGCATGGAAAATTGTTCACAATATAGCACCGAGTGAAGAAGGTAAGCTACAAAAATAATATGAAATGCACAGGGAAACATTAATCTGTAAAATGAAATCAACATAGAAAATATGAGGGCATACAACAAATATTGAATGTAATTATCTTTCCTCAGGGAAGACTTTGAAAGATCATCCTTTCTCTTTGTGTGTGTGCTTTTTAAGGTTTTAGATTGTTTACATTTTATCTGTGGTGTCTTTTTCTCATTTTTTAAAAATTGAAATATTGTTCCAAACCCCATACCTATCAAAACCAAAGCTATGAAAATGAGTGAAAAATCACCCCCCAGTAAATATTATTCTCTCATTTGGGCCCATTTTTGTTCAAATCAAAATTTAGATTTTTCTTACTTGCATCTCTGGTTCATACCTGCACCCATGCCTTTCTCTTTGCTGCTAATAGGTAAACTAACTGGTGGGTGTCAAAGGAGAATGGAATTTATATGTTTCAAAGCAAAGTTTATTCTCTTAACATTGTTGATTTGCTTTATATAACTAATAATTGTTCTAATTTCTTTCTGCCTTATTTATTTATTTATTTATTTATTTATTTATTTTGAGACAGAGTCTCACTCTGTCCCCCAGGCTGGAGTACAGTGGCACAATCTTGTGCCACTTGTGGAGTACAGTGGCTCACTGTAACCTCTGCCTCCCAGGTTCAAGCAATTGTCTGCCTTAGCCTCCTGAGTAGCTGGGATTACAGGCACCCGCCACCACACCTGGCTAATTTTTTGTATTTTTAGTAGAGATGTGGTTTCACCATCTTGGCCAGGCTGGTCTTGAACTCCTGACCTCATGATCCACCCGCCTTGGCCTCCCAAAGTGCTGGCAGGTGTGAGCCACCGCACCCAGCTGCCATTGTTGTTTTTAAATTAAGTTTTTTATTTTTTTCAATAACAGAAGTAATATATATTAATTACAGAATATTTAAATGATGCAGATTCTCCTATTCAAAGAAAACCACCATTGGCATTTTGGGATAAAGCCTTTTTTTCCCTAGACATTTAAAAATAATTGAATTCTTATTATCTATATAATTTTTGAATTCTGCCTTTAAATTTAAAATAACAAATATATTTCATATACATTTTTCTATGGTATCTTTCTTACTCAAAATAATGTATTAGATTTCTCAAACACACTGGATGTTTTTAAGGTATCAAAACTTTTAAATATAGGGGAAACATTCTAAGAATAAGTTCTCTTTTTTCTTATATTATCAAATTTGCTACCAGTTCTTGAATTATGATCTGCTAATTGCCCTTCATGTTTCTATTTGACCAGTCCTCTTATTTATAACCAAAATTTAAGAAAATGATAAAAATACTAATATTTGTGCTATGGATATATCTCAAGTCTTTCATTTTACTTAGTAATATTACATTTTAATTTAGTATGGTATTTGAAAGACTTTTAAAGCCCAAAACTCCTCTCAAATGAAACATGACAGCTTATAACCATAAAAGGCACTGTGCTGTTTACATTTATTATTTCATTTCATCTTCAAATTAGGCCTATAGAAAGAGGTATACCATTTTATATATAAATGAACTCCTAGTTCAAATCTTGCCTAAGATCAGTATTAAAGACAGAGGTTTGGATTTGAGAATGTTATTCAATCACATTTTATCTCTAAGTTGCAAGTCAATTGAGAACCATGCCAAGGAACCGGCTGAATGAAGATCAGATGACCAGTTCTGCTACTGATAAAGTTGCTTAACTATGGCCAGAGTGAGGCTTCCTGTGATTTCTATTCCCTCAACACCAAGTGAGGATGTGCACCTTACCCCTGCACTGGACAGAGCTCACAATACAAGGAAGCAGAGCAGCAGTGAGTCTGGGGGGCAGGCCAGGCCGACAGGGAGAGAGCAGATGAGGCCAGGCTTCCTCAGTTCCCTCTCCAATATCACGCTTCTTCCTTTGAGAAGAATGAAGAAAGGGTAGAGGGAAGATACAAGTTTTGCCACCATTTGTTTTCCTCTTGGGAATGGATTGGAAGTACCTGTGTCCCATAGACAGAGTAGATTTCAATCCAGGTCTTTTTATACCAAAAGCCAATAGACTTTACTTACAACAGCCAACAATGATGACAAGACCTATTTATTCATTAAAATGTGCCATCTATGAGGACTATTAGGCAACACCTTTAAAAATATAGTTTGGAGTCTATATTGTCCTTAAAAAGAAACAAAACTGAATTTTTCTCTATTAATTTTTGTGAATGCAATCCATCAATCAGAGCCTAGCAGGTAACAGCACACTCAAAAGAGTAATTGAATGGAGTTTAATGAAAAAGTAGGGCAGAGTTTAGGAAGACGAACAAGAGATGATGCGGTGCCTGTGGTCTAGCAAGAGTGGGAGCCTCTACCACCCTTACACCTGAAGGGACAAAAGGAGGGAATGCACACTTAAACCAGAGAAAGTAGCCAGGGCCTCCTGACAGGAGCTGAGGTTCAGAGGAAGGCTGCAGCCAGCCTTCCATGAAGGTTACAGGGAGAAAGCCCAAGCAATAAACAACCTTTTCACTCTTCTTACAGCCGTCTCAGACACAGGCTCTCCATTCAAAAAGTTACTTTGAAAATTTAAAAATTAAATACTACCACTCAGTTTGGTAGGGTGTTTTCTCTCCTCCATCAGGGCATACACTTGTCAGAAACTACTATGTTGTCTGTATTTTCTTTCTGATACTACTCACATATTGAGGGCTCAGTACAAATATAGCACCTCAGCATGTAAATTCGTATAAGGACAAGTTGCTCAGCAATGACTATGATGCATCTAGTCTGAGATAACTATTAAATAGGCAGTATTGTTATTTTTTCATGGGGCATTCATAAGAATATCCAGAAACTCCGTAGTACTCATTCCATCCAATAAATATGTTTGAAATACTCCTAACTTGAAAATTTTAAACTCTTAAATTTTTCTCAAAGAGAACTTACCACACCATAATCTCTCAGTGGCAAATCGATCCTGTCTACCTTTTTGCTCAATAGAATATATAGTTCATTGTTTTCTTTTCTTCCCCTAAGTAGGAAAGAACATTCAAATGCTTGCTACCACAAAATATATTCCCAATAGAATAAATGGAGTTTTCTTTAGGGACCTTTATATCATGGTAGTTTATCTGTATGAGCCCTTCTGTGCCCCCAGTTTATGATAGAATTGTAACCTCCATTGGGAAGAATAGCGCTAAGCCAAGGGCATCCTCTTCTGGCTGTTACAGAATTTCTTACTAGATAAAATGCACTTACTTTTTTCCCCTTTTTACAAAACTTTACTTTCATTTTCATTTTGCTCTTTAATTCTTTATTTGGGTATTATATTACATATATCTAGCCAATTAACTAATTATATAGTTCAGCTACTTGATATATTAGTCAATAAGGTTATTTTGAGGCTATCAGGATAAAATTTCCTAGGAATTGTATAGCATCATTGAGCCAGGGACTGTGCCAGGCTCTTTACAAACATTATTTCTAACCTTCAGAAGTTCAAAATTCTACATGATTGGTACTTTTATTTTTATTTTCCAAGTGAGGAAACAAAATCTCAACGTAACTGGCGCAAGTTTCCACAGCCAGTAAATGAGACCTGATTGTCTGTTTTTGAAGCTGGGCTCTTTCCGCTGAGCCATACTGCCTTTCTAGTGTTTCCTGGCCCCTCTCCCTACTGTCTCTAGCTCAGGAACAACACTTTCTCAGCGCGACTATTTGGTTGCAAGTAATAGAAACCCACTAAAGTATATTAACCATAAATGGGCATTTACTGGAAGAACACAACAAAATCCAAAGGCTTAACTGCAGGGGATGGAGTATTTTTCTCAACACACAATTTTGCTGCTTTGACCTTTGTGGTTAAAGACGGAAGTGCTTAAATCCAGGCATTACCTAACAATCCTGCCATGAATAGAGGAAGAAAAGAAAGCACGCAAATCTTAAGCAGCTTTATATAATGACTTAATTTTATATACACATTCATCCTGAGCCAGAATACACATCTACATTGCAACAGGAAAAGCAGCCGTAACAGTTGGAGTCATGGTGACAATTCATTCCGTAACTCCGGAAGCTCATTTATCCAGCAGAGCTGAGAATCAGGAGTTCTCATTAACTAAAATCACAGTTAACTAAGATTTACCTCTTTAAAAATAGTAATTAGGCAATAATTCTGGTGCCATAAAATTTACTTAGAAGCAACCTTTATGCACAATGTAATCTGATGATTCAAAATGTCCTTCAGCATCTTGTAATGGTAATGATCAGGAAGACCATTGCGAATGTCAGTTCTTGCCATACTGGCCTGGATACAAGAGTGGTGTGAAAGACCCTGTGGAAGTTGCTTTTTTCCCTAGTATTTTTTTCTTTCCAATACTAGGCCTGAACTGCAGAAGATATTAAGCCCTATACTTTTTAAAATTCTGAACACATGAATCTTTTCTATTATGTTTTCAACAATATTGTAAATATCTATTATGTGCAAATGACTGTACTAGGTGCTGCAAGAGATGCAGATTTATGGTATGGCTTATTTTGCTCCAAGCATTGTTTTAAACATTTTAACTATGTTAATTGATTTAATTCTCATGATTATCCTACAATGAAGGCCCAGTTTTACAGACAAGAAAATTGAGGCATAAAGTTTATAAAGATATTAAGTAAGAAGGCTATTACACAGAAAACCATAAATCCACTCAGCCTGTGATAACTATCACCTATGAAAAGTTTGAACAAAGTGCTTTGAAAACTCAGAGATTATTGGGATAATAAGAGGTAGAGAAACCATCTGCAATGCAGACTTTGAGTTTGAACAGGCTGAAATTTTACATGCTTGCAGCATAGCCAAGTGAGAATATTTACTCTTCGAGGTTAACACTTAGGGGAGAAGATGGGCAGGAGATGCAACTCGAGAGTTATTTGTGAAGATTTACCTCTATGCGAGAGGAGAGTTTAGAGAGTATAAAAAGACCAGGATGGAGCCCAAGGAGAATGCCCCCTTTTAGCAAACAGAAGAAAGAAAACAAGGGAGCCAGTGAAGGATGTGAAGAAGGAATAACCAGAATGAGAAAAGTAGAATGGCACAGTGTCTTGGGAACCAATTAGGAGTGAGTTTCTAAAGAAGCGTTGAGGGAGCTGGGCGAGGGTGTCAGATTCTGCAGGAAAGAAGACGGAGTTGAATGAGGCTTGAGCAAAGGCAATTAGAAGATGAGGAGGAGGCATTTTAGAATGCAGAGTAAAAGGATGCATTACAGCCAAGATGTAGACCACACTTTTAAGAAGTCTGGCAATGAAGGGAAGCAGGGGGATTCCATGGCAGGGGGGTTTATGAGAGGCCTAGGTTTAGTAAGAGAACACTGGGCTGGAGGTCTGAGGAACACTTGGAAGACCTAGGTGAGCAGGAGCTCATTGAGGAAGGTCCCTGAGGAGATGGGAGAGAATGGGAGTGATAGCTGCAATTATTTATGTGTATTTTTACTTTCCCTAAAGAGCTCCGGAAATTCTTACCTGCATCCACATATGGAGGTCATTCAGTGACATTTTTAAATTAATAAAAAAGAAAAAAGAAAAAAGACAGATTTTTAAATCATATGTAGAGTTTAGCTACTCCAACAATCTTACTGAATCATCTTGAGATGAATCATCAAATACACTTTTTAAAAATAAGAACAAAAATAAGGAAAATAAGAATATTGCTACTTAAAGATCACAGTGTTGGAATTGTCTGTGAAAATGCTAAATGAGCATTTAAAAAAATAATCATTGCTACAAAGATGGCCCCTGAAACGTAATTTAAGATAACAATGATAAAATGAAATAAGGTACCTTTGCTAAATATGGCATTGGTTGTTTCAGGCCTAATTTAGTTTCTAATTACTCTGCAAATTCTCACTTGAAAAAAATCATAATGCCTGTGAAGTGATATCCTATCCTACCATAAAATGTTACCTTAGGCAGAAATAAACTGATTTATTACCAAGCAGCTACCAGCAGGGAGCAGCCTGATCTGTTCATCAGCACCATATTCACAGCAATATTATCTGCAGCATAAAATCCAACTCCTCAGTTTGGAATTCAGGCTCCTCACAATGAAGTCACTACCCAAGTTTCTGGCTGGGCTTCTGCTTTTCCTCTCCAAGCACCTAACGCTCACTGGCCACACCTCCATGGCTCTGCTAACATCCTGTAGAATGCGGAGTGCCCTCCTCAACCCAGCACCAACTCCCTGCCCTGGTTGTAGGGCCACAGAACAGCTCTGGCAGAGCAGGCAGTGCTCCAACCTGGAGTCGGAAGTCCTTCCATGCCACTGTTCAATTCTACGATTGGGGTGTTAACCTCAAGGTTATTGAATCGCTCATCTAAGTGTAATTTTCAAAAAATAGGATAATGATAATAATCACCCCAGAGAGTTGTGATAAAGTCATGGAAGCAAGTACATTTTGTAAAACTGTAAAATGCCTTGCAGTTGTGAGCAGTAGTTACGGTACCGCACTTCTCATAGGGAATTGCACCTGGTTCTCAAGTGTGCTTCAAAATCCTCCCTTTTCCCACCTTCAAGGCCGTCTTCTTAGGAACAGGGGACAAATCTCATCCACGTGTTTAGTCAAATGACTGATTAGACTATTTGGTATGTAAGAAAGCCCCACACATGCCGACCGGATTAACAGAAAGTGAACCTCTAGGGAAAACAGCACTGCCCAAGCTCGTAGTCCCTGGAATGGGGAGGGCTCTAGAAAGAGGATCATGTGAAGGGAAGCAGCTGGCAGCTCCGGATTTCTACTTCCTCCTTTTTTTTTTTTTTTTTTTTTTTGAGACAGCGTTTCGCTCTTGTTGCCTAGGTTGGAGTGCCATGGCGCGATCTCCCAGGTTCAAGCCATTCTCCTGCCTCAGCCTCCCGAGTAGCTGGGGTTACAGGCGCACGCCACCGCGCCCGGCTAATTTTTGAATTTTTAGTAGAGACGGGGTTTCGCCATGTTGGCCAGGCAGGCCTCATCCTCTTTCTCTTGCCTCTCTCTTCCTCAGCGGGGCCTCCCCTGGCGCCACCTATAGGTCTCTTTTGTATAATACATGCTCGGGACACAGCACACAGTAGGCACACAACAAACACGCCATCCAGTGACAATGGCATGGAAATAAAACCAATTTCCCACCTCTGTGACAGTGACGGTTGATTTAATTACAGAAATTTTCACTAAGGATTGAACGACCAAGAGACTTAAGGAAGCCTAGGGATGGCAGAAAGGAGAGTCGCATTTCTATTTCAGAAGAAATGCTTTTTATTTTCCATTGGTAGGAGGAAAAGATGAAAAATACTTAGCCTGTGCTCTGCGGTAAGCACATCTTTATTCTGCTTAATCTTCATAATCCCAATATGTAAAAATCCCATTGTACAGATGAAGAATGGAGGCTTGAGTCTAAGCCAGTCTAAAACCTCTAGCAAATAACGCAACCAATATATGTCCCAAACCTGTTTAGCCCCAAGAAATTGCTGGAGATAGATAAAAACAAAGAAAGAAAATGGAAAAGGGATCCTCTTAGTCAGTTGTTACAAACACCGACATGGTCTGTTCTTCTTCAGAGATGCCCTGCTTTCCTTGTTTGGCATAACTCCATCAGAGGCACCAATCCATCTGTTTGCTTCTCTAACAATCTGGCACTACCTGGGGAACATAATCTTCCTGCCATTTTACCACAAAAATACCCATATGCTGGAGTCACTGTAGATGAGAATTATAGCCTGACCACAAGACAGACACTTTAGAAGCTGTGAGAATCCCAAGGGATAGGAAATCTTTGTTGAATATATAAACCTCTTGCAGACCATCGAGGAGGAAAGCGAACTTGAAGGCTTAAACTGGGGAAATCTTACTAGTACACAATGTGGGAGGACGAAGCCTTTGCAGCCCCTAAGAAGGATTCACCCAGCCAGCTAGGTAAGTCACCCAGCATCACAAGGGACTGATGTCAGGGTTCATAAATAATAGTTTGGACAACATATGTATGGCTGACATCCTGTGGAAAAACCTCCAGCTCTTCTGAACCCTCTTCTCTCCCACTGCCTCCCCAGGGAGGCTAGAAATTCAGATTCTCACTGTCCTAACCTCTTTTTCTTTTTTTCTTTCTTTCTTTTCTTTCTTTCTTTTCTTTTTTTTTTTTTTTTTTTTTTTTTTTTTTTTTTTTTGAGAAGGAGTCTTGCTCTGTCGCCCAGGCTGGAGTGCAGTGGCGCGATCTCGGCTCACTGCAAGCTCCGCCTTCCGGGTTCACGCCATTCTCCTGCCTCAGCCTCCCGAGTAGCTGGGACTACAGGCGCCCGTTACCACGCCTGGCTAATTTTTTGTACTTTTAGTAGAGACGGGGTTTCACTGTGTTAGCCAGGATGGTCTCGATCTCCTGACCTCGTGCTCCACCCGCCTCGGCCTCCCAAAGTGCCGGGATTACAGGCGTGAGCCACCGCGCCCTGCCTCTAACCGCTTTTTCATGGGTGGCCTTGGGATCCAGCTCTAGCCGCTGAGACATAAAAGGAAGTGTATGGGACTCTGAGCAGATTTTCTTCCTTGAGGAAAAGGAAGAAGAGCTTCTACATGTGGCTCCTTTCCACTTCTCCCTGCCTTTGCACAAGGGTGGGATGTCTGGGGCTGCAGCAGCCATCTGTGACCATGAGGCAACAAGCTTGATGATGAAATGATAACATGCACAAAGCAGTGAAACAGGCAACCACTTTCTATATGTGAGATGTTTGACCCAACTACCAAGAATGGAACCTTGCCTTGATCTAACTCAGGGTCTAGGCCCAAGGAGTTTAGACTTTGCCTAGAGATACTAGATTTATGCAAAGATGCTGTAAAAGCAATGTTATCATCAAATACGATATAGACCTCACATACAGAGACTGCAAACCTGCCAGAACATATGATCGTATTCATTCCTGTGCAAGTTAGGGGCCAAACTCCAAGGATCAGTTGGGTTCTTTCCCTGGCTCTAACAGCAGCAAGGGCTAAACAGAAACAAACTTGCTTTATGATAACTAAAAATCTATGTCAGCACCAGACTGGAGGATTCTCAATGTCATACTGGCTGTTCAGCAAAAGTCCTCTTTAAAATACTGCCTGAAAGATAAATGTATCTGTTTGTGTTACCAAAGTAAAAATACATGAGAAAAGGACATGCATTTTGGCCAAGTGCACACCAGCTGTAAGTAGTGAAGGCTGAGAAATCTTTTTTTATGTGTCCATTATTTCTAAAGTTTCCTATGGCTGCTGTTACAAATTACCACAAACTTAGTGGCTTAAAACAATACAAATTTATTGTTTTAAGTAAAGCAAATTTAAAAGTAAAACAATACTTAAATGTATTGTTTTACCATTTTGGAGGTCAGAAGTTCAAAATGAGTCTTTCTTAGTGAAAATCAAGATGTCAGCAAGGCTGAATTCTCTCTGGAGGGTCTAAGGGAGAATCTGTTTCCTTGCCTTTTCTAGTTTCCAGAGACCACCTGCATTCCTTGGTTCATGGTCCCCTTCCTCCATCTTCAAAACTAGCGGCTTAGCATCTTCAAATCTTTCTCTGACTTTGATATTGACTCTCCTGCCTCCACCTTTCAGTTATAAGAACTCTTGTGGCCAGGCGCAGTGGTTCATGCCTGTAATCCCAGCACTTTGGGAGGCCAAGGCAGACGGATCACCTAAGGTCAGGAGTTCAAGACCAGCCTGGGAAACACAGGGAAACCCCATCTCTACTAAAAATACAAAAATTAGCTGGGCGTGGTGGCGGGTGCCTGTAATCCTAGCTACTCAGGAGGCTGAGGCAGGAGAATCACTTGAACCCAGGAGGCGGAGGTTGCAGGGAGCCAAGATGGCGCCACTGCACTCCAGCCTGGGTGACAAGAGTGAGACTCCGTCTCAAAAAAAAAACAAAAAACAACAACAAAAAAAACAACTCTTGTGATTACATTGGGCCCACCTGGACAATCTAGGCTACTTTCCTCATCTCGGAGTTTACTGATTAACAATCTTAGTTTCCTCTACAACCTTAATTACCCCTTACCAGGTAACCTAATATATTCACAAGTCTCAGGGATTAGGATGTGGACATTTTGAGGAGGCATTATTTTACCTATTACATCTATAATTTCACTAACCAGGAATAACTACAGGTAACATTTTAGTGAACAATTCTTCTCAGACCATTTTCTATGCATATGTTTATAGAGATATACCTATATACATCTCTATAGATATATGGACTTGTAAAAATTAAATATTAATTGAATACTGTACATTTCTTTTTCAACTTGCTTTTCCCACTTTATACATATGTATGTGTATGTACATGTAAATTTCTACCCATTATTCTTAATAGGTACCCTATTATTACTTTATCATTAGTGTTTTTTAAGTATCTACCATGTGCTCACTTAATTTAATCCTTTGAACAATCCTATGAACTGAGAACTCCTATCACCGTCACCACCCCTTTAGAGCTGAGACACTGGCAGCATGAGCTGGGAGGCTGTCTCAGGAGATACTCCATCCAATCAGTAGTGGAACGCATTTAAATCCACCAGAACCCAAGCTCTTAACCACATGGCGGATTGCCTTCTAGATTGTTCCACTGCATGGATGTCCCATAAATTACTTAACAACAGTGTCCTACTGTAGATCATTTGGGCTATTTTTCAGTATTTAAAACAGGACTGCAATAAACAAGTTCATACCTATGCCCATGGACAAACCTGTGATTATTTCTTTAAGAACAATTCTTAGAAGAATTACTGTATGTCAAGGCTCCTTACACAAATTTCCAAATTGTCCTTCAGATAGTATGCATATTCCCAGTGTCAATACTTTGAAGTATTATTCTTTTTAATCTTAATATTATGAGAAAATGAGAGTATTATTTTTCTTTGAATGCTAATGAGGGTAAATGTTCTTTCCGTATGTTTCTCGGAATTTTTTTTCTTTTATTAAGTGATGATTCATGTTGTTTGCCTAGATTTCTATTTCAGAATTTATAAAGTTTCCTTTGAAAAATTGTGGTTGAATTTTGTACAGGGCATCCCATATAAAAGGAACCATGAGACAAGTTAGAAGCTGATCATCTCTCACAAAATATTTAATTTATAAAAATTAAATATTAATTGAATACTGTACGTTTCTTTTTCAACTTGCTTTTCCCACTTTATACATATGTATGTGTATGTACATGTAACTTTCTCACAAAGTTCAGGGAAAAAGAAAGTATTAGAGACATGAAGGGAAATAGAGAAATGTAAGAAAATCTGTAACAAATCCAGTAAGTGGGGAGGACACAAAATGCCCCCTTAAGATTAGCCTTTATTCATAGATAATGGAGAGCAATGTGATCCAAATGATGCGATATGTAAGAAGAGTCTTCTGGTGACAGCTTAAGGGTTGCCTTGAAGTAGTCCAGTCTAGATATTTCCAGAAGAGAGAAGTATATCACAAGGAATTTGTTACAAGGGGTATAGAAGCCAAAGGGTAAGAAGATAAAGAAGACCCCAGACATCAGAGCTGCCATAACACCTGTACTGTACGCACAAGCTCACATATAGTGCTGAGCAGCTGGAGACTGCTGGAGTCACTTGGCTCCTACTCCTGCCACTTCTAGAGCCACCAAAACTGCTGGGACCTACAGTCAACTGTAGCCTGAAACTACCACTTCTGGAGGCAGAAATGCATGATTTCTCGGCCTTCTAATCTCCCTCAAGTGTTTCCCATTAGTGGAACTTACCAAGAAAACAGGTGGCAAGGACATCCAGGAAATTTCATATCCAGTCTTCTTACTCCTGCCACACAGAGGAGGGCCCAGAAGGGCAGGAACAGATTTGAATACCAATAGACCAAATCCAGCAAAAAAGGAGGATGTTGTCCAGGATGGTTTCCAACACCAAAATATGGCACTCCCTGGATGAAGGAGGCCTGGATTCTAGAACTAGTTCTGCTACTGGTATGCTGTGTCCCCTCCAAGGCAGTGTTGCACAGTGGTTTAGGATGTAGCTCAGTGCCCTCACTTGCAAAGCAGGCAATAATACCTAGCTCAAAAGATTATTTGTGAGGGTTAAATGGGGTACTGCAAAGTATTTAAAACAGTGCCTGGAACAAAATAAGCATTTAACAATTGATAGCTATTGTCATTGTTACTATCATTCTAATTTCAATTTTGCCATCTGTAGAGAAAAGAAGAGGAGGGTTGAATCACCTTTGCTTCTCTCTAACCCACCAGAGGAAAAGGAACTGACAGACTCAACCTAAGCCTCATGCTAAGCTGAATTTTGGAGATGCAGAGAAAAATGAATAATATCCTCCTGTCCCCGTCATCACAGAGCTCACAGTTCGATGGGAAGACAGAGAAAAATCACTATGATTCAAGGCAAAATGTGCTCAGTGATGTACTAGATACAAGGAAAGTTCTAAATTAGTACAAAAGAAGGTTTTGTAGCATAGTAGAAAGAGTCATACAGACTTCACTTTATTATTTTATTTTATTATTTTGAGATGGAGTTTAGCTCTTGTCGCCCAGGCTGGAGTGCAATGGCGAGATCTCGGTTCACTATAACCTTTTCCTCCCGGGTTCAAGCGATTGTCCTGCCTCAGCCTCCTGAGTAGCTGGGACTACAGGCACGCGCCACCACGCCCGGCTAATTTTTGTATTTTTAGTAGAGATGGGGTTTCACCATGTTGATTAGGCTGGTTTTGAATTCATGACCACAGGTGATCCTCCCGCCTTGGCCTCCCAAAGTGCTGGGACTACAGGCGTGAGCCACCTCGCCCGGCCCAGACGTCACTTTAAATCCAATATTATCCTCTTGTGGTCTTGAGCCGTTCATTTAGTCGCCCGCGCCTCAGTTTACGTGTCTGTAAAAGTGGAGGTACTAAAAGAGCCTGCTCACAAAGTCCTTGTGAAGATTAAGTGAGCTACTGTATATAAAGGTTCTCCTGCAGTATCCGGCACAAAGATGCGCTCAAAAGTGATCATTATTATGATTCCAGTGGCCCACAAAAAAGATACAGGCCTGAACTAACGCAATGGAAATTGAAAGGGGAAAAATTAGCTAAAGAGAGAGTCATTCTTCCCAGACTGCTTAATTATCGTGGATAAAATTAGAGAACCAGGAGGGTACCTACTAGAGGTGCGGGCCACGAGGGGGCGCCCCACGACCTCGGTGTCCTCGTTGCCCGTGGCAACCGGCAATCCTTGGCTCTGGCTTAGGAGGCGCTCAAGTAGAGCGGCAAAATGGCCCTGAGCCCCTGGACCCCAGGGCTGGGCGCTGGCGAGAAGCTGGTGCAGGCGGCTGCCGTCTCCACTGGCCCCTCCCTGGAGTTATGCACCTTACCCTCCACCCTGGGCTCCTCGGTCGCGGTCGAGGCGCTGGAGCAGCTGTTTGTTGTGGGTAAGACGCCCCTCGGGCGCTGGAAGGGACGTCTCCTCAGAGGTGGCGCTTAGGAGGCACTCAGCGGGAACCCTGAGCGGGGACTCTCCTCCCGGAACCAGGGCATCACTGGGCAGGGCAGAGCCTTCTCCCCGCTCCTTGGAGGCTGGGGAGAGAGAGGTGGCGGGTGGGACCAAGTGCCCAGATCTCCTGCCCTAGCGCAGCTGAGGTGACTTCGCTCAACCCTCAGTAGTAGTTAAATTACTGAGGTGACAAATCCGGGACTCCCAAGCCACTGCCCTATGCCTGCGACCTGATTACACACCTGCATTTAGATTATGCCTTCGATTTCAGTTCTCTTCTTGCCGTTCCTTTACAAGTTAACTTCCTCCGACATTTTGCCGTGGCAAACTGGAGAATTTAACAAGCAAATAGGAAAGGGAGTGTTTAAGAGGCTTCTGTTGTGTTGAGCAAGAAAAATTAGATGTAAAGGGTTGTTTAGGAGATTCTAATAGAAAATGACCTTGGATAGGGCCAGGTTAAAGTATTTTTCAGTTAGAAAGCTGAACCTGTAATCAAGTCACTTAAGCTTAAGGTAAGACAATCCAAGAAAGGGTGTTTCTTGTTCGGTGCAAAAACCGTTTAGGCCAAACAACAAAACATTTCAGTGCTTCACTAGAATCATCCCATTTCTTCAAGATAATCGTATTGATTTATGTTACAATGTTACTATTAATTTGGGATAGTTTTTATTTTCCTTCTTAAATGCGCTAGGTTAATTTCACAATTCTTAGCAAATATGCTTGGGTAAATGTTATCATGAAGAATGTTGGCCGGGCGCGGTGGCTCATGTCTGTAATCCCAGCACTTTGGGAGGCCGAGGCGGGTGGATACCTGAGGTCAGGAGTTTGAGACCAGCCTGGCCAACATGGTGAAACCCCGTCTCTACTAAAAATACAAAAATTAGCCGGGCGTGGTGACGCACGTCTGTAATCCCAGCTACTCGGGAGGCTGAGGCAGGAGAATCCGTTGAACTCAGAAGGCAGAGGTTGTGGTGAGCCGAGATGGTGCCACTGCACTCCAGCCTGCGCGACAGAGCGAGACTCCGTCTCAAAAAAAAAAAAAAAAAAAAAAGGAATGTTACCCACTGAGGAGACCTAAAGTTATTAAGACCTAAATTATTCACATGTATCTGAGGTCACTGTCAATGACAGACCTAGAACCTTGAACTCTTTTCATACTTGATCTCTAGATCGGCATGCCAATGCAACCCTAGTACTTATGTACAAATACATTTTTCTGTTAATGTCTAGACACTCAGAACATATTTCATAGGAAAAAAAAATCATTACACCCTCTTGCCCTGAGTTATAAAATATTAATATGTAAATCTCCAGCACATTTGTCCTCAAGGAGCATAAAATATATACCTAAATTATAACATTATGGAATAGGAAATAAGTACAAAAGAGATTAGTGTAATGTACAATAAAAATTCAGAGACTGAAGATGTAACTTCCAGCCGAGTAAGCATTTGAGCTAGATCATAAAAGGTTAAGTAGGATTTGGATAGATAAATAAGAGATCTTTATTTTCTAATTTTTTTTTCAGAACAATCACTGCAAAGTGACTATTTTAAATGTAATGAAGAAGCTAAGATCTTTCTTAAGGACATTGCTGTAGCTGTTAAGAAATTGGTATTGTATTATCTATAAGAACCATTTCTTCAATCTTCCACATATTTCTTCAAACTTTCATTTCGCACCAATTCTGTTCAAAGTATTAAGTAGATGACTAGGGAATATAGTTACCCTGAACTTAAAAATATTTTTCTCTCAATTTTGTAAGGATTTGCACAATTATTGATCAACTGTGGATTGTTACTTGATTTTCCATGAAGAAAACTAAATTATGGGCTTATGGCTGTGGATGAGGGCAAGCTCATTTAGAGAAAGCAATGTGGGTGATAATACGGTTCAGTTAAGAGGTGGACCACATGGGCAAATGCTTGGGACACCAATATATAAGCATTGCTTAAAACAAACAAACACACAATCTCTGGAATAAATTGCAAGCATGGTGCTAATTAACTCAGTTCTCTGTAAGCAATTCCTTGCATAACTGGTCAAAGATTATTTGACATATGTTCCACTGAAGTAGACGGTACTGTTAGTGAAAACAAAGAGAAACTCTTTCAATTACACTTAACTGGCCCCTATCAAAGACATGTTGAAGAAATATTTAAAGAATTTCCTTCTGAGGTGTCACAGACATCTCTGTTCGGCCAAGGATCACATTGACAATGCTTCCTTGGCACAGTCAGAGTAGTGAAGGCTCTCCATTTTATTTAAAAATATTGGATAAGAATTTACTACATATCAAATTGCTAAAAATGTTGAAATATGGCTGTAAATGAGTTTGAATCCACAGACTGCTGATAAAACTCTTACTACTTTATATTTTATATAATTATACACATATATATATCTATACTACATAATCATACTTTACAATCCTACTTGAGTAGGTACACGTAAACACTGAGGGATCATGTGTGTTGTGCAGCTCTGTGGTGCTGTGAAAACATTTTTCCCTGCTTGGTTCTTTCTTTCAGTTATGTCTTTCGCTAGGATTTTAAGAGGCCAAAATATTTATTGTGGTTAAAGTATCTAGTCTGTATTCATTTAATATCTGAGCCGTGAAATCTCTTAAACAACAGAGATCAGGCTGGGTATGGTGGCTCACGCCTGTAATCCCAGCACTCCGGGAGGCCAGGATGGGTGGATCACTTGAGGTCAGGAGTCTGAGACTAGCCTGGCCGAGACATGGTGAAACTCCATCTCTACTAAAAATACAAAAATTAGCCTGGCAAGGTGGCGGGAGCCTGTAATCCTAGCTACTTGGGAGGCTTGTAGGAGAATTGCTTGAAACCAGGAGGCAGAGGTTACAGTGAGCTGAGATTGACCCACTGCACTCCAGACTGGTCAACAGAGTGAGATTCCATCTCAAAAAAAAAAAAAACAAAAAAACAAAAAACCAGATCAATCCTTTTATTTTTAAAAGTAATACATGTTGACTTTGAAAAATTAAGAAAAAATAGATAAGCAAAAGGACCACATTAAAATAATCACTATTAATGCTGATGAATATACTTTCTATTTTCAGGGTATAGGTGATAACTGCATTGAATTTCATTTTTTACAGAAAAGTGATGATGCTATATATGTAATTATATAGTCTGCTTTTTATAATTCATAAAATATAATGGCAGTTTCTCAGGTCATAAAATAGCTATAGCTATTATGACAGTTTATTTAAAAGATGATTTATCTATTTTTTCCCACCAACTGATTTCTTAGCAGTGTTTCCTTTCTTAAAGTAGCCTCAGCTAAAAGTAATAATAACAGCTTTACCTACTTGTTTGGGTTTGTAGGTGTGTATGAGAAAACCATTTTTTTTATACCTAAGCATATTTTTATAGGCAATTTCCATATTTTAATAAGTAGCTTTCTTTCTCAATATTACTATTTTTGTTAGTCTTTCCTTTTAAATGGATTGAAACTGCATATAAGAAACAGATACTCATAAAGAAAAGATAATTTCTCAGTAGAATAAAATCAATAGAAATTAAGAGATAAACTAACAGACACCTTAAATAGTGATTGTAGATACTTTTCCCAGTTTCTGTTCCAAATAAAAATAATGGCAGAAGATATTTAGTGAAATTATATTTTGACCCCTGAAAACATTTGTAGGGCATTGTTTAGGAAATCAATCTTACTATTTTAGTGTCTTAACTTTTTAAAAATGTAATTTAAATTTTCAGGAAGAAATGAGAAAAGCCACAATCGATCTTTTGGAGATTGAAAGCATGGAACTCAACAAACTATACTATCTATTGGAAACTCTTCCCAATAGCATTAAGAGGGAATTGGAAGGTACTTTTGAGGTTATCAACTCTAGAAATTTAGTTGATCTTATAACAGAATGAAGTACTTTCAACAAGATAAGTTTCATAGTTATTGCTCATGTAAGATAGAGCTAGAAAGCATACATGACACAAACACAGTAAGGTCCGTAATAATTTTCTTTTATATTTTAAGTGGAAATAGTATATATAACACTTGAATTTATATAATTTGGTTTCTAAATAGACTATAGATAAATGGATCAGCCCATTCCAAATTGGTATTTATCCAATTAAATTAGGCAACTTGGCTGGCCTAAACCATCATTCTACTTTCTGTCTCTGAGTTTTGGCTACTCTGGGTACCTCATATAAGTAATATCATACAGTATTTGTCCTCATGACCGGCTTCCTTCACTTAGCATAATATCCTCAAGGTTCATTCATACTGTTGTATGTGTCAGAACTGCCTTTCTTTTTAAGGCTGAATAATATTCCATTGTTGGTATCTATCACATTTCCTTATCCATTCATCTGCAAATTGTCAGTTGGGTTGCTCCCATCTTTTAGCTGTTGTGAATAATGCTGTTATGAACATGGTATCCAAATGCAGGTTGAGCATCCCTTATCCAAAACAGTTGTGACTAGAAGTGTTTCCAATTTCTGATTTTTTTTTTGAATTTGGAATATTTACATTATACTTTCCAGTTGAACATCCTTAATCCATAAATCTGAAATGCTTCATTGAGCATTTCCTTTGATCATAATGTAGGTGCTCAAAAGGTTTGGGGTTTTGGAGCATTTCCAAAATTATGCTCAAAGGAAATGTTCTTTGGAGCATTTCAGTTTTCAGATTTTTGGATTAGGGATACTCCACCTGTATCCAAGTGCCTGCTTTCAATTTTTTTTGTATATTTATGCATAAGCAGAATTGCTAGATTGTATTGTACATTCAATTTTTTTTTTTACTGGGGTCAGATCTTACAGAGTCATATATTCAATATTTTGGAGATCTGCCTTGCTGTTTTCAACAGTGGCTGCACCATTTTGTGTTTCCACCAACAATGCACAAGGGTTCCAGTATCTCTACATCTTTGCCAATACTTGTTATTTTCCAGATTTTTTTGTTTTTGTTTTATCTGGTTGTTATCCAAATGGCTGTGAAGTGGTATCTTATTGTGATTTGATTTGCATTTCCCCAGTGATTAGAGATGTTGAGCTTCTTTTTGTCTGCTCATTGGCCATTTGGTACATCTTCTTTGGAGAAATGTCTACTCAGGTCCTTTATCCATCTTTTAATCAGGTTCTTTTTTGTTGTTGTTGAGTTGTAGGAGTTCTTTATGTATTCTGAATGTTAACCACTGATTAGATATATGATTTGCAAATTTTTTTCCCATTCCATGGGTTGCCTTTTCACTCTGTTGATAGTGACATTTGAAGCACAAAAGTTTTAAATTTTGATGCAGTCAAGAAATCATTCCCAAATTCAATGCCATGAAGGCTTTCCCTATGTTTTCTTCTAAGAGTGTTACAGTTTAAGCTCTTATGTTTAGGTCTTCGATCTCTTTTTTTTTTTTTTTTTTTAGGTAAATTTCATATTTGGGGTAAGGGTCAAACTTTATTTCTCCAGAAGCCAGGAATGTTGTTGGCTGAGTTCTTCTCCAGGAATTACCTTCAACAAAAGAGAGAAGGGGCCAGGCAAGGTGGCTCACGCCTGTAATCCCAGCACTTTGGGAGGCTGAGGCAGGTGGATCACAAGGTCAGGAGTTTGAGACCAGCCTGGCCAACATAGTGAAACCCCATCTCTACTAAAAATACAAAAAACAATTAGCCAGGCGTGGTGGCGCATGCCTGTAGTCCCCGCTACTCAGGAGGCTGAGGCAGAATTGCTTGAACCCGGGAGGCAGAGGTTGCAGTGAGCCAAGATTGCGCCACTGCAGTCCAGCTTGGGTGACAGAGCGAGACTTCATCTCAAAACAAAAACAAACAAAAACAAAAGAGAGAGGCTTAATTCCAAGTTATGTTCTCTCCCCAGTGCCTGCCACCCGCATTCATGATTGGTCACTATGAGGGTATAAAGGTCTGGCTCCCTTGCCTCAATGTAGAACAACTCCAGAGCATCATCATAGCTCCAAAGCTCATCACAGTTTAACCTCCTCCTCTGCCCAGCTTTTTATTTCCTCCAAAGAGATGTTCCTCAGAGCACTACCCAATAAATGCTCTACACACACATTTTATAATCTGTTTCCCAGAGAGCCCAACCTAAAAAGAGTGGTCTTAATAAGTAAAAAAAAAAAGGTAGATTTTCCAGTTAGCCATTTATTGCCTCTACTTTGTGATAAGGAAGCTGGACCCTGTAAATTTTCCCCTTTACCAGCTGGCACAATGTTCAGCTTTGTCAGCAGAGGGCATAGGAGGGATATGGAGGAGGAAGGGGTTCTCTTCCTGATTCCAGTGTGCTCAGCTTGGCTGACTCTTGCAGTGTGTGCAACTTCTCCAGGCCATGGTCCTGCAGCATCCAGCAGTCCACAGTGCCCAGCAGCTTCCACCAGTACCCCTTGAGTAGCTTCAGCCACCAATGAGGCACCTCTGCATGAAGAGCTTCTCTGGCACCCCCTTGGGTAGTTTTGTAGTGAGTTCTGAAGCATGGCACCTCTCTGTGGGCAGGTACCCCTAACACCCCCAGAGAGCAGATTTCCAGCAAGTTCCATCAGCCCAGCATTTCATGAACTTCTTTACGATCTAATGAGACGCAGCCTCTCTAATGAGGCCTAGCTCCCAGGTCTCCAGGTGCTGTTTCCTTGAGCACCGTATCTCAGCCCTAGGGATGGTGGCTACTCCTTAGGTCTGCTATTTCTGAATGCTTTCAAGTTCTCTTCACTTCTTACCACCCATTCCCTAATACTCTAATTACTCTAATCCTCTGTTTATTCTATTAAACTTTCCCTTTTCAATTTACTGTGAGATTTCTATCTCCTAATTGGACCCTGACTGATAGAGTGGGTTTAAAAAAATATGCTTGGTGTTAGTCTAGTTTGCCAGGGAAAATACAACAAACTATACATGCAGGGAAAGAAAATCAGATTTAGAAGAATCTACACCAAAGGTAGAATTAAGAGTGTTTTTCTTTTTCTTTGTTTGCTGTTCTTTAGTTTCTAGATTGGGTTGCTTTTATAATCAGAAAAACATATTTTAGAAGGGGGAAAATACCATAATAGCTTATAAGGTCCTTGATACATGCTAAATGCTTAACCATGCAAATTTAGTTAGTTGGCCTTATGTCGTAAGTCCTTGCTACTCAAAGTGTGGTCTTTGGTTCAGCAGCATAAGCAACATGTAAGAGCTTGTGAGAAAATACAGAATCTCTGGGCCCACCCTAGACCCACTGTATCAGAAGCTGCATTTTAAGAAGATCTCCAGATGATGTATGTGCATATTTGAGACACAAAGTTTGAGAAAGCCTGCTGCAACAAGCAATTTAACTAGTAGCCTAGAAAAAAAATGTCCTAGCTCTCTCAGGAGAGCTACCAGCTAGTTTCTAGGGAGTTTGCTGTGTAGAAATGAGTAGTCCAGCACCTTCCTAAACAGCAGTGTTCAAAAATTCATGCATATTGACCATCTGTCATGCACTGAGATAATCCTTTGAAGTCATACGTGATTACACTGACTTATTATTTATGGATGAATAATTATTTCTTTAATACATTGGGTTCCCCCAAAAAGCAGAGCCTGAGGCAATGGCTTTTGCATTATTATTTTATTAGGGAGTATAATCCAAAGAGGAGGATGGGATAAGGAGACCAAAGCAAGGTCAAGGGAGAGCAAATATGGGGTGGATTATGATGTTGGCTGCTGCTAACTGAAACTAATTAATTATGAGAAGAAGCCCCCAAGACCCAGTGTTACTTCTTCTCAGGACTATCTATCAGTGCGAGAGAGGGAGAAATATTTATGCACCAGCTCCTGTCTATCACTGGTCTGATGCTTGCCCTACCTCTTGTACTTCTGGGTTATACATGCATGGGTGTGGGTGCATAAAGAAGCCCCATGTAGAAGTTGCAGAAGTCCTAGGCAGGAGGTGAGAAGTGCATGGAACGGGCGGGAATCAGGCACTATCAGACTGCACCTGTCTGAAATTGATCCAAGCCCACAGAAAGCTGGTTACCAGAGCAGCAGCAGAAATAAGAGAAATAATTAGTAGGTAAGATTGAGAGGGACCAAGGGAGTAAGAAATGCTTGATAAAAAACATTATTAAAAGAATATTTCAAAGAAAGCTTTTTTGCGTGAAAGTCAGTATCTACAGTTGTGCTTTTCCTCAAATAATGTAGTAATATTTCCACTTACTTTGAAGAATGTGTCCGAGACGCTCGCAGATTAAATCTTTTTGAGATAAATACAATAAAAATGAGAATTACAAGGACAGAGAATGAAATAGAGCTTCTGAAGAAGAAAATAACTGACCTGACAAAATATAATGAAGCTCTGGGGTAGGTATTCTTATATTCAGTATTTGAGGGAGCAGGGGTCTGAGGCTGGAGTGGGAAAATTGTCGGGAGGGGTTTACTCTCTGATCTGAACTGTGGCAGGGCGAGTTGAGAGGTGAAGATGGCTTGTAGGAGATGGCCCAGGCTGATGGGGTAGGGAAGGTGGTGGCTACAGAGGACTGAGGAGGAGAGCAGAAAATCTTCAACCACAGCAGCCAGGAGGCTTGTAATATTTCAGAGGCAATCCAGCTTCCTAGCAGCAACTACTGTTTGTAAATCACACACTACCTCTAATGCTACATCCAAAGGTAGACACACAATGGGTTTAGTTTCCATTTTTGTAGAATTAAGTTTACAAACCCCCACCACCAAAGTAAGAAATCTTGCAGGGATTATATTGTAAATCTAATGTCAAACCAGACCTATTGTATCTAGTTCAGTTCATTGAAGATATTTAGTCATATTTGTAATCCACTGAAGGACTGAGGATGAGGCTGGTTCCCAGGACAGGGTTCCAGATTGTGTCTGTAATTAAATGAGATAATATATGAAACTGCCTATAGCTCAAGATCTGACACCTCTTAGTGAGCCTCATTTTCTCCATCTGTGAAATGGGGATCACAACTCTTAACTTTGCTAGCTCATGAAAGGAAGAGATATATTCTGAAAGATAGGCCCCCTTGAAGAATTACCCCTATGAGAAAATTTGATAAATTTTAATAAATATCATAAATATCAGCATGTTAGTTTCCAGAGTGAGAAATGTTCACAAAGAGCCCTTATCATAGGGGAAAAAAAGTCTTCTTGGGAATCCAAAATAATCAGAGGGTTGCCTGGTGTCCCAGATAATAAACATCAGAAATCAGCTAGAGACCTCAAGACCCAGGGACATTGATCCCAAACCAGGCTCTCAGAACACCTGTGCTGGGAGATGCTCCACAAAAGAGAAAGTTCATGATTACATAAGTTTGAGAAATACCACATACTCTAATCCCTGTTGGGGATTCACAATACAGATTTGTGTGTGGTGCGTGCTAGCCACCATGGCCAGAGCCTGCTACATAAACTAGACTATTCCTAAACTAATAGCAAGAAAAATAATACCCAGGCTAGATATTTATATCAACCGGTCAGCAACATCACATTCCTATAGACCAGTGATTCTCTAACTTGAGCTTGCATCAGAATCATCTGGAGGGCTTGTTAAAACACAAATTACTGGGACTTGCTTCCAAAATTGCTGATTTAACAGATCTGGGAGGAGTGCGGTGGGGATAAGAATTTGCATTCCTGACAGGTGATGCTGCTGCTGCTGGTCCTGACCACATTGGGAGAACCACTGCTCTAGACAAATCTTTACGGAAAGGCAATAACAAACAGAAGGTGGTGGCAGGTGTGTTGGCATCATCAAGCTACAATCATTTGTTGCATCATTTTTTCAAAGAGAAATGAATATCAAAGTGTTCACAGACTCTGACAGGTGGTGGGTATGTCTCCTGTCCTGGGCAAATTTCAAAAACTAGATACAGACAGAGCAGCTGTTTGAATGTGTTTTCCTGAGGCTCCACACTGTGTTTGTGAGTGTTCTTTTCTTCTCAGCCCATCACAACACACCTAGTGAGGTTTTTTGATTTCACTTATTTTGCTTTGTTTCCCCGAGGCTCCAGTCCTCAAGTTGATTCATTCTTAGAAGGCTTCCTCTGCTGCATCCACAAAGCACCCATTATCTGACCACCTACTGAGCCTCTCACCTAGACTTCTTTTTATTGCATTTCTTTTGTGGAGTTTGACCTCTGAAAGCAAACTTCCCAGCAGCCTGCTTTTATTTTCCTGAGCCTTCAAACACAATTCCTCTGAAACTCACTAGCCTTGAGGACTAGCAAAAGGAAAAGGGTCTTTACATTGCAGGAGCTTTTAAAAAGGAAAATAGAGAAATGGCACCAATTGTCCCTTTTGTAAACCTTTTGTTGTTAGCCTCTGGGTAGACAAAATCTTAAGGTCTTCCTCAGACAATCTTAAGGTCTTCCTTAGATGGACACCGCCCGCAATGGATGTGTGAGGTTAATGACTCCTATTGAGCTCAGAGTTGGCTACAGCTGGGAGAAGGTAAGAGGGCTCAAATTAGGTTTCAGGCATCCTTCAAACAGTAAAGATAGACTCTTTTCTTTCCCTAGTTTCTATCCAGAGGAAGGTGAGCTTTCTGTTGGGCCCTGCCTGCAGGGCTATAGCATCCAGGGTGGCTGGAGATGTGATGAGATTTCTCTTTCTTTAGCTTAACAGCCTATCTCAGGATGATAAGATAGACATGATGACAATACATATCAAAACACTCATCTGGCCAGATCCCATTCAGATCCTGTTCAAAATTACTTTTGAGTCATTGTATACTTTAACCCAAAATACCCTGTGGTCACTACCTGGCATCTGGGGACGGGTGGGGCGAGGCAAGGCCACGTGACATTCAAAAGTGGTAAAAGTTGCAAGGTTGATGCTTGTTTTGTGTTTCCTTCTGTCCTCATCTCAATTTTTTTTTTTTAATTTCAGACAGAGACTCACTCTGTCACTCAGGCTAGAGTGCAGTGGCATGATCTCGGCTCACTGCAACCTCTGCCTCCCAGGTTCAAGCAATTATCCTGCCTCAGCCTCCCGAGTAGCTGGGATTACAGGAGCACGCCACCATCCCCGGCTAATTTTTGTATTTTTAGTAGAGACAGGGTTTCACCATGTTGGCCAGGCTGCAATCTAACTCCTGACCTCTTAGGTGATTTGCCCACCTCGGCCTCCCAAAGTGCTAGGATTACAGGCATGAGCCACTGCACCTGGCCTTCAACCAAGTTTAGACAATCATAAACACAGTCATAAAATAAGTATTCCTTACACTTTTCCTCTTGCTGAGGGCTCTTCTCACCACACAGACTATTCCTTTCTTAGGAGCTGTGCTTCTCACTCTGTGAGCAATTCTTTCCTCCCAGGGAGAAGCAGGAAGAGCTAGCAAGGAAGCATGCAAGGTTTGTCCTGTCACTCAACCAAACTATGGAGAAAAAAGCCACCACCACTGTTTACATAAATGAGACTTATACCAAAATAAACTTGAAGAGAGAAGACATAGCATTGCAAAAAAAATGTATTCAAGAGGCAGAGGAGCTAATGGAAAAAGAAAGGGCAGAATATCTAATAAGAAAACAAGAGTTGACTGCACAGGTAAGTGGCATGATTTATTCTTTAAAATACAATAATGTATAGAATCTGGAGCAGGAAATGGGAAATAATTTATTTGTCCTCAAGGCTGGCAAGCAGCCTCTGTGGTATCTTCTGTGAACGCGCTGGGAAAACGGGATGAGCGGGAGACTCAAGGACACTTCTGCTCTTGGGGAAGACATTTGATTGGTAGCAGCATCTCAGTTCATGGGTAAGAATATAAGTGACAGGATTTGTAACACTGGGGTGTCCCCTTGCTTATATGCTGCCATACAGGGACAAGGAATAGGCTACCATCTTATCCAGTTGCCTTTGATAACCCTGAGACTGTGTCTGTATGGACAGGACTAGGGTATTCAGATAGGGCACCAGCCCAGCCCTGCTGTTCCTGATAAATGAATCAGAGAGAGCAGCAGCATGCAGTGGGGCCAGGCAGAACTGAGGGCTTTAAAGAGAAAACAATGTTTCGAGAGCAGCAAAATTTGTGAGGGTGGGGGAGGGATAACTACTGCATCTTTTTCTGCCACTGCAGGAGCTGAACTGCCTGCTGTGCCATGTTAATTAAAATTCAGCATCAGATCTGTTATGATTGTTTCTTCCTTGTTCTGCTCTGGTTGACTGGGGGAGAGGTGGTTTTGATAAGAGGGTGACATCGTTCATTAGGGTCTAACAAGTGGCACTGTGATAAAATGGTAAGAAGTTTTCCAGGATTACAAGCTGCTCTGTCTTTGATGATTTTGTTTACTCTGTGTTTAGCTGGTTTTATTTCCCATTAAATAATGTGAATTTAGATTCCCAGATAATTTCTTCAATCCTTCCTTCGACTCTTCTTGTTTGCTTAGTACGTTGTAAATCCGGTCACCACTGCTGTGGTGATTTACTATTAAATCACTACCGTGGCAATTACTTTTATAATTAGTTATTAACAATCATTGTTAGTATTGCTCTTACAAATTTACTATTTCAATATTCAATAATTACAGTTTGGCCTTTGTGGCTCATGCTTTTTCCTGTGATACTGCAAAATAAGGAAACCCTGGTTTTTAGGTTTATTTTTTACTTATTACTATACTTGAATATGTTATACTTAGATTAAATATGAATTAGGTTGACACTGTTTTTAAAAGATTTTTTAAACTTTGTTGTGCTAATAGGCTTTTTAAATTGGTTTCTTATGCTTGTCACTATAGATTAATGAATTTGAAAATACCCGTGAAGTAAAGAGAATGGAGACTTATCAAAAGAAGAAAGAATTGGATAAATTACAAACTAAAATGTCAAAAATAAAAGAAACAGTTACTGTTTCCGCAGCGGTAAGAAAGAATAAACTATATATATTTTTAAGCCTTATCTAGGCACCTCAATAAAAAAGGAGTTGATTGTAATTCATCTTCATGTCATGCTGAGAGGATGTTTTCTGCACGTTAACATTTTCTGACACTTTCTTTAAAGCGTTATGGTGCAATTGTGGTTTCCTCTTCAGGAATATGATGGGAAGAAGGAAATGTGGAATGCCTTAGATACAAACTGCATTTGATGGGCCAAAATACTGTTAAAATATTGATTTAAAAAAATATACAGAACTAACCAAATGTATTGATACATATAACATTTCCATGAGATTGCTTCATTTTGTATAACAAAATGAATAACCATGGGCTGAGTCCTTAATTCTGAATGTGGAATAATAGAACAGAGTTTAGGCTCTCTATTGAGTACAGCAACATTAATATGTAAAGGAGACCATTTGTCTATTTAAATTAGAAAATACATCAGAGCTCTGTACTTCTGTCAAAAAAATTGTGATAACATTTACTGAAAGGCAACACTGTGGTAAGTATTTTGTGAGGATTATCTTTATTTTAAAGATAAGAAAACATAAGCTTATGGAGGTGACTATAATTGAAGTGGTTAATGTAAATACTACTTGTATGTTAATTAAAACAAAAATGCCTGTTAACTTCTTATCACAATTAATTGAACTAATGAATCTTTAGTGTATTTTTTCTATGTGTCTTGAAAAATCACATGCAAACCTATACTGGTACAACAGTAAAACTGAATATTTTATATGGGGTGGTTCTGCTCATTTTAATTACAATATATCTATTATGATATCCAATTACAAAGCATTAATAAAATGAAAATTTTCTCCCAAATATGTGCATTTGAAAAATTATTATCTGTTTTTAAATTTCAACATAGTAAGGAAGCACTAAGCCTATAGGAAAATAGAAAGGCTATATAAAACGTATTCTATCTGCATGCCCACGCTCATATTTCCAGTTGTGGCCTCATAAATCATAAATCGAGTGCACCACCAACTAGCTTGGGAAAAATGAAATATGTCTTCCTTAGCCTGTACTCCGAAGATCTCTAAGCCCAAATTATTTTGAAGGCGGCAGGAGTAAATTTGCCTCCGGGTCCTTCCCCACTTCCCACAATCCAGCCTGCCCACCTTCCTACCCCTCCATCAGTAGAGAATAGTTTTGGAAGCACAAACTTGAGTCTCACACAGAGCTGCGTTCAAATCTTAGTTCTACAAACCTTTAGTTTCCTCATCTATAAAATGGAAGTATTAATATTGCCTACTGCAGAGCATTTTTGTAAAGATTAAATGAGGTCATGCCTATTAAGTGCATTATATTTGGTAGTTTGTTGCCGTTGTTGTTGGCTGAGGTTTGAAAACAGTATTTTGGCTATAGACTGAGACCACAAGGAATTTCAGATTAACTCACATGGGACGTCTCTGCAGCCAGGTAACATTGATATGTTGTTGGCAGAAAAAATAATAGCATGTGACCCTTAAGGCGGCCTACCTGTCCAGGCAAGGAGGACTGAGGACTAAAGATAACAGATGTCAGGCCTATCAGGCCTTCAGCATGTATCCCTAATTCTGATGATTGATCAGAGGCCTCTCAACATTTAGCTCATTCTGATGGTAGTTCTACGATTCCAGTTAGCTCTGGAACTAGCTATGGGTGCTCTAGAGAAAGAAACCATTTTGAGTAGCTTTTACCCACCTCTCTCACCTGGCGTGGCTGAGAGTGCCTCTATTCTCCCCACAGGTGTATCTCTGATCCCACATTGCTGTCCAGGGTTAGATGGCATTAAATATTATGTCCATGGTAATTCTCTGTTGGAGAGAAGAGGAATTTGTTTGATCAGCCTTGTCTAAGCTTCATTGTCCCTCACAAGCTGAAATGCAAACCCAAGGCTGAATAAGTTAGACTTTCCTTTTCTTGGTCCCAAAATTGCATTGCAAAAATGTCGGTTTCATTATGAATTTTCTCCATCAATTTTTCCTTCCTGTAAATCATAACTTTTTTTCACAGTATCCAATTATTCCATTTCCTAAATTTTGATTAAATATTAAGAAATAAAAATTCTTTTCAGCACAAACATAGATATCAAGGGAGACAAAAGACCCAATTTGTTTTGACTTTTTAAAATAATACTCATTTTGGTATCCTGGGATGATAAAGGAAGATGATTGTGACACTATGGATTTGTTTAATTTTTTTAAGTGTTAGACAAAGTTAATTCTTGTCTCAAAAGTTTGTAAAAACAGTTTTCACATTCTCACTGCTGTATTTAGCCATCTTCCCCTCTAAATTTTGTTTTTTTCTGATGATTTCAGAATTATTTGTGTCCAAGTTTATTTTATAGAGAAACAATTATAATGATTGCTTTTTTTCCTTGAAGTACACTCCTAATGTAAAAGTTGAATGAGTAATTCATGAATATTGAGTGGAATTGAACTGCTGTTATGAATCACTTGGTGATGATTGGATGCCATATTTTTGTTTAATTTTTAATAGGTTCTTAGTGATCACAATTTAGAGATAGCACGACTACACGAATCAATAAGGTATTGGGAACAAGAGGTCAGTGAGCTAAAGAAAGACCTTGCAATTCTGGAGGCGAAACTGTAAGTGTAATGCTTTATTTTTACTTAAATGTTTCGAGATATGTTAATATGATATAATATAGTTAATATGCTATGTTTTCATTTTTAAAAACATGTCTTTAATTTGACATGAAAATTATATTCTCTTAGTTTACTAAAATATATGTGAAAGCTTTATAGAGTCACCTTTTCATTGTGAAATTAGCTGATGATCAAGAGAAAAAATTAAAGATGCTGTCAGCTTGGGGAAAGGAAAGGACTCTTTGGAATGTCTATATTATTCTCATTTCAGTTCCGAACTCCCTATAAACAAAAATGCCCATGAGGGACGGCATTAGTGGGACATATCATAGGCTACAACCCATCTACCCATGCTGTTAGAGTTGTTCTTACTCAAAGGATACTTGCCAAACTTCCTAAGAAAATACAGGGAAGCCTCAGGGCAAAAACTGCTACACGTGGGACTGGAACCAGAAACTGAAGGAGGTCTTCCATCCATCCAAAGCCTCAGTCTGTGCTTCATTTTGTGGAAGTGTTTTACTCCTCTCTTTATCTGCACACAGTATTCTCTTCTTGGTGAGCACATGGCAATGTCTGGCTATGCCAAATCCTCCGAATTGACCTGGCACAGGTCCAACAATCTTTAAAGATTGGTCAACACACTCTCTCCCCCGAAAATCCCCAGATTTCATATCAGAATGTGTTTGGCTCAGCTTTGGTTCCTGATCCAATCAGCTCTGCACAAGAAGATGGAGTCTTATAACATGGCTTCCGGGGACTACTGCAGTGGTTCACTGACAGTTTAAGAAACAAATTGTGGACTGAGCAGATTCCCAAAATACAAGTAACCTCACATGTAGAATCTTGTTATAACATGGCTCATTTCTATATATATTTGAATATATTGTAATTAAAATTATAATAGGTCTTTCAAAACAGGATTTGTAGAGTACAATGCTGATCTACCATCATCAGTTCATAAAATAGGCAATAATCTTTATCTTCAGTATCAGATTAAAAATTAAGAAAGCTCAATTAATACCACAACTAAAACTCAAAAAAACTCTTTTATTTTGTGATTCAATAGTATTAGTTTACATATATTTTGAAGAAAAACTAGACAAAAAAGTCATAGTGAAAGATATGGATTACCTCAAATTATTTCTAGCTGTTATGAATAAAAACCTCACTACGTTGATGAAATTTTATTTATAAGCAGTCTTCATGTTAGCTAACGTGTGAGGATTCATTGATCTTCCATTTGTAATGATTTATCATTATCTATAATCCCAGCTTTTTAAGAGTTTGGATTCATGTAGAATCTCACCAAAGAAAAGTGCTTTATATTAATGTGGTGGTTGAGGATACAAGTGATCCTCCTTTTTATTCAAAAAATTTGCTCTTTCTCTTTATTACCTGGAAAATTAAAAGAAAGTTCCTTGTATTCTTTCTATTTTCTTCCTTAGCTGTTTCCTCTGTCTGTGAAGATAGGGAGAGGCAACCTAGTTCCCGCTTGGTGGATTTGAAGAATCAGTGCTGTTTTATAAGATTTCTATAAGAAATTATACAAGAAACTAAAATAATTTGCACGACACACTTTCCTATCAATCCTTAACCCTTCATTTTCCTTCATTAAATCTTTAAATTGCAAGCTGGTTAATAGCCTTGTTACCTATTTTGAATTCAAAATACTGAGGAAAACAAAATCACTCAACCATAAGTTTAAATTCCATGTGCGTTTGGACAAATAAGAGTAACTCAAATGCTCCATAGATCGACAGGAGGCACTGCAGTTTGATCCTTGTTCTTTCTTATCATTGATATCCAGTGTGATTACACAGATAAAGGTGAATCCAATGCCTACCTTTCTAATTCGCTATGGGGTTTCTTTGGCATTCAGCTGGTTTTCAGCACATGAGAAATGTGAAAGTTAAATGTTGTATATAAATGACATCCAATATGTGGCCTAGAGTATATCCTTGCCATTAAAGTGTATGAGGTTATGGAGACTATAGTTGCTTTTTTGCGCCAACGTGGTTTCAGAATTGCCACGGTTACTAATGGCTTCCATCCTGTTAAAGTTTAGTGGTCTAGTCAATTCCTGAAAGTTCTCAAATTCATAATAGAATTTGACAGTTTATCACTTCCACCTTCTTGTACTTCCTTCACTTAGCTTCCTAAATATCATGTTTTCTTATTTCACTGATCACACTGGCTGCTGCTTTTTAGGATCCTTTACTTGTTCCAATTCTTTTTTACGACTCTAAATTTCAAGTTCTCAGTCCTTCACTATTCTCTGCTCATACCCTCCCAATGTGATTTTATTCAGTCTCGTGGCTTTAAATACTTTCTTTACCTCAATGACTTGAGCTCTAAATGCAGATACTGTACACCTTACTTGACCTCTCCACTTGGAAGATGTCTATTATATATCTGTCTTATATAGATATAACATGTCCTGAACAGACTCTTGATTTCTCACCTTCCTGAAACAGCTCTTCCCACAGTCTTCCATTATCAGTTAATGTGGCACCGCCATTTACCTAGTTAGTCCAGCCAAAAGCCCAGGGGCCATCTACCATTTCTGCTTTCCTCACTACCCAACCCTGACTCAACTCTTACTCCAGCCAAATCCAAAGTCACGTCCTATTGCCTTCATATTCAAAATATATGCTGAATATATCTATTTCTTACCACTGCCACCACTGTAGCTTTAGCCTGAACAGCCGTGATCTTTTCTGGATCACCACCAGAGCCTTCTACATGATCTTCCTCCACAGTTGTCTTTCTCCACAAAGTAACCAGAGTCATCCCTACAAGATGTCCATAGGTTCATGTTGCTCTTCTGCTTAAATAATCTTCCCCTGTTCCCTTCAGAATAAAATCTGAACTTCTAGCCTGACCTTAACACCCTACATGATCAAGTTCCAGTCTATGTCTCCAGCCTCACCATCCTTCTTCCTCGAACACACCAAGCTTTTTCCTGCCTCTGTCTTGACGCCTGACGTTTCTTCCACCTGAAAAGCTCTTCCTTCAGATCTTCATGTTGCTGGCTCTGTCTTAACATTCAAGTCTTTCAGAGGTCATTCCAAAAAGGTCTTCCCTGACCACCTGTCTAGAGCTGCATTCTTGCTCCCAGGATCCTTTTATGGTTTATCCTACTTTGCGTTCTTTGGAGCACTTAATAGTATCTGAGATATATTACTTATTTTTTGATAACTTGCTTATCTCCTGATCCCTCCATGGAATGTAGTTTTCATGAGGGTAGGGACCTTGCATATGCTGTATCCCTAGTACCTGAAACATATCTGGCAGCGTATGTGTTCAATAATTGCTTCTTAAGTGAAAGAATAAATAAATAAATAATTCATCAGTTCAAAGGAGTATACATTTTTGTTTATTTTGATAAATATATACATAAATATGTTATATGGGGAGATGGGGACTGGAACTTTTTGATTTCATAAGGAAATATGACTTTTCTGGAAAGCATGTTCTTTTTTTTTTTCTTTTTCTTTTTGTTTTTTATACTTTAAGTTCTAGAGTACATGTGCACAACATGCAGGTTTGTTACATATGTATACATGTGCCATGTTGGTGTGCTGCACCCATTAACTCGTCATTTACATTAGGTATATCTCCTAATGCTATCCCTCCCCCCTCCCCCCACCCCACAACAGGCCCCGGTGTGTGAGGTTCCCCTTCCTGTGTCCATGTGTTCTCATTGTTCAATTCCCACCTATGAGTGAGAACATGGGATGTTTGGTTTTTTGTCCTTGCGATAGTTTGCTGAGAATGATGGTTTCCAGCTTCATCCATGTCCCTACAAAGGACATGAACTCATCCTTTTTTATGGCTGCATAGTATTCCATGGTGTATATGTGCCACATTTTCTTAATCCAGTCTATCATTGATGGACATCCGGGTTGGTTCCAAGTCTTTGCTATTGTGAATAGTGCCGCAATAAACATACGTGTGCGTGTGTCTTTATAGCAGTATGATTTATAATCCTTTGGGTATATACCCAGTAATGGGATGGCTGGGTCAAAAGGTATTTCTAGTTCTAGATCCCTGAGCAATCGCCACACTGTCTTCCACAATCGTTGAACTAGTTTACAGTCCCACCAACAGTGTAGAAGTGTTCCTATTTCTCCACATCCTCTCCAGCACCTGTTGTTTCCTGACTTTTTAATGATCACCATTCTAACTGGTGTGAGATGGTATCTCATTGTGGTTTTGATTTGCATTTCTCTGATGGCCAGTGATGATGAGCATTTTTTCATGTATCTTTTGGCTGCATAAATGTCTTCTTTTGAGAAGTGTCTGTTCATATACTTTGCCCACTTTTTGATGGTGTTGTTTGTTTTTTTCTTATAAATTTGTTTGAGTTCTTTGTAGATTCTGGATATTAGATAGCCCTTTGTCAGATGAGTAGATTGCAAAAATTTTCTCCCATTCTGTAGGTTGCCTATTCACTCTGATGGTAGTTTCTTTTGCTGTGCAGAAGCTCTTTAGTTTAATTAGATCCCATTTGTCAATTTTGACTTTTGTTGCCATTGCTTTTGGTGTTTTGGACATGAAGTCCTTGCCCATGCCTATGTCCTGAATGGTATTGCCTAGGTTTTCTTCTAGGGTTTCTATGGTTTTAGGTCTAAGACTTAAGTCTTTAATCCATCTTGAATTAATTTTTGTATAAGTTGTAAAGAAGGGATCCAGTTTCAGCTTTCTACATAAGGCTAGCCAGTTTTCCCAGCACCATTTATTAAATAGGGAATCCTTTCCCCATTTCCTCTTTTTGTCAGGTTTGTCAAAGATTAGATGGTTGTAGATGTGTAGTATTATTTCTGAGGGCTCTCTTCTGTTCCATTGGTCTACATCTCTGTTTTGGTACCAGTACCTTGCTGTTTTGGTTACTGTAGCCTTGTAGTATAGTTTGAAGTCAGGTAGCATGATGCCTCCAGCTTTGTTCTTTTGGCTTAGGATTGACTTGGTGATGCGGGCTCTTTTTTGGTTCCATATGAACTTTAGTTTTTTCCAATTCTGTGAAGAAAGTCACTGGTAGCTTAATGGGGATGGCATTGAATCTATAAATTACCTTGGGCAGTATGGCCATTTTCATGATATTGATTCTACCTATCCATGAGCATGGAATGTTCTTCCATTTGTTTGTGTCCTCTTTTATTTCGTTGAGCAGTGGTTTGTAGTTCTCTTTGAAGAGGTCCTTCACATCCCTTGTAAGTTGGATTCCTAGGTATTTTATTCTCTTTGAAGCAATTGTGAATGGGAGTTCACTCATGATTTGGCTCTCTGTTTGTCTGTTATTGGTATATAAGAATGCTTGTGATTTTTGCACATTGATTTTGTATCCTGAGACTTTGCTGAAGTTGCTTATCAGCTTAAGGAGATTTTGGGCTGAGACAATGGGGTTTTCTAAATATACAATCATGTCATCTGCAAACAGGGACAGTCTGACTTCCTCTTTTCCTAATTGAATACCCTTTATTTCTTTCTCCTGCCTGATTGCCCTGGCTAGAACTTCCAACACTATGTTGAATAGGAGTGGTGAGAGAGGTCATCCTTGTGATGTGCCAGTTTTCCAAGGGAATGCTTCCAGTTTTTGCCCATTCAGTATGATATTGGCTGTGGGTTTGTCATAAATAGCTCTTATTATTTTGAGATACGTCCCATCAATACCAAATTTATTGAGAGTTTTTAGCATTGGAGGGCTGTTGAATTTTGTCAAAGGCCTTTTCTGCATCTATTGAGATAATCATGTGGCTTTTGCTTTGGTTCTGTTTATATGCTGGATTACGTTTATTGATTTGCATGTGTTGAACCAGCCTTGAATCCCAGGGATGAAGCCCACTTGATCATGGTGGAATAGCTTTTTGATGTGCTGCTGGATTCGGTTTGCCAGTATTTTATTGAGGATTTTTTCATCGATGTTCATCAGGGATATTGGTCTAAAATTCTCTTTTTTTGTTGTGTCTCTGCCAGGCTTTGGTATCAGGATGATGCTGGCCTCATAAAATGAGTTAGGGAGGATTCCCTCTTTCTATTGATTGGAATAGTTTCAGAAGTAATGGTACCAGCTCCTCCTTGTACCTCTGGTAGAATTCTGCTGTGAATCCGTCTGATCCTGGACTTTTTTTGGTTGGTAAGCTGTTAATTATTGCCTCACTTTCAGAGCCTGTTATTGGTCTATTCAGGGATTCAACTTCTTCCTGGTTTAGTCTTCGGAGGGTGTATGTGTCGAGGAATTTATCCATTTATTCTAGATTTTCTAGTTTATTTGCGTAGAGGTGTTTATAGTATTCTCTGATGGTAGTTTGCATTTCTGTGGGATCGGTGGTGATATCCCAGTTATCATTTTTTCTTGCGTCTATTTGATTCTTCTCTCTTTTCTTCTTTATTAGTCTTGCTAGCAGTCTATCAATTTTGTTGATCTTTTCAAAAAACCAGCTCCTGGATTCATTGATTTTTTGAAGGGTTTTTTATGTCTCTATTTCCTTCAGTTCTGCTCTGATCTTAGTTATTTCTCACCTTCTGCTAGCTTTTGAATGTGTTTGCTCTTGCTTCTCTAGTTCTTTTAATTGTGATATTAGGGTGTCAATTTTAGATCTTTCCTGCTTTCTCTTGTGGGCATTTAGTGCTGTAAACTTCCCTCTACATACTGCTTTAAATGTGTCCCAGAGATTCTGATATGTTGTGTCTTTGTTCTCATTGGTTTCAAAGAACATCTTTATTTCTGCCTTCATTTCATTGTGTACCCAGTAGTCATTCAGGAACAGGTTGTTCAGTTTCCATGTAGTTGAGCGGTTTTAAGTGAGTTTCTTAATCCTGAGTTCTAGTTTGATTGCACTGTGTTCTGAGAGACAGTTTGTTATAATTTCTGTTCTTTTACATTTGCTGAAGATTGCTTTAGTTCTAACTATGTGGTCAATTTTGGAATAAGTGCTGTGTGGTGCTGAGAAGAACGTATATTCTGTTGATTTTGGGTGGAGAGTTCTGTAGATGTCTATTAGGTTGGCTTGGTGCAGAGCTGAGTTCAATTCCTGGATATCCTTGTTAAGTTTCTGTCTCATTGATCTGTCTAATGTTGACAGTGGGGTGTTAAAGTATCCCATTATTATTGTGTGGGAGTCTAAGTCTCTTTCCAGGTCTCTAAGGACTTGCTTTATGAATCTGGGTGCTCCTGTATTGGGTGCATATATATTTAGGATAGTTAGCTCTTCATGTTGAATTGATCCCTTTACCATTATGTAATGGCCTTCTTTGTCTCTTTTGATCTTTGTTGGTTTAAAGTCTGTTTTATGAGAGACTAGGATTGCAACCCCTGCCTTTTTTTTGTTTTCCATTTGCTTGGTAGATCTTCCTCCATCCTTTATTTTGAGCCTATGTGTGTCTCTGCATATGAGATGGGTCTCCTGAATACAGCACACTGATGGGTCTTGACTTTTTATCCAATTTGCCAGTCTGTGTCTTTTAATTGGAGCATTTAGCCCATTTACATTTAAGGTTAATATTGTTGTGTGTGAATTTGATCCTGTCATTATGATGTTAGCTGGTTATTTTGCTCGTTAGTTGATGCAGTTTCTTCCTAGCCTCGATGGTCTTTACAATTTGGCATGTTTTTGCAGTGGCTGGTGCCGGTTCTTCCTTTCCATGTTTAGTGCTTCCTTCAAGAGCTCTTGTAGGGCAGGCCTGGTGGTGACAAAATCTCTCATCATTTGCTTGTCTGTAAAGGATTTTATTTCTCCTTCACTTATGAAGCTTAGTTTGGCTGGATATGAAATTCTGGGTTGAAAATTCTTTCCTTTAAGAATGTTGAATATTGGTCCCCACTCTCTTCTGGCTTGTAGAGTTTCTGCTGAGAGATCAGCTGTTAATCTGCTGGGCTTCCCTTTGTGGGTAACCCAACCTTTCTCTCTGGCTGCCCTTAACATTTTTTCCTTCATTTCAACTTTGGTGAATCTGACAATTATGTGTCTTGGAGTTGCTCTTCTGGAGGAGTATCTTTGTGGCGTTCTCTGTATTTCCTGAATTTGAATGTTGGCCTGCCTTGCTAGGTTGGGAAGTTCTCCTGAATAATTCCCTGCAGAGTGTTTTCCAACTTGGTTCCATTCTCCCTGTCACTTTCAGGTACACCAATCAGACGTAGATGTGGTCTTTTCACATAGTCCCATATTTCTTGGAGGCTTTGTTCATTTCTTTTTACTGTTTTTTCTCTAAACTTCTCTTCTCGCTTCATTTCATTCATTTGATTTCAATCACTGATACCCTTTCTTCCAGTTGATGAAATCAGCTACTGAAGCTTGTGCATTTGTCACGTAGTTCACGTACCATGGTTTTCAGCTCCATGAGGTCATTTAAGGACTTTTCTACACTGGTTATTCTAGTTAGCCATTCGTCTAATCTTTTTTCGAGGTTTTTAGCTTCTTTGTGATGAGTTCGAATTTCCTCCTTTAGCTTGGAGAAGTTTGATCATCTGTGGCCTTCTTCTCTCAACTTGTCAGTCATTCTCCATCCAGCTTTGTTCCATTGCTGGTGAGGAGCTGTGTTCTTTTGGAGGGGGGGAGGTGCTCTGATTTTTAGAATTTTCAGCTTTTCTGCTCTGTTTTTTCCCCATCTTTGTGGTTTTATCTACCTTTGGTCTATGATGATGGTGATGTACAGATGGGGTTTTGGTGTGGATGTCCTTTCTGTTTTTTAGTTTTCCTTCTAACAGTCAGGACCCTCAGCTGCAGGTCTGTTGGAGTTTGCTGGAGGTCCACTCCAGACCCTGTTTGCCTGGGTGTCAGCAGCGGAGGCTGCAGAACAGTGAATATTGCTGAACAGCAAATGTTGCTGCCTGATCATTCCTCTGCAAGCTTCGTCTCAGAGGTGTACCCGGCCAGTTGACGTGTCAGTCTGCCCCTACTGGGAGGTGCCTCCTGGATAGGCTACTCGGGGGTCAGGGACCCACTTGAGGAGGCAGTCTGTCTGTTCTCAGATCTCAAACTCCGTGCCGGGAGAACCACTACTCTCTTCAAAGGTGTCAGACATGGACGTTTAAATCTGCAGAGGTTTCTGCTGCCTTTTGTTCGGCTATGTCCTGCCCCCAGAGTTGGAGCCTACAGAGGCAGGCAGTCCTCCTTGAGCTGTGGTGGGCTCCACCCTGTTCCATCTTCCAGGCCGCTTTGTTTACCTATTCAAGCCTTGGCAATGGCGGGCGCCCCTCCCCCAGCCTCGCTGCTGCCTTGCAGTTGGATCTCAGCCTGCTGTGCTAGCAATGAGCGAGGCTCCATGGGCGTGGGATCCTCTGAGCCATGCGCGGGATATAATCTCCTGGTGTGCCGTTTGCTAAGACCCTTGGAAAAGTGCAGTATTAGGGTGGGAGTGACCGGATTTTCCAGGTGCTGTCTGTCATGGCTTCCCTTGGCTAGGAAAGGGAATTCCCTTACCCCTTGTGCTTCCTAGGTGAGGTGATGCCTCGCCCTGCTTCAGCTCTCGCTCAGTGGGCTGCACCCACTGTCCTGCACCCACTGTCCAACACGCCCCAGTGAGATGAACCCGGTACTTCGGTTGGAAATGCAGAAATCACCCATCTTCTGTGTCACTCACACTGGGAGCTGTATACTGCAGCTGTTCCTATTTGGCCACCTTGCCTTAGAATTCAAAAGTATGTTCTTATATGAATCTGTTTGGCTTCCTTTGTTCATAGGTGTTTTTTCACAGATAACAAAGAAAAACTAGATGATATATCTAATGATGAAAAAAATGAATTCCTGAACAAGATAAAACAGGTAAGAAGGCAGAAGTCATGACTTTTACATTATAATTACATTTCATTTTTAGTTAATGTTTAAAATATGTGAGAAATATAGAATTTTTCAAAAGGATGTTTTTCATTGACCAATAATATGGTTGTTTGTAGTAATTTAAAAAATTTTATCTCCTCCCAAAGTACTTTAATTATATCAAAGAGCAAAGGTTGTCCATGTACAGAGGAACTGTTTTTTGGTAACTTTTCATGTGAGTATGGGTACCTTAGGACTATCCATGATTAATGGATTAATGGATATTTTTGATGTGAATTATTTAGAAAGTTAGAATCTTCTTGCTGTTGTGTGCTACGCCTGTGAAGTGCAGCAACCTGCTCTACACTTAAGAATATTCTAAATATTATATATCATATTGTGATGGTTAATACTGAGTGTCAACTTGACTAGATCAAAGGATGCAAAGTATTGATCTTGGGTGTGTCTGTGAGGGTGTTGCCAAAGGAGATTAACATTTGAGTCAGTAGGCTGGGAAAAGCAGACCCACCCTTAATCTGGGTGGGCAGCATCTAATCAGCTGCCAGTGCGGCCAGGATATAAAGCAGGCAGAAAAACGTGAAAAGACTAGACCAGCTTAGCCTCCCAGACTACATCTTTCTCCCATGCTGGATGCTTCCTGCTCTCGAACACCAGATTCCAGGTTCTTCAGCTTTGGTACTTGGACTGGCTTCCTGGCTCCTCAGCTTGCAGATGGCCTATTGTGGGACCTTGTGATTGTGTGAGTTAATACTCCTTAATAAACTCCCCTTTATGTATACATCTATCCTGTTAGTTCTGTCCCTCTAGAGAACCCTGACTAATACACATATTATAATATAATATTCTAAATACTTATTTAGAAGTATTTGAGTCAGATTTAGCCCCCAGGAAAATTCACTAGACATTTTTCAAACTTAGGTTAAAAAAAAATCATATCATAAGTAGATAATCATGTGAGTAAACCAAGATTTAGCCTCAAAATATTCAATGAAGCCTTCATTAGGATAGTGAAAAATTGGGGGTGAGGGTGAGTAATACAATTAAAATTCAACCAAAAGGCCTTGGTTAAATAAGTATCAGTATTGCTCATAATACGTTATTGAGTGACAAATACTATATTATAAAACAGTAGGCTAGTCATGGTGGCTCACGCCTGTAATTCCAGCACTTTGGGAGGCCTAGGTGAGTGGATCACCTGGGGTCAGGGGTTTGAGATCAGCCTGACCAATATGGTGAAACCCCATTTCTACAAAAATAAAAAATTAGCTGGGTGTGGTGGTGTGCACCTGTAGTCCCAGCTGCTCAGGAGGCTGAGACAGGAGAATTGCTTGAACCTGGGAGACAGAGGTTGCAGTGAGCTGAGATCGCACCACTGCACTCCAGCCTGGGGGCAGAGCAAGAGTCCCTCTAAAAAAGAGAAACAACAGTATGTATGATATGATCCCATTTAATTACTTATACACACAAATATACATACACACTAGACATAACTGAAATTCTTCTTGTCCCTTGTATTGAAGGAGAAATATCCTTAGTATCTCTTCCCAACACCTCATATATCCAAACTTAATTTCCTTTCTTTTCTTTCTTTTTTTTCTTTTTCTTTTTCTTTTTTTTTTTGAGACATAGTCTCACTCTATCACCCAGGCTGGAGTGCAGTGGCATGATCTCAGCTCACTGCAACCTCTGCCTCTGGGGTTCAAGCGATTCTCCTGCCTCAGCCTCCCAAGTGGCTGGGATTACAGGCTTGTGCCATGACACCTGGCTAATTTTTGTACTTTTAATAGAGACAGGGTTTCATTATGTTGGTCAGGCTGGTCTCCAACTCCTGACCTGAAATGATCCACCCACCAGGCTGGAATGCAGTGGCATAGTCACAAATCACTATAGCCTCAACCTCCCAGGCCTAGGTGATCCTCCTGCTGCAGCCTGCTGAATAGCTGAGACTACAGGCACTCAACACCATGCCCAGCTAATTTTTAAATTATTTGCAGAGACAGGTCGCTTTATGTTGCCTCGGCTGGTTGTGAACTCCTCAGTTCAAGCAATCCTCCTGCCTTGGTCTCCCAGAATGCTGGGGATTACAGGCGTGAGCCACCACCCCTAGCCACACATACTTAATTTTAATTGTTCAGGACTTGGGTCAGGTACTCTCTGTCTACATCCTCTATCTTTGTTTTGCCCAAGTCAACCAGGATATAAAATTCACATTTTTCACTAGTTTCTAAAACAAATTTAATTACACTAAGCATTTCATGATCTATTGCAAACTCTGTTGGAAATTTTAGTGGTCATGGGGAGAAATCCTGTTGCAGAGCACAAAGCCATCTTGTTCACCACCTTTTCTTTCTCTCACAGTTCCTCATCTATCTTCTTGCTGTAGGATACCACCCCACATCCAAATTCTTCTCCCTCTTTTACAAAGCATAATATCTGCCTCTGTACCCATGCCCTGAGGCTCATCAGGGATATCAAAGGCAGCTCCCTCCCAGAAGAATGATTTGTACCAATTAAATGCTTTCCATTTTTGCTTTTGTGAGCTATCAGCATGAGAGATGGCTTCCCCTCTGGGCTACTGTGATTCTTTTATTTGCAAGGATACCTAACAACAGACAGAAACCAGACAAGGTTGGTTTGTTGGCTGGTTGGTTGGTTTCGAATTTGTCTTTCATTTTGTGAGCAAAATATTATTTTTCCTCCCATTTGTTTCCTACTGCAGAAGCTAGTAGACAACTTTCTGACAATAACTCCACATTTTCTAGCCCACATGATTTTCTGAACAGTCTAGGACCCCTAAACTGGCATGGCTTACTTGGTCAAAGAGTTTTCCTTTAATCCATAGCCCTTAGCCAAATTCCATGGTTATAAGTGAGTGATCACTTCAAAGAATGCAAGGCTCTTGCTTATTTATTATTTTCACTAGGGTAGAAACTATGGGCTCTTAGTGACATCCAATCATAATTCTCATGAGTTATTGGAGGAACATTCAAAGATTGACATTCAACTCAAACTTTACCTTTTTTTCCCAGCATCTCCCCTCCCTCACCAGCCCTTGGCAACCACCATTCTACTCTCTACTTCTGAGTTCAGTTTTTTTTTAGATTTTGCGTATAATTGGGATCATGTAATATTTGTTTTTCTGTACCTGAATTATTTCACTTAACATGATGTCCTCCAGGTTCATCCATGTTGTCACAAATGACAAGAATTTCTTCTTTTTTAAGGCTGAATATATTCAATTGTGCATGTATACATTTTCTTTATCCATTCATCGGCTGATGAACACCTAGGTTGATTCTACATCTTAGCTACTCTGAATAGTGCTGCAATGAACATAGAAGTACAGATATCTCTTTGCCATACTGATTTCATTTCCTTGGGATATATACCCAGCAGTGGCATTGTTGGATTTAGCTTTGTTATTATAAAATATTACACATTACAGAACAATACATAAACCATAAATATACAATATTTATGTACATATTTTTGATGAATATAATTTATTAATTTTAATGAAGTCCAGTTTATCAATCTTTTTAGTTAATGTTCTCTATGTCCTATGTCATGAGACTATTCTCTTCTGTTACCATTGAGAAGCTTTGTTGTTTGACCTTTCACATTTAAGACTACGAACCATCTGGAATTTATGTGTATGTGCTTTGAGATAGTGGTCAAGATTCATATTTTTCCATAAGGTTGTCCAATTAACCAGCACCATTTACTGAAAATACAATCCTTTCCTTCACTACATTGTGGTCATACTATTGTCATAAATCAAGTATAGATCATAAATGTATATGTGGATTGTTGACTCTATTCATTTGAACTATTCATCTCTCCTCACACTAAAACAATATTGTCTTAATTAGTACCTTTAAAATGAGTTTTTATGGCCAGTGGTATAAATCCTTCACCTTTGTTCTTCAAAAGTGTTCCAGCTATTCTTGACCTTTTCAATTTTGTCACGTTCTTCCAAAAAACCTGTTTGGATTTTGATTGGGATTGTGTTAAATCTGTAAATCAGTTTGAAGAGGGTTTCACATTTTCACAGTATTGAGGCTTCCAATCCGTTAACATGGCATATGTCTTTTGTTTTAGATCTTCTTTGTTCCCTTTGCCTTAGCTGTTCAGTTGCACTATGATGTGTCCAAATTTTCTTTTCATTTTTCCTCCTTGGGATTTATTTGGCTTCTTAAATCTGAGAATTTCTATATTTCATAAGTTCTGCAAAATTTTCAGCCATTATGTCCTCACCTGTTTCTTTTGTCCTATTCTCCCTGTGTTGCCCAGGCTGGTCTCTAACTCCTGGGCTCAAGTGATCCTCCCACCTCCGCCTCTCAAAGTGCTAGGATTACAGGCACGAGCCACCACACCTGGCCTATAGTAGATTTTGATTGCTTTGTTTTACAGTATTGATTTTACTCAAATGTTGAGAAGCTCTAGATATTTGTTCATCTTTTAATTGTGCATTCTTTTTTATTTATTTATTTATTTATTTTTGAGACAGGATCTCACTCTGTCACCCAGACTAGAGTGCAGTGGTATGATCATGGCTCACTGCAGCCTCGGACCTCCCAGTCTCAAGCAATCCTCCTGCCTCAGCCTTCCAAAGGGTGAAGCTCTTTGGAATCCCAGACTAAAATAGTGGGAGGTTTATGTAGGCTCAACACCTGGATGAGCATTACATGTTGGCTTTTGTTCCACTTGCCATGCAAAAAAACCCAAAACTTGGTTTTCAAGTGGTTTCTTCTATGTTAGTAAGTGTTTTCAAGGCAGAGGAATTTTAAGTGCTAGCCTTACCGCTCTGGATTCTTCATTCTCCTAGAATTAGGCCTAGCAATCACCTATTATCCTTTATTTTTTATTTTTATTTTTTTAGATTCAAGCACATGTGCAGGTTTATTACAAGGGTATATTGCATAATGCTGAGATTTGGGCTGCTAATGATCCCGTCACCCAAGTAGTGAACATAATACCCAATAGGTAGTTTTCCAACCCTTCCCCACTTCTTCCCTCCATCTTTTTGGAGTCCCAGTGTCTATTGTTCCCATCTTTGTGTCCATGTATACCTAATATTTAGCTCCTACTTATAAATGAGAATATGCAGTATTTCATTTTCTGCTTCTGCATTAATCCACTTAGGATAATGGCCTCTAGGTGCACCCATGTTGCTAGAAAGGATATGATTTCATTCTTTTTTATGGCTGCATAATGTTCCATGGTGTATTATTACCACATTTTCTTTATCCAATCCACTGTTCATGGGCACCTGGGTTGATTCCATGTCTTTGCTATTCTGAATAGTGCAGCAATAAACATGAGCACAGGTATCCTTTCGGTAGATTAATTTATTTTCCTTTGGGTATATACTCAGTAATGGGATTGCTGGGTTGAATAGTAATTCTATTTTTGTTTTTTGAATAATTCTTTGTTATCTTGTGAGTTCTTCAACACTTCTACAAATATTTTTTCATGTAGCTATTTTAGTTGTCCTCAGATAGAAGGTTGTTTTGAACTATTCAGCCCATTGTTTCCGCTAAACTTGACTTTCTTACCTCGTTTGAAGCAATTTAATAAGCAAAAAATTCTGATCTCATGTAGAACACTGGTGGGTACTATTTTTTGTCCTCAAATAGAAATATTTCACAAGAAGCAAGCATAATATCAACTCAAAAATGTTTTGAGGAAGAGCTTCTGAGGATGTTACATTTTCTATAGTTTATATTCTGGAAAAGGACATACTAACGTTGCTCAGCAGTCACAGTTTATTCATCCCATTTTGCATTTCAATATGGATTATTACTCTATGGTTTTGCAGCAGGGTTTACTATTTTTCTATACTTAAAAAAATTTATAGTAGAGGTCTCAAAATATACAGTTGTATGTTTGCTATAGAATTAAATCACTCGGCATTTATGGCATATTCACGGTGGGCTAAGCAATATCCCAGGTGCTCTCCGAGTTGCCACCTGATGCAGATGGCCTCAGAGGAGCAGTGAAGCCAGTCCTCTCATTCACCTCCTTTGTTTTTCTCTAGCTGGTTGAAACACTGCATGCTGCTCGTATGGAATACAAAGACCTACGAGAGAAAATGAAAACTCTTGCCAGACAATATAAGATTGTTTTAAGTGAGGAAGAAAAAGCTTTTTTGCAAAAACAAAAGATTCATGATGAGTATGTCTTTACCCACACGTGTGATTCAACATGCCATCATTATGGGGTGCTTTTCTTGCTATCAAAGTGGTGGCTCTCCACTTAAACTTATCCTAGTTTTAAAATCTATTGACAAAAATGAAAACATTTGCTATCATTACTGGTTTCTGTCTCAGCAGCTCAGGCTGCCATAACAAAATACCATAGACTGGCTGCTTAAGCAACAGAAATTGATTTTCTCACGGTTCTGGAGGCTGGAAGTCTGAGTGAGGGCCCTTTTCTAGCTTACAGCCACCCAGCCGCTTTCTCTCTGTGTCTTCACAGGGTGGAGAGAGAACATGCTGTCTGTCTGGTGTCTTTCTTTTATAAGGTCCCACCCTCATGTCCTCATCCAAACCTAATCACTTCCCCAAAGGCCCCATCTTTATAATATGCTCGAGCATTATCACGACACTAATGCCCCACAATGTTCCTTTCTGCCATTCTAAAGCACTTTAAATTTTAATTTTTTCTCATGAAAAAAGCAATGCCTGTACTTGATTTTTAAATTCAAATATAGAAATGTATAGCTTAGAGAGTAAAAATTACCCAAATCTCTCTATTTCTTCATCATGTTGGGGGTTAGCATTTCAACAGATAAATTCTGGAGATGGGGGAGGCACAATTCAGTCCACAGCAGTTTGGAAGATGAGTCACTTAGATAAAATACTTTCTGATACAGGCAGCTTCCTATCAATAGCTGGGCATTTGAACAAGACTATAAACTTCTCTGAGCCTCATTATTTTCTCCTGCAATTTGAGACAAAAAAATAACTACTTGAAACCCCATCTCTACTAAAAATACAAAAAATTAGCTGGGCATGGTGGCGGGTGCTTGTAATCCCAGCTACTCTGAAAGCTGAGGCAGGAGAATCGCTTCAACCCAGGAGGCGGAGGTTACAGTAAGCTAAGATCATACCATTGCACTCTGGCCTGGGCGACAAGAGCCAGACTCCGTCTCAAAACAAAACAAACAAAAAAAACCCTTATCAATCCACACGCTGAGAGGAGCACTTTACATCTTATTAAATTCATTCATCCGTTGAGCTAGGCATTGTAATTCTCATTTTATAGCTGGTGAAACTGAAGCTTATTCACAGGTGAAGCTAATTGTTAGCTTAAGATCACACTCTTATTAAAAGGTAGAGCCAATATGCAAAATTAATCTGACTGACTCCTTCACCTTCCATGGAAGAACATGACAGAATTGATAAGCACGTTAGGAGAGACACACCCACTCAGAGACATGGAGCACTACACAACTGTTCTTGTTGTTTTGTGGTTACTATTGTGGTGAATATTCTTTCAGTGGCTTGGGAATTTTCATAAATTTTATGAAAATCCTATGTGTATGCTGGGCACAGTGGCTCACGCCTGTAATCCAGCACTTTGGGAGGCCAACATGGACCAATCGCATAAGACCAGGCATTTGATACCAGCCTGGGCAACACAGGGAAACCCCATCTCTACAAAAGTACAAAAATCAGCTGGGAAAAAATTTGAAAAAAAGAAAATCCTTTGCATAAATTTAGATCTAGCTACCACTAGCAAAAAGACTTGCTTTCTATTTTTTAATAATTTATGTAGCAAATAGCTCATGATCTGAACTTTCAAAACTATTTTTGAAATTCTTATTTGTGTTTGCATATTTATGTCAGCCTTCAACAAATAACTCTGTTTTTCATGATAGAAATCAGAAACAGCTGACATTTATTTCTCAGAAAGAATACTTTCTGTCACAAAAGAGAGTAGACATCAAAAATATGGAAGAAGGACTCATCACACTCCAGGAACTTCAACAGTATGTTTGTTGCCTTTGAAATTTTTTATCTTTACTTTCTCTGCATTTATTTTTTAATAAATGATAGCAGTAAATCTATGTTGATTTCTAACATACTACAGAAAAGGAAGTTTAGAACTAGCTCTCTCTGTTTCACAGTCTGGAAGTCACTCTCATGGACTTTTTCATTGAAAGGATAAACAGGTTCTGAATTCTATGGGAGCTCCTGGGCCCCAGGAATGGACCAGTTGGGGTGCAGTGACAAGAATGTGCCTGAACATTATCACAACACTGAGTCCCATTGATGTTCATTTCTGCATTCTAAGTCATTTTAATTTTAATTTTTTTCTGATTAAAAAATAATACCTGTACATGATTTTAAAATTCATATATAAAATGCATAACTTAGAGAATAAAAGTTACCCTAAAATCTCCATCTCTCCACAGGCATAATCACTGTTAACAGTTTACAATATATGCTTTCAAATATATATTTATATGTATGTATCCAAAAATTGGATTATACTCTACTATAACTGAATTTGTTCCACTTAAAATTATACCTAGGAGGATGATAAAACAAATAAGGTAAAATGTTAACAGTTGGAGAATTTGGTGAAGGATATATGGGAATTCTTTGTACTATTTTTTTATGCTTACCTGTTGAGTTTAAAACTATTTCAAAACAAAGAGAATATATATATATTCTCAATATATCTCAATCTTTTCTCTAACTGCATAGTATTCTATGCAGATTATAGTATAATACACATTATACTATACTGTATTTAACCAGCACTCTATTGATGGAGATTTACTTTTGTCTGTTGCCTATATTACAAATATTTGAAGTTAACATATCTCTCTCTACCCATATGACTTTTTTTTTGTAATAAAGTCCTAAAAGTTGAAGTGCTGGATCAAAGGAGGATGCATATTTTTCACTTTTATAATGATTGTCAAAATGACCTATGTAAATATTCTACCATTGTACACATTAAGACTGAGCATAAGGAGCTTATAGTTCAGTTGGGCAGAGAAGCAAGACTAACACATATGAAATAATTAATGAACCACATATGATGGTGAAAAATAAACCATGTATGACAGTGAATTATATAAAACAGTCGGGCATGAAAGTGAAATCAAGGAGTCCTTCGTTATATAGGATTTAAAATTTGAACTAGACCTTTAAAAGCAAGTCAGATTTTTCTGTGCTCATTGTATGGGAGAATGATATCACCACACAAAGGGAGACACATGATTTAAATATAGGACAATCAAGAAGCCAGCTTATAGAACTAAGGTAGGGGGTGATGAAAATTCAAGCACATACCAACAGATATCTGGAATGTGACAGGAAGCATAGGTTCCTTGCTTGAATGGTTGTCCCCATATTGTTAAATAATATATTCAAACATCTGTTTCCAATTATGTCAGCTTCATAAGGAAAACTACGAACTACTAATAAAAGAGGAGGAAGATCGATTTGGACTGAATCAGGTTTTATGTTCCTCATGAATAATGCAAATTTTATAGTCAGTTACTGTGCATAATTGCTCTGGTCACCAGGAATCTCAAAGCCAAATTTGTGGCCCAATGTTATTATCCATTTAGGATTTTTTTATATTATTGTTGCTTTATTTTAAACTGGTTCAAGTTCTTTATGGATTACATTAAATATGTAAATAAACAAAATCAGTAAGGTTGGGGTGAATTGTGAAGACCCTTAGAGATCCAGAGGAGGATATTAGATTTATTTTGGTAGGAAATTGAGAGTCCATACTACAGTTTCAAACAGACAAAGAAACACGAGAACAGGTATGTTTCTAGTTTATTTAAGAGTGTTTCCTATTCTAAGTTTCATTTGTGAATATTTCTTTCAAAAGATATAAAGCAGCATTTTACTTATGTGGCTTTCAATTCATTTCTGTCCAAGAATCACTTAATAGGGAAAAGGCGGGGCTGGGGATAAAAATAAAGGCTTCTGTTACCTATGTTGGAATCTTCACATTTCCATCCATCCTACCACAAGAAAATCTTCTATCCTTAGTTAGTACTTTTCCCCAGTTCAAGAAACTATATTGGCTTTCTGAATTGTATATTATATCAAATCAGAGCTCAATCTAGGGTCTGGAGTTCCTCAACAATGTGTTGACCTTACTTCCTCTTGTGTCATAGGGTTATTCTTTCCTTCATGTCCTCTGTATACAGCAAGCCTAACTTAAGTCATAGCAGAGGCCTGACTTGCTGTTCCTTCCCTCTGTATTTGCAAATGATGACACCCTTTCCTTGGTAAGATTGCACCTCCATTCTGGCAATCCACATTCCTCCCTCTGAGAAACATTAACCTCTAGTAACCCTTCATCAGTTGCCTCCCCAGAAATCTCTTCTCTATCCTTGGCTATTCACCACAACCGTTGCAGAATCAGTTTGCACTAACATAGAATTGCAATTGTCTATCAGTCTGCCACTGAAATGTTTAGTTGTTTCACAAGGCTTATTTTGTCTCCCAATTAGACTATAGCCTTACTGAGCATACAAATTATGCGTATAGAGTCTATTGTATATTCTAACAGCTCCCATAAATGCAAAATCCAATATGTTTTTCTTTTTAGAGCAACAAAAACAGTGTATCAGCAACAAATCAAAATCCTGAGTGCTAACCTGGAAAGAGAAAGTCAGAGATGGTAAAAAAAAAAAAAAAAAAAAAAAAGTTTATTTGTGTTTTGTGTTATCAGCAGTATATGTTATCTTAATGAACAGTGCAGAGTACTTGTTGTTACTAGAACCCAAGGGAATGATTTTCCTAAATTATGTGTAAATTCTCTCGGATCTAGATGTATTGGTTAATTTGATTTTTTTTTTTTTGGCATTGAACAGAATCAAAGTTTTCCATTTCAATCAAGTGCGGTCACCAAAGAGTAAAATTGCTAATATTTGTGCAATGCCTTTTGCTCATCCAGGCCTCTTTGTGAACCAGTAGGGGAGGTGACAGGTATGGTAAGAGAGGAAGGTGGCGTGAAGGCTACTGGCTCTGCAGATGGCCTGCTTTGGTTGCTGTCCTTATTAGCTCTGTGACCAAGGCTAAGTTATTTAATCACTTCTCTTTGCTCCCATCCCTATAAAGTGGGGAAGGATAACAGTATCTACCTTATAAAGTAGCTGTGAATGTAAATGAGATGATACATGTAAAATACTGTATTTAGATCAGTGCAGCTAAAAAGCTCTTGCTTATACTTAGCTGTATTTTATTATCGTTGTTGTTATTGTTAGTATTATTATTATTATTTTGAGACAGAGTCTTGCTCTGTCGCCCAAGATGGAGTGCAGTGGTGCCATCTCGGCACACTGCAACCTCTGCCTCCCAGGTTCAAGCGATTCTCATGCCTCAGCCACCAGATTAGCTAGGACTACCGGCACGCACTACCACTCCCAGTTAATTTTGTTTGTTTGTTTGTTTTTGAGACGGACTCTCACTCCATTGCCCAGGCTGAAGTGCAGTGGAGTGATCTCGGCTCACCACAACCTCCGCTTCCCAGGTTCAAGCAATTCTCCTGATAGCTGGGATTACAGGCATGCACTATCATGCCCGGCTAATTTTTGTATTTTTAGTAGAGATGGGGTTTCACTATGTTGGCCACGCTGCTCTCAAACTCTTGGCCTCAAGTGATCTGCCCACCTTGGCCTCCCAAAGTGCTGGGATTACAGGCATGAGCCACCATGCCTGGCCAATGTTATTATTGAATGTGCACTTAAAGACTCTAATTGCACTTTTTTTTTTGAGACAGAGTTTCACTCTTTTTGCCCAGGATAGAGTGCAATGGCACAATCTCAGCTCACCGCAACCCCCACCTCCCAGGTTCAAGTGATTCTCCTGCCTCAGCCTCCCAAGTAGCTGGGATTACAGGCTTGTGCCACCACACCTGGCTAATTTGTTTGTATTTTTAGTAGAGACAGGGTTTCTCCATGTTGGGCAGGCTGGTCTTGAATGCCTGACCTCAGGTGATCTGCCCGCCTCGGCCTCCCAAAGTGCTGGGATTATAGGCGTGAGCCACTGCGCCTGGCCCTAATTGCACATTTTTACCATTCTTCAAATATGTAGCTTTTTAATGTTGTGGTGGAGAAAAATTTGAGAAAGCAGAAGTTTGAAATCTATCAGTAGCACATCCGGTAATTTAGGTAATTCTATTACTATTTCTGCCTGGGCCTCATTTTCCACTTGCCCCAAGCCTTCCTCATTTCTATCCTTTACCTGAAGGAGGCAAGCTGCCAGGTGTGCTTTGTTCGCTGTTCTATTGGAAGTGTAGATGTAACTTCTTACTCTGAAGCAACTTGCAGAGACAGAATTGAGGCAGTTAATGTTTTGTCTTACTTTTTCATGCAATGTGTGTAGTCTGCAACACTAATAGCACAAACAATTTTGTGTAGTCATAGTATGACTTGTTTTGCTTTGAATTTCTTCATCTTTTTAGTAAACTGCTATGTCAATTTAATGGCAATTCTTTTTGCTCTAATCTCTAGTGTTATAACTCAGTGGAAAATGGCTTGCTTGAGAAAAAAGCATGCACGTTGGACAGCCAAGATAAAAGCTGAAATACAAGCTATTACAGAAAAAATTCAGAATGCAGAAGTTAGACGAATTGAATTACTTAACGAGGTAAGAGAACTGAAAGAACTTAGAATTAGTCCCCTACATTGCATATCAGCAATTCTCCTTTAATATTTAATTAAATCCTATCTTATTAAAAAGTATTTTCCTTTCTGCTGATTTCATGTTTAGAGTGAGTTATTTGATTTTCTTAGGAAATGTATTCACTTGCTGTATATTAACTAGAGAGAATTAGCAAATACAGTAGAATATGCTTTTGAAGCATGTAACCAGAAACTTACTTGAGGTTAGTCTTTAGGGGAATTACCTCTAAAAATATGAGCCCATGTATCATTTCTTTAAGCTTTTATAGTTACCCTCTGCTCACTCACTGTCCTCTACCCTCCCCACTCCTCATGTCATATTTATAAAAATATCACTTGGTGAAGAACTTAATTTCTGGAGGAAAAAAATATTCCTCTCAGTGGTTGCTGAGAAATTATATGAACTGAAATCAGAAGCAGGCCTCCTGCAAAGAGATATTAATTTCCTGGCTATTCGAAAATGTAAGGCTGATCACTACAAGAGAAATGACAAATTCTTATTTTTCTCTAATTAGACCAGTTTCAGACAACAGGAGATCAGTGGATTTGTGGCACAGATTGAAAAACTTACAACAGAATTAAAAGAAGAGGAGAAAGCATTTGTTAACAAAGAAAAAATGTTAATGAAAGAGTTAAGCAAGTATGAGGTAAATTTTATTTTGCATCTAAGAATACTTTTGGATGACTACATGAGGGGGAGGGGGAATAATATTTCATGCTATTCTAATCAGTTAAATGTAAAATAAATATTCTAGTATGAAAGAGGCTACAATTTCATTCTGGATCTTTCTTCTTTTCCTGAAGAGGAAGCAGAGCAATAAGAAATATTTTTTCAGAAAAAATAATAATAATAATCACACTTCAAATTATGTAGAACTGTTGGCAATGGCCTTAGAGACAGGTGGAGTTGTGTAGGAAGCCATTTGGAGCTGGCTTGAAAATAGCTGGGGCAAGGGAGATTAGTAAAGTCAGTCTCAGATGTGCTCTTTAAAAAGAGGGTATCATGCTGTCTTGAGAACTGCCAAAAGCCAACCTGAGATAGAACAGGGCATGGATGCTGGGGGAGGTGGAGAGAAAAGCCACTGAAAGTACCCAGAAGTGCCAGGTCCACAGAAACACAATAAAAAAATGCACCTTCCCAAGGCGATGATATTACCCTGGAGGCAGCCATTAGCAGAGCAGCTGAGAACAGGGATGGTGGTAGAAGCCTTCCTGAACTTGATCAGGTTTGAAAATGAAGAAGAGGTCTTGGCCACACCAAAGAGGGGCTTTATTTGAAGGAAATAACCCCATACTGCAGGATGAAAATAGGGAGCTTGGAAATTTCCTAATTTAGAGTCTTTACCTGATCCAAGTTGTCTTCCCCCACCCCATCCCATCCTGCCACATCCTGCAGAAACCCTCTGCAGATGACTGGCCCAAGGACAGCCAGTTCTTTCTATTAATAATATTAATAACCAAAAGAAAGTAGTCACATTTTTCATACAAAAATACTAGGAGAAAAACTACTGAAAAGAGGAGCAAACTTTCCTACAAATGAAGAACACTCAGAAAAAATGGTGGCATGGAACAAATAAAAACTATGATCAGGCCAGGTGCAGTGGCTCAGGCCAGTAATCCCAGCACTTTGGGAGGCCAAGGTAGGTGGATCACGATGTCAGGAGTTCAAGATCAGCCTGGCCAAGATAGTGAAACCTCGTCTCTACTAAAAATACAAAAAAATTAGCCAGGCATGGTGGCATGCCCCTGTAATCCCAGCTACTCGGGAGGCTGAGGCAGAGAATTACCTGAACCCAGCAGGCAGAGGTTGCAGTGAGCCGAGATCACACCACTGCACTCCAGCCTGGGCGACAGAGCGAGACTCCATCTCAAAAACAAACAAACAAAATACTATGATCAAACATTCTTCTATGAATTTAAAAAAATAATTTAATAGCAGTACAAAGGAAAATTATTAGCATGGAAATGTAGACACTTAGGGAAGAGATGTCAGAAGGTGAGGGCCAGAAAATAGGAAGAGGTGAAACAGAAACCGGTGCAACTCGGGGAACAAACGAAGGAAAGATGACACAAATGACTACAATGTTAGAAGAAACGGGGTGAGGGGGGAGAGGAGGCGGGGTGGAAAGCATTAGTCTAGGTGCCTGGCATTCTTCTAAATGCTGAAAAACAGGCAAAAACTCTGCCTTTATGGAGCTTTCTATCTAGCACGGGGGAATGAAAATAAATGAGATGAACAAGTAGTATATTGGATGGTGATAAATGGCATAGAGAAAAATCAAGCAGGGAAGTGGGATAGGGAGAGTGCACGTGATATGGTCTGTGTGCTGTTGTAAATAGGGGTAGTCAGAGAAGGGTCCAGCTCTGAATATAAGGCAGGGTGCCCTGCAGATGTCTGCAGGAGATGGCTCCGGGCAGAGGGCATGCTAGGCAGGAAGGGCCTGAGGCAGGACCCTCCTATCTAAGGAATCACAAGGGGGTGGGGTTGCTGAATAAGAGCTGGGGAGTGCCAGGGGTGGTGGGAGTCATGTTCATGAAGCAGATGCTGAGATGGAATTAGGAGTGATAAGGTATATTAGGGAGAAGTATCTATGACAAGATTGGGCAGGGAAAGCTGTCAGGCCATTATGTAGCCTGACAAACTCTCTCTGGGGAGCTCTGGAGCAAGGATTGCCTGTTAGAAGAGGACTGCCTTGGGCAGAAATGGCTTCCTGCATCCTTGTACCACCTCCTTGCTTAGTCACTGACTGGGACTGCCCCAAAGGAGCATGATATTGGCTAGATAGCTGAGCTGACCCTGAAGGAGCCAACTATTGGATGTGTGAGCTAAACACATTCCTCACAATGGTGTGGCGAGTCCGCCTTCAAGGGGAGATCCAAGTGGAGCATCAGGCACACCCTTATAGGCCATCATAAGTACTTTGTCCTTTGTTGTGTCTGGGCTAGAAAGCCATTGGAGGGTTCTGAGTGGAGAGCTGAAATAATCTGAGTTTTTCCTTTAATTAGGATCATTCTAGCTTCTATGTTGAGTGGAATTTAGGAAAGAAAAGGGTGGACATAGGAAGAACAATTAGGGAGCTAAAGCAATAACCCAAGTTAGAAATGAAGGTAGCTTGAACAAAAATGGTAACCAAAGAGGTGTTAAGAAGCGGTCAGTATCTCAGATATTTTTGATAATTTTACCATCATGCCTACTGGTAAAACAATGAGGGCAATCCCCTTTGAGTCATGAACAGGATAAGGAATAAGGATCCTATTTAACTTTTTACTCAAGTTTATACAGTGCAATTAGGCAAGATACATAAAATAGAAGCATAAGACTTGGCAGATGAGATGATCAGTAGATCGCAAAACTCAAGAAAATCAACTGCAAAACCACTACACACAAGCCTCCAGCCTGCACTCGGCTTGCCAGGCTGTGTGCCCACTGCAGGACTGTGTCCACCCATGCCTAATTCACACAAAGGGATGGGCCAATGACAGCCTGTGCACCATTATTATATAGCAATAACCCAATTTCCCCTCGATAATCAGCACCAATAACCTCAGGCACATTGTAATCCCATTTCTGCCTTTGATTCAGTGGCATGAGGAGCCCAAAATTAGAAGGAAGCAACCTCACATTGTGGTTTATGAAACTATTGTTGTGCCCCTGGTGGAACCATTTTTCTCCCCACTAGTATCTCTAAATCAACAGAACCCAAAGTCACACGGAGGAAAAGCAAAATCATTAGGTTTAATAGTGAGAAGTCCCACTACCATTTGGGTCTCTGACCCATACATTCTAAGGAAAACAGCCCTGAATATTAATTAGATTAGTCACTGGTTCATAATATAAACATCCCAGTGTTGGGATGTGTTGTCGACAGGGCAGTGCTGTGGCTGACTTTTCCATAGGCCTGACTCTGATACCGGACCCTCCGTTGTAAATCTTCTATCAGAGCTTGCCACAGATTTTTCACATCATCCTGATAAAGCATGGACAAGCCCAGGCCAAGGACCATTCACTTTTCTGGGTCCTACAGCCCCGTATATGGCAGAATTTGATCAGAGAAGCAGAGCTGCCAGGAAAAGGGTTTATTATAGGACTTGACCTTCTGCAACTGTGATATCTAGTTACACAGTCTGGTGAGGCTGTCAGCTTTACATCTGGTGCTGGGGCCTGAAGTCAGCAGGGCAGGTACTTGGGATGGAAAGACCAACAGGAAGTGAATGGAAGCAAAAACAAACTAGAACTCACAGGATGAGCGAGGGTGGACTGGAATCTGCATTGGTCTCTCTTTTCCAACGCTCCACCTTCAGGGAGATGGGGGACCTGGATCAGAAACTGGAGCCTGTCATCACTGATCTATAAATATGCATGTGGCTTAGGAATCAGAGACAATGAGAAAGGATCTAGAAGGATCTGAAGACCGTGTGAACCTGACTGGCTGCCCCACTCCAACAACCTGAGCCCACAGGCAAGCAACTTGCTACACTGAACCTAGTACCCCACAGTCTCTTTCAGAGAACGGAACAAGAGAATGGCTTCTTATCACAGCAGCCCTGGGAACCTGAGCTGCATACAGGCAATGGAATGAATTAATGCATGCACATACAAACTTGTATTTACAGGCTATTCTTGTTTAAAAAACCTAGTATGGATAATACAGGATTGCGTTTCTTTTTTTTTTTTTTTTTTTAAAAGGGGTCTCACCCTGTTGCCCAGGCTGGAGTGCAGTGGCGCGATCTAGGCTCACTGCAACCTCCGCCTCCCGGGTTCAAGCGATTCTCCTGCCTCAGCCTCCCAAGTAGCTGGGACTACAGGTGCATGCCACCAGGCCTGGCTAATTTTTTTGTATTTTTAGTAGAGACGGGGTTTCACCATGTTAGCCAGGATAGTCTCGATCTCCTGACCTTGTGATCTGCCCGCCTCTGCCTCCCAAAGTGCTGGGATTCCAGGTGTGAGCCACCATGCCTGGCTGGATTGAGTTTCTTAACTCAACCTGCTTAAATGTTGCAGTCTGGAGAAATGTACTCCTGCTTCTGCATTATGATATTTTTGAATTATGGTATTTTTCTATGCATTTTAGCTTCTTTGTATTTATTCATAAGGATGCTAATGGCAATTTGGGAGGAGACATATCAGCCAGCATATCGGTGTATTAGTTAAGGTGCAAGAAAACTACTCTATCAAAGATATGCTAAAACACAGTGAACATAAGCAAGATGTGAAAAGGGTTAACAACCCTCTTTCCTTTTTCATTGGGAAACTGGCCCTGGGTTAACCACTTTCTGGCTCCTTCCCCTAATAGCCTGATGAAGGTAGAATATCAGCTATATTATGAAGCAACATTGCTTGTATAACAATGACTCCTGATTTGTATGCTGCATCTTGACTGGAAAAATAACCCATGGGAAACTGTGGCATTGGGCTTCCCTGGGTTTGGTGGCTCTCTTAAGTGGGTATGCCCTTTGAAATCTGGAAGATACGTCCAAGAGATATTAGTTCCTATATGAACATGGGGTTTCTAAGCCAGGGAGACTATAACCCCACCTGTGTGAGTCTCTCTGTCTCTCTTGCATCTGAAGTATCACTTTGGTGGGCTTGAAGGAAACAGCCACTGGTCTGCTGTCTTGTGCAGACACCTCCCAATAAGGAAGCATGCCTGGCACTGCCCTGCTAAAACTTAGCATTTCCTTCCAATTATGTGTGCATACAACTTGGATAAAAATGAAAACCAAAACTAAAAGTTTTTAAGAGTAAACTGGGACAAGTGTAGCCTAATCAAATTTTGTGAGTCTGAACATCTAGTCGGGAAGATGCTCAAAGGGGTCATTACAGCAAGAGAGATGTTTGTTTCTCTTTCCCAGTCCAGGCCATAGGGAAGGGGTCCAGGGCTGGCAGGGTGGCTCTGCCATCCTCAGCATGAGCCTAACATCTGTGCGTCAAGGAGTAGCTTCCATTCTCATTCTCCTCTGGCCAGGGGAGGGAGGAAAGGAACAGGGGAGCACACAGCTGTTCCTGTTGCAGGAGCAGAGCCCAGAAGTGGCACACATGACTTCCATGCACAAACTCCTTGGTCACACCCACCCACAAGGGAAGGCCAGAAACCACACTCTAGCCAGAAGCCATGTGCTCAGCTGAAACTCAGGAGCCCTAATATTGAAGGAGAAGAGAACAAACATTAAATGTCAGCTGGTGGTCTCTGCCTTAGTCACCATTTAAAATCCATCCTGATTTGCTAAGAAAGGTCCAACTATTATTCCATTTGAAACTAAACAAAACTTGAGTTTGAATAAGTAGGCAGGCATCTTCATGTTTTGCTTTGGGCACTTTTTACTCATTTATTTTAACATTATATCCAATTACTTCTATCTTTTTCCCATTTCTCACATCCAACATTTCTTAGAAGTGTATTCTGTTTATCTGCCTCTTTTTGGTAAAATATTACTGAAGGAAATTTTCTCAGATATGTTTTTGGGCTGTATACATGGTAGTGTTCATAGAGATATAGCAGAAGAGGTTTAAAGCAGAAGGGATCTTTAGAGAACCAATTGAATCTAATCTCCTTACTTTGTGGATTGTCAGAGTGTCAGTGAGTCAGGGAACAAATATTTATTAAAAGATTAGTATATGCCATATGTCTTTCTATGTACCTCAGGATAGGAGACCAAGACAGATGAAACTCTTTCCCTCAAAAAACTTATATTCTACTTTAAATTGTTGTGTGAATTATCCAAAATTATATTTCTCAATTGATTTTATTTTCTTTAAAGGAAATATTTGTTAAGGAAACACAAATTAACAAAGAAAAGGAAGAAGAACTAGTTGAGTATCTTCCACAACTTCAGGTGGCAGAACAAGAGTATAAAGAGAAAAGAAGAAAGTTAGAAGAGCTCAGTAATATTATTACAGGTACATATGAAGCATTTAGTAATTAAACTCAATCCCAGGTAAGGATTTCACTGTCATCTTCTAACACAAGGAGGTCATCAGTTACAAGCCAATGGTGAAACTCACCAAACTTTCCCCATTACCTTTAGCCCTCTGTTCTCTAGTTTTTGCTTCACCTACTAATTTCTCCTCCACACTACCATCTTACCATTGCTATTGTCAAAATTTTCCTTTTCTCTTTTAAAAACTATTTAAGACTTAGTCCTTTACCATATTATTTTCTTTCTCTCCATACTTGGGAAAGGTAGAACTAACTCATTTGTTTGCTACCATGTGGAATTTTTTTTGTATTTTCTTACCGTGAATTTGCAAATTATATCTCTTTTCCTGCTATGATTTTAACCATTTATTGAGTAAGCACTCCTCAGATTTTTTTTTTCACTAACTTCCTCCTGAGGCACAGATAGGTAAGAGCTTGTCTCAGATCTGAGAGTTAGTAGAGGACGTGAAATATGTCCGAAAGTATGCATATTTTAAATTATATTACATGGTATAATCATGCATGTTTAATATAAAAATAATTATTTTCTCCACAAAAAATTGGATGTAATCATTCAACCCTGTGCCCAAGGTCCAAAGTTTATATATCCAGAATCTTTTTTTTTTTTTAAACAAAACCAAAAACACACAGGGTCTCACTATGTTGCCCAGGCTAATCTCAAACTCCTGGGCTTAGGAGATCCTTCTGCCTTGGCCTCCCAAAGTGCTGTGCCTGGCCCAGAATCATCTTTTTGGGTTTTGAGTCTTGTATTGCATTTGGTGAGTAGAGGGTCATTATCTAAGGAATCCGCCCAGGTCTTTAAGCAGGAACAACTTCCAGAATTTGTATCTTCTAGATGATGAAAGAAGAGACATGGGAATCAGAAGGCCAGGACCAAAAGTTACAGAAAGGACTACAATGGGAACAAAAATTGTCTACTGGTTAGCAAAGACAAATATGGGGATAGGAATTAAAATCGCCTGTGTCAAAATGGGACATTCATATGGAACCCCAATATGTTCAAATGTAGAATAAAAAAATATTCAGAAGTGAATAGTGATTATTGCCAAGGAGGGTGGATTTTTAAAAATGTAAGAATGTTATAATAATAATACATGGGTAATTGGCCTGGTACCCACTCCTCAGATGATTTTCCACTTTCTTGTCAGGTTTTCATTTAGTCAACTTAAGTAGGTTTTCTTGGCCTCTTATCACTTTTACCCAGACTTACAATACATATGTCTCTTATTCCCAATTTTCTTTTCTTTTCCCTTCCCTCCCCTCCCCTCCCCTCCTCTCCCCTCCCCTTCCCTTCCTTTCCTTTCCTTTTCTTTCTTTCTCTCTCTCTCTGTCTCTTTCTTTTTTGCTTTCTTTCTTTCTTTTTTTGAGATGGAGTCTCACTCTGTTGTCCAGGCTGGAGTGCAATGGTACAATCTCTGCTCACTGCAACCTCCACCTCCTGGGTTCAAGCGATTCTCCTGCCTCAGCCTCCTGAGTAGCTGGGATTACAGGTGTGCGCCACCATGCCTGGCCAATTTTTGTATTTTTAGTAGAGATGGGGTTTCACCATGTTGGTCAGGGTGGTCGTGAACTCCTGGCCTCATGAGGTCCACCTCAGCCTCCCAAAGTGCTGGGATTATAGGCATGAGCCACCACACCCAGCCTAGTCCCAATTTTCTACTTTCCCAGCCATTCTTCCTATCCCTTTGTTTACTAGGTAGAGGATGTAAGAAACAGTAGGAGTATAAAAGTAAGCAAAAACATTGCAAGTACTAAATCTCTTAATGTAAACAAAGGGGAGAAAATGCTGAAGAAAGTAGATAAAAGAGAGGAAGACAGGAGAAAAGAAGTAAAAGGAACATAAGAGTGGGAAAGTTGACCTGCCAGCAGTTACGCTTGCAGAGAATGGCATGCATGGGCTCCATACACAGAAAGCTTTTAGTTAAATCTGATGGATAAAGCATGTACATATATCTTTGTTCCCTCATAAAACTCCCAAATATGTATATAAAGGTTTTTTTTTCTGAAAAAGATACAAATCCATAAGTACCAAGACACTGGAAGAGATAAGACATTTGCTATCTGCTGATTTATTATTTATTTATTACCTGATAATATCAACAAATTTTGGGAAGATGTAATTGGATAGAGGCAGAAAGAGAAATATAAACACCAAAAGCCTGCCAAAAAGGGCACGATGAAGGCAAAAAGTTCTTTCCCCCAAAGCTGTAAAGTCATAGGCAGTGGCATCCCCTGAAACTATGACAGCTGAGATGAGTCACAGGGCTAAAGGTTGGTTGAAAGTCTTTATAAAGAGCAATTAGAGCTCCAGGTCAAATCCCCTTCTTGTGCAGTTAGCTGAGTGACTCCTCCTCCTCAATGCTGGCAAAAGAAACTGGACCAGATGGCTTCAGACCGCAAGGCATCAGATATGGCTGAGAGCAGAAGACAGGTACTGTACTGAGATCCCCACTGAGATCCCCTCTGAGCTCAGTTTGCTGAATGCTGCCAGCCAGTGGTGTTGTGAACTCTTCCATAATCCCTTACCCCAACCTGAGGAAGGAGACTAACATATTCTTCCTTAAAGGAAACTGAACAATTCAGAGAAAAGCCCCACAACAGCACCGACATTCGATGGTCCCCTCAAATGGCTGGTTCCTTCCTGATCACTGTATATTGAAGCTCACCCAGGACTATTAAATGGGATCAGACAAAGATCTGAAGCATCCAGTGTGAAAGAGAAACTGAAATGGACAGAACAAGAGAACTTGATGGAAACAGAGAAAATGCAAAGAGCATAAGCATACTTTTAAAGAGTATATTCTTAGAGAAATAAATATATTGCATTTTTGAAAAAAGAAAATGATGCTTAAAGATTAGAGAACAGAAAGAGCTCTCAGAAATTAAAAGTATAATAACAAATGTTAAAATTCAATAGGAAAATTATAAGAAAAGTTAAGAAAATCTCTGTAAAAATAGAGCAACAACAACAAAAAGAGATGAGGAAAAGGAGAGAAAGGCAAGAAAATTTAAAAACTATTCTGAGATGCCAAATATCTACCAAACAAGACCAGAAAAAAATCAGTGAATAATGCTTACATTATTATAATGATCTAAAGAGTTAAAATTTATTTAAACGAAAACTATAACTTTATAGGAAGGTTAGGGATGAAATGTAGAGGTTGTGGGTGTGGGTGGGGGATGTGGGAATGGGAGTAAGCATGCTAAAATCTCCTCTACTATATATGACGAAGTAAGTAGAAACTGCCTGACAATGATAAATCAAGATATAGCCATATATTCATGTTTTTAAAGAACTAATAAAATTATCAAAGAAATAATACAAAAATATTTCTTATAACTAGAGAATATAGATTTCCATTTTTAAATGTCCAAGCAAATCCCCAAAACAATATTTAAAAGAAAAGACTAAGCCATATTAGTGTGGAATTTCAGAAGGAAAAATGGAAAGAGAGGATCCTAAAAGCTCCTAGAGAGAAAAATCAGATCTCACACAAAATATTAGAAATCAGAATCATTTCAAACTTCTTAACAGCAATATTATAGTAGAAGTTATAAGACAATGCCTTCAAAATTTGAGAGAAAATAATTTCCAACATTAGATACCCAGCTAAACTATCAAGAATATAGAATAGAAACATATTGAGATATACAAGATCTCAAAACATTTATCCCATTTACTCTTTTTCCTGAAGATGTCTAGAATTTGCTTCAACAAATAGAATAAATGAATCAAGAAAAAGAGTATAAGAAATTTAGGAAACAGGAGGTCCGACATAAGAATAATACAAAGGGTTCTGGTTGAATAAAACCTTTAAAAAAAGAAAAAGAAAAATGCAAAAGGAAGTCCAAAGAAGTCAGCTGCAAAGCAAGCACAAAGAAAGAAAAGATTCCAGAAGGCATATCTCAGAGGGAGGTTCTGAGGGAGAGGGGAGAAATGAAACTCACAGATATGTTAATGTGTTTGACTATATGTGAAATAAAATTTGAAAGGTTGTACAGTTCTGTTGTAGATTTGGTATGAATTAATTATATGTACATGAAACACTGAGCAATTTTTTAAACAAAGCAATCTTTAACTCCAAGAAAAAACAAAAATTATACTAAAAAGAAAATCTAATCATATTATACCATTTGGCTCATCGGGGATAATCCTTATTGCCATAATGATCTAAATGGTTACAATTTATTTAAACAAAAACTATAACTTTATAGGAAGGTTAGGGATGAAATATAGAGGTTGTAGGTGTGGGAGAAGGATGTGGGAATGGGACTAAGTAAATGGAAAATGCCTGAAAATGATAAATCAGAAAATAGGCATATATGCATATTTTTAAAGAAAATTGAGCTAAATGGAAGAGGAAACAACTAAAAAGAGTTAAAAATGTTTGATTCTGAGGAGTCAGACAGGAGTAAACATAGCATTGTGGAGTGCCTGACAGTTGGTTTTTGTTATAAACCTTGTGAGATAATTTGATTTTTAAAACTAGGTACTTCTTTGATTAATATTTTTTAACTAAATTTTTGAGGTAGTTATTTTTTTCTTTGTTTTAATAGCACAAAGACAGGAGGAAGATTTACTGAACAATCACATTTTTCTGTTTACAAGGGACTTTTCAAGATACATTAGCAACATGGTAAAAGATCAATGCATTAATTCTTTTTTTTATTATTATTAGAATAGTGGTATATACAGATGGTAGTATTTACCTGGCATTGAAGTTTTCATGAAATCCACATTTGTTAAACTTACCCATTCAATATCAATGTTTAACAATCTTTGTTATAACACATATATATGCACATGTATACACATACACCTGTACACATATGCTATGTATGTATGTGTATATATGTATACTTATGTGTATATGTATACAGAGAAAGAGGGAGAGAGACTAGAACCAACTAACATGTACTTGTGGAACAGTCATTGAGTGGACCTCGGTTTTCTTATTTATAAGTTAGAAACTTGATTCTGCTTTTTAAGGGTGAGTGAACAAAGGTTGCAGTGGGGGAGTGGATGAATTAGCAGCAGGTAAAGAGATGTTTAGTGCCTTTTTAAAATTTACAATCAACAGTTGGTGATAAGCATATGCATGTGGAATTGGTTAATTAAAAATGGAAACATTCTCTGAGATGCATTGATATCAAAATGTAACTTTTTTTTTTTTTTGAGATGGAGTCTCACTCTGTTGCCCAGGCTCGAGTGCAGTGGCACAATCTCGGCTTACTGCAACCTCAGCCTCCCAGGTTCAAGCGATTTCTGGCTAATTTTTGTATTTTTTAGTAGAGATGAGGTTTCACCATGTTGGCCAGGCTGGTTTCGAACTCTTGATCTCAAGTGATCCGCCTGCCTCGGCCTCCCAAAGTGCCGGGATTATAGGTGTGAGCTACTGCACCAGGCTTCAAAATGTAACTTTTAATACGTTATAAAATATGAAGGAATATATAGGAAAATATGAAGGAGAAAATTACAAGTATAGTGTATATACAGTTCCATTTTCTTAATAAGATGCTTCTGGTGATGATTATGTAATAATAAATATCATGCAACTTATAATAGTATAATAATAGAGAACTGAATAGAGAATTCAATAGAGAAAACATTAGAGAATTCTGAAAAAATTCATAATCTTCTTCTTTCTTCAAGAAACATTAAGTCCTCCTTTAAAAGCCTCAATACATTTCCCCTTCTCTATTTTTGCTGGACAATTGTTTATATATCAAAGTACAGTCATCCCTTGATATCTATGGGGGATTGGTTCCAGGACCAACATGACTATCAAAATCCACGGATGCTCAAATCCCTTGTATGACATGATGTAGTATTTGCATATAACCTACCCACATTCTCCAATATACTTTAAATTATTTCTAGATTACTGATAATATCTAATATAATGTAAATGCTATGTTAGTAGTTGTCATACTGTATTGTTTATTATTTGTATTATTTGTTGTTGTTATTATTTTTATTTTTGTGAATGTATTCTATTCATGTTTAGTCAAATCCACAAATGCGGAACCCACGGATACAGAGGGCTGACTGTATATTTTATTTTGTGAAGTTGTCTCAAGGTCTGGGGTTCTTATCTTGAAGTCCACAGACCCCCTTCCTAGAGTCCATGAATAAATGTGGGGTTGATAGGTTTTTCTAAGGAAGAATATCTATCCTCTGCTGGATACTTCAGAAATTAATTTAGAATCTGGCTCCAAATGTGACCTAGGCAGTATAATACCCTCGTGCCCTACTGTTTGAACTCAGAGATAATTTGGGGTTTTCTGTTTGAGCAGGAAGATGTAAAACAAGAATTACAACAATTACGAGATCAAGAAAGCAAAAAAAACAAAGATCATTTTGAAACTCTAAAGAACTTAGAAAATGGATTCTATATAAATGACCAAAAAGCAGATCTTCTGCTCCTGGAAAATAAAAAATTAAAAGAAGTAAGTTTAAGAGCACCATCCTTTTCATGATGGCTTTGATTAATTGACTAGACCTGTAATAGTTATAAGAGAAAAGAAGAGAATAGCTCTTGAAAAATGTTTAATGGAGCATAAAGTACACACAGAAAAGTGCCCAGATTGCAAGTGTACAGCCCCATGAACACACTTGTGTACCAGGACCCACATCAAGAAACAAAGCATTATCAGTATCCAGATATCCTCTATGCCCCTTCTAGTCACTAACCAGCCCCACTAAGGGTACCACCATGCTAACACCATAGGCTAGTTTTCCCTGGTTTGGAACATTATAGGTATAGAACAATACAGTGTAGGTTCTTTTGCTCAACATTATGTTTGTGAGGTTCAGCCTTATTGTTGAGTGTAGTTTGTTATTCTTAGTTCTGTATAGTATTGCACTGTATGACTACTACTACAATGCATTTATACACTCGACTATTGATGGATATTCAGAGAGTTTCTAGTTTTTGGCTATTACAAATAGTATTGCTGTGAACATTCTAGTTCATGTTTTTTTGGTGAACATACATACATATTTCTGTTGAGTGTACATCTCAAGTGGAATTGCAGAGCCATAGGGATGTGTATCTCCAACTTTAGTACATACTACCAGTCTCCCAAAGGAGTTGCACCAATTGCCACTCCCACCAGCAATGCATGAGAGCACCAGTTGCTCCACACTCTCACAAAACTGTCTTTTTCAATTTAACCATTCTAATGGGTGTGTAGTGGTGCCCCACTAATTTGTGTTTTCCTGATCACTGTTGAAGCACCTATTCTATGTTGCTGGCCTCTTGGATATCCTTTTTTTGTGAAGTGACTGTTCAAGTCTTTTGCCCGTTTTTTAAAAAGTAGGTTGTCTATTTCATACTGATTATAGCTCTTTTTATAGCAGAGGAATTTGTTCATCCAACCCCTAAAATTAAAGTCTATTTATACTTAAAATGTATTCGTTTTAACATTTTAAATGTTATATTTAATAATTAGATATTTATAAGATACTGATTTTTAATGCCCAGAACTGTTGCATTCAAAGCATATTTTTAAAGTGTATAGAGTCCAACATTTTATATACTGTGACAAAACAGTAACAACAAAAATTTACATAATATTCTTTAGTTTGAAAGACCTGGATTAGAGTCTGTCATTCACCAGTGACACTGTGTGACTTTGGGCAGATCACTGAACTTGTAAGCTTCATTTTGGCCTCTTAAAATGGGAATAACTGCTACTCACAGGTTGAATGTGACTTTTTTTTTTTCTTTTTTCTTTTTTGAGACGGAGTCTTGCTCTGTCGCCCAGGCTGGAGTGCAGTGGCACGATCTCGGCTCACTGCAAGCTCCGCCTCCCAGGTTCACGCCATTCTCCTGCCTCAGCCTCCCGAGTAGCTGGGACTACAGGTGCCCGCCACCATGCCCGGCTAATTTTTTGTATTTTTAGTAGAGACGGGGTTTCACCGTGTTAGCCAGGATGGTCTCGATCTCCTGACCTTGTGATCCGCCCGCCTCGGCCTCCCATAGTGCTAGGATTACAGGCTTGAGCCACCGCGCCCGGCTGAATGTGACTTCTTTATAAACTGAAAAGGCAAAAGAAATACCATTTCTAAAATCCTTTTTTTCCAGCCATCCATAATGACCTCATGGTCAAGATCTGTTATCAATGTACCCCAAGTGTTTTGCACAATGCCTGTAATGTTAGAGGGATTCAGTCTCATTTGACGTTTAAGACTGTAACCTTAAAAAGTGGATAATACATTGTGTCCCTTTTATAGATGTGTAAATTGAAGCTGTATTTTTTTTAGAAGTTTTAATAGCTAGAAAAAAATCAGTGACTAGTCCAATGGCATGAAGAAAATCCTTCACCTCGCTGGGTAATTTTTTTCATCTGTTAAATGGCAATAGTTATCCCACCACTCTCATGGGTTTTTTTATAAACTAAAATGGCATAATAGGTACTAATGTACTTTGAAAAGGTAATTGTGCTCCAAAGAGCCTAGATACATACCATCATTGATAACCCTCACACATGCAATGCACCTTCATTCTTCTAGACCTTGAGACAAACTGATTTGTTCCACTAGACTGTCTTCCTATCAAGATATAGATTATTTCTTAAAAGAATTGGAATATGTATTGCTATTTTGGCAGTAGGTGAGCAGATGGATGTGTGGATGAAAGACTGATTATGAAAGTCCTGTTTTTTTTAAATTCAGTGTCCATCTGCTAGTCACCGAATGACTCTGTGCTGTTTTCTTATTCACTCACCACTCAGTTTTGCTGGTTGCATCTCTTTACTCTAAACATGCACTGAGTCCCAAGCACTGGGCAAGACACAGTAAATACAGAGATAAGTAAGATACTGCCGCAGCCCTTTGGAAGCTCATGGTCTAGCTGAAGAGATGCACATAGAAACAGATCATTACAATTCAGTATGTTAAGTGCAACAATCTGAACAAGACACATACAGTGCCCCAGAGCAAGGGAACCTTGCCACACCAGGTGAAGAACACAAAGGAGAACTCTCACTGTGTATCATTAATGTAGAGGCAGGATTTACACCTGGGAGATGGATGAGTCTCTTCAGGGACAGTGTGTTAAGTGAGAAGATTAGGGGCTGTGAACAGAATCCTGGAGAAAAACAACTTTGAAGGAGTGAGCTGTGGAGAGGAGATAAAAAGAGAGACTGAAAGAAAATAGAGAGTTTGGGAGAAGCACAAGAGTCCAGCTGAACTAGGAAAGTCTGCAGACCCATGGTCAAAGAGGGGCAAGAATGTGGCCTTGCGGTTGGCTTAAGGTGGCTTTTACTTTTGTTTACTATAATATCAGAAAACAAGCTATGAAAAGGCTGACACAACATCAAAGATACATGAGTAGACCCTATAATACACGCTTAGAAACAGTCTACGTAACAGTCCCATGTCTACCTCATCTGTAGCACTGAACACAATTTCAAAGATTTTTATGGATAGTTTATAGTATTTGTTTCTTTCTTGAAACTGGACCAGTTTTATGTCCCAAAGCCCATATTTCCAGAGTTCCTGGGACTTTAGAGTTTCTGGGCATTGGGTGGTCAGAACAGAAAGCCATGACTGTAATACTCAAAGTCACCTGTCACTACTGCCACCACTGGCACCCAACCCAGTGAACATCTGACTTGAGTAAGTAATTCCATGCAGTCTCCTGACTCAATTAATCATCTCTCTGAGGTCTTACACTGAATGCCAGTCTGGCAGCATTACTGCTTTGTGACATCTACTGTACACACATTTTGCATAAGGAACATTTTTGTTGTGGACATATTGCATTCAGACAGAACACCTTCTAATTTCTTTTGGTGGAAAATTATACTCAGAATGCCATGTTTATTTAAATGCTGAAGTGAAATGCTTCATAGGAAGCAGAATCCTTTATCTCCTTTCCCAGGATGGAATCCTGACCAAGGTATGTTTTATTCCCCACTGTTACCCCTGTACCTAGAATAGTGGGTGGCGCAGAGGAGGAATTTATACATGTTTGCTGAATGACTACATGATAATTTATCTATAGTAACTAAACTGCTAAAAGCAATCACATGCTTTTAATTTTCAGTATATTTTATACTTGAAGAATAACATAGAGAAATACAGAGAAGGACAAGAAGCCCTCATGCACACCTCAAGCGACTTGTCTCGGCAACTAATAGCTCAGGAGGGTAAGTAATGTGTGGGTGCTTGTATTAGTCAGGGTTCTTTAGCGGGACAGAACTAATAGGATATATGTATATATGAAAGGGAGCTTATTAAGGAGAACTGACTCACATGATCACAAGGTAAAGTCCCATGATAGGTCTTCTGCAAGTTGAGGAGCAAGGAATCCAGTGGTGGATCCGTCAGAGTCCCAAAGCCTCACAAGTAGGGAAGCCAACAGTGCAGCCTTCAGTCTGTGGCCAAAGGCCCAAGAGCCCCTGCCAAACCACTGGTGTAAATCCAAGAGTCCAAAAGCTGAAGAACTTGGAGTCCAATGTTCGAGGGCAGGAAGCATCTAGCACAGGAGAAAGAGGAATCTTGGAAGACTCAGCCAGTCTAGCCACGCTGGCAGCTGATTAGACGGTTCCCACCCAGATTGAGAGTGGGTTTGCCTCTCCCAATCCACAGACTCAAATGTGAATCTCCTTTGGTTAACACCCTCATAGACATACCCAGGAACAGTACTTTGCATCTTTCAATCCAGTCAAGTTGACAATATTAACCATTACAGTGTTCTTTACATATAAAGTTTTTACTTCATTTAAATCCAGTTTATTGATTTGCATACAAAAAATGCACCCATTTTCAGGTTAGTGAATTTGACAAATGTACATGCTATTGTAACCACTATCACCACAAGCAAGATATAGAGCATTTTCATGACTACAAAATTTTCTCTGTATCCCTTTGCCGTCGATCACCTACCCCATCTCTAGTTCCTGGAAACCATTGATCTGCTTTCTGTCATTAATAATGAGATATAAATGAAATGACAGGGTGCACACTTTTATACCTGGCTTCTTTCACTCAGCAAATTGTTTTAAGATTCATCTAAGTTGTTGCATGTCTCACTAGTTTGCTCCTTTTTATAGCTGTACAGTAGAATCCCATTGTATAGATATACCATATTTTATTTATTCATTCACCAGTCGAAAGACATTTAGATTATTTCCAGTTTGGGATAATTATGAATGAAGCTATTGTGAACATTTGTTTACAAGTGTTTTTATGGCCATGTTTTCATTTCTCTTGGGTAAATACCTATAATGGAATTGCTGAATTATATAGCAATTAGTGTATGATTAACTTTATAGGAAATATATATGGTTAGTGTATGATTAACTTTATAAGAAACCGCCAGACAAATTTGCCAGAGTGGTTGTTAAGTGTCTCATCCCACTAACAATGGAGAAGAGTTCCCATTGCTCTACATCCTCATCAACACTTAAAATGGTGAAAACGCTTTAAATTGTTAATATTTTGGTCATTTTAATAGGTATGTAATGGCATTTCATTGTGATTGTAACTTGTACTTCTCTAATGAGTAATGTTGTTGAGTATACTTTTTCATGTGTTTCTTGGCCATTTGAATATTATCTTTTGTGACAAATATTGCAAACATGGTAGCTGAAGACAAATTATTTACTTTGCTCACAAAATGGCAATTTGATCAGAGCTCGTTGAAGACAACTAAATGTCTGCTCTGCATGGCATCAGCCAGGGCAACTTGAAGGCTGAGGGTAATTCAACAGCCGGGAACTGAAATCATCTGAAGACTCACTCATTCCTGTGTCTGAAGTTGATGCTGGCCCTCAGCTGGATCTCGAGGGAGGCCATTGGCCAGAACACCTCCTCATGGCCTCTCCATGTAGCAGTTTGGCCTGCTGGGTTCCAAAAGCATCCCAAGAGAACGAAGTGGAAGTTCATGGCGTCTTATGACCTAGCTTCAGTCACAGTGTTATTTTCACAATACGCTAATGGTTGAGGCAGTCACTCAGGTGCAAGGGGAGGGGTCATAGCCACCACCTCTCAATGGAAGAAGTGTCAGCATCATGTCAGGGAAAAAAACTTGTGGAATGGAATATACTGTGGGGATATCTTTGGAAAATACAATCTGTCACATGTCTGTCCAAATCTTTTACTCATTGCTTTGTGTTGTTTTCCTATTATCCAGTTAAAATCTTTACGTTTTCTGGAAATGAGTCCTTTTTCTGTCTGAAGCTTGACTTTTCATTTTCTTCATGGTGTCTCAGAAAGAGTAAACATTTTTTCATTTGAACGAAGCCCATCTATCGATTTTGTCTTTTAAGGTAGTACTTTTTGTTTCCTGCCTAAAACATTTGTGCCTACCCCAGGCTCTTCAATATTTTCTTGTATAATTTTTTTAGTTTCAGTGTTTATGTCTAGATTTCTAATTCATTTCAAGTGAACTTTTTTTTTATTACTATACTTTAAGTTTTACGGTACATGTGCACAATGTGCAGGTTAGTTACATATGTATACATGTGCCATGTTAGTGTGCTGAACCCTGTAACTCATCATTTAACATTAGGTATATCTCCAAATGCTATCCCTCCCTCATAACCCACCGACAACAGGCCCTGGTATGTGATGTTCCCCTTCCTGTGTCCAAGTGTTCTCATTGTTCAATTCCCACCTATGAGTGAGAACATGTGGTGTTTGGTTTTTTGTCCTTGCAATAGTTTGCTGAGAATGATGGTTTCCAGCTCCATCCATGTCCCTACAAAGGACATGAACTCATCATTTTTTATGGCTGCATAGTATTCCATGCTGTATATGTGCCCCATATTCTTAATCCAGTCTATTGTTGTTGGACATTTGGGTTGGTTCCAAGTCTTTGCTATTGTGAATAGTGCCACAATAAACATACATGTGCATGTGTCTTTATAGCAGCATGATTTATAATCCTTTGGGTATATACCCAGTAATGGGATGGCTGGGTCAAATGGTATTTCTAGTTCTAGATCCCTGAGGAATCACCACACTGACTTCCACAATGGTTGAACTAGTTTACAGTCCCACCAACAGTGTAAAAGTGTTCCTGTTTCTCCATATCCTCTCCAGCACCTGTTTTTTCCTGACTTTTTAATGATTGCCATTCTAACTGGTGTGAGATGGTATCTCATTGTGGTTTTGATTTGCATTTCTCTGATGTCCAGTGATGATGAGCATTTTTTCATGTGTCTTTTGGCTGTATAAATGTCTTCTTTTGAGAAATGTCTGTTCATATCCTTCGCCCACTTGTTGATGGGCTTGTTTTTTTCTTGTAAATTTGTCTGAGTTCATTGTAGATTCTGGATATTAGCCCTTTGTCAGATGAGTAGATTGCAAAAATTTTCTCCCATTCTGTAGGTTGCCTGTTCACTCTGATGATAGTTTCTTTTGCTGTGCAGAAGCTCTTTAGTTTCATTAGATCCCATTTGTCAATTTTGGCTTTTGTTGCCATTGCTTTTGGTGTTTTAGACATGAAGTCCTTGCCCATGCCTATGTCCTGAATGGTATTGCCTAGGTTTTCTTCTAGGGTTTTTATGGTTTTAGGTCTAAGATTTAAGTCTTTAGTCCATCTTGAATTAATTTTTGTATAAGGTGTAAGGAAGGGATCCAGTTTCAGCTTTCTCCATATGGCTAGCCAGTTTTCCCAGCACTAATTATTAAATAGGGAATCGTTTCCCCATTTCTTGTTTTTGTCAGGTTTGTCAAAGATCAGATGGTTGTAGATATGCGGCATTATTTCTGAGGGCTCTGTTCGGTTCCATTGCTCTATATCTCTGTTTTGGTACCAGTACCATGCTGTCTTGGTTACTGTAGCCTTGTAGTATAGTTTGAAGTCAGGTAGCGTGATGCCTCCAGCTTTGTCCTTTTGGCTTAGGATTGACTTGGCGATGCGGGCTCTTTTTTGGTTCCATATGAACTTTAAAGTAGTTTTTTCCAATTCTGTGAAGAAAGTCATTGGTAGCTTGATGGGGATGGCATTGAATCTATAAATTACCTTGGGCAGTATGGCTGTTTTCACGATATTGATTCTTCCTACCCGTGAGCATGGAATGTTCTTCCATTTGTTTGTATCCTCTTTTATTTCGTTGAGCAGTGGTTTGTAGTTCTCCTTGAAGAGGTCCTTCACATCTCTTGTAAGTTGGATTCCTAGGCATTTTATTCTCTTTGAAGCAATTGTGAATGGGAGTTCACTCACGATTTGGCTCTCTGTTTGTCTGTTATTGGTGTATAAGAATGCTTGTGATTTTTGCACATTGATTTTGTATCCTGAGACTTTGCTGAAGTTGCCTATCAGCTTAAGGAGATTTTGGGCTGAGACAATGGGGTTTTCTAAATATACAATAATGTCATCTGCAAACAGGGACAATTGGATTTCCTCTTTTGCTAATTGAATACCCTTTATTTCCTTCTCCTGCCTGATTGCCCTGGCCAGAACTTCCAACACTATGTTGAATAGGAGTGGTGAGAGAGGGCATCCCTGTCTTGTACCAGTTTTCCAAGGGAATGCTTCCAGTTTTTGCCCATTCAGTATGATATTGGCTGTGGGTTTGTCATAGATAGCTCTTATTATTTTGAGATACATCCCATCAATACCGAATTTATTGAGAGTTTTTAGCATGAAGGGCTGTTGAATTTTGTCAAAGGCCTTTTCTGCATCTGTTGAGATAATCATATGGTTTTTGTCTTTGGTTCTGTTTGTATGCTGGATTACATTTATTGATTTGTGTCTGTTGAACCAGCCTTGCATCCCAGGGATGAAGCCCTCTTGATCATGGTGGATAAGCTTTTTGATGTGCTGCTGGATTCGGATTGCCAGTATTTTAGTGAGGATTTTTGCATCAATGTTCATCAGGGATATTGGTCTAAAATTCTCTTTTTTTGTTGTGTCTCTGCTAGGCTTTGGTATCAGGATGATGCTGGCCTCATAAAATGAGTTAGGGAGGATTCCCTCTTTTTCTATTGATTGGAATAGTTTCAGAAGGAATGGTACCAGCTCCTCCTTGTACCTCTGGTAGAATTCGGCTGGGAATCCATCTGGTCCTGGACTTTTTTTGGTTGGTAAGCTATTAATTATTGCTTCAATTTCAGAGCCTGTTATTGGTCTATTCAGAGATTCAACTTCTTCCTGGTTTAGTCTTCGGAGGGTGTATGTGTCGAGGAATTTATCCATTTATTCTAGATTTTCTAGCTTATTTGCATAGAGATGTTTATAGTATTCTCTGATGGTAGTTTGTATTTCTGTGGGATCGGTGGTGATATCCCAGTTATCATTTTTTATTGCGTCTATTTGATTCTTCTCTCTTTTCTTCTTTATTAGCCTTGCTAGCAATCTATCGATTTTGTTGATCTTTTCAAAAAACCAGCTCCTGGATTCATTGATTTTTTTGAAGGTTTTTTTGAGTCTCTATTTCCTTCAGTTCTGCTCTGATCTTAGTTATTTCTCACCTTCTGCTAGCTTTTGAATGTGTTTGCTCTTGCTTCTCTAGTTCTTTTAATTGTGATGTTAGGGTGTCAATTTTAGATCTTTCCTGCTTTCTCTTGTGGGCATTTAGTGCTATAATTTTCCCTCTACATACTGCTTTGAATGTGTCCCAGAGATTCTGGTATGTCGTGTCTTTGTTCTCATTGGTTTCAAAGAACATCTTTATTTCTGCCTTCATTTCGTTATGTACCCAGTAGTCATTCAGGAGCAGGTTGTTCAGTTTCCAAGTAGTTGAGCGATTTTGAGTGAGTTTCTTAATCCTGAGTTCTAGTTTGATTGCACTGTGTTCTGAGAGACAGTTTGTTATAATTTCTGTTCTTTTACATTTGCTGAGGAGTGCTTTAGTTCCAACTATGTGGTCAATTTTGGAATAAGTGCGGTGTGGTGCTGAGAAGAATGTATATTCTGTTGATTTGGCGTGGAGAATTCTGTAGATGTCTGTTAGGTCTGCTTGGTGCAGAGCTGAGTTCAATTCCTGGATATTCTTGCTAACTTTCTGTCTCATTGATCTGTCTAATGTTGACAGTGGGGTGTTAAAGTATCCCATTATTATTGTGTGGGAGTCTAAGTCTCTTTCCAGGTCTCTAAGGACTTGCTTTATGAATCTGGGTGCTCCTGTATTGGGTGCATATATATTTAGGATAGTTAGCTCTTCTTGTTGAATTGATCCCTTTACCATTATGTAATGGCCTTCTTTGTCTCTTTTGATCTTTGTTGGTTTAAAGTCTGTTTTATGAGAGACTAGGATTGCAACCCCTGCCTTTTTTTGTTTTCCATTTGTTTGGTAGATCTTCCTCCATCCCTTTATTTTGAGCCTATATGTGTCTCTGCATGTGAGATGGGTCTCCTGAATACAGCACACTGATGGGTCTTAACTCTTTATCCAATTTGCCAGTCTGTGTCTTTTAATTGGAGCATTTAGCCCATTTACATTTAAGGCTAATATTGTTATGTGTGAATTTGATCCTGCCATTATGATGTTAGCTGGTTATTTTGCTTGTTAGTGGATGCAGTTTCTTCCTAGCCTCAATGGTCTTTACAATTTGGCATGCTTTTTCAGTGGCTGGTACCAGTTGTTCCTTTCCATGTTTAGTGCTTCCTTCAGGAGCTCTTGTAGGGCAGGCCTGGTGGTGACAAAATCTCTCATCATTTGCTTGTCTATAAAGGATTTTATTTCTCCTTCATTTATGAAGCTTAGTTTGGCTGGATATTAAATTCTGGGTTGAAAATTCTTTTCTTTAAGAATGTTGAATATTGGCCCCCACTCTCTTCTGGCTTGTAGTGTTTCTGCTGAGAGGTCAGCTGTTAGTCTGCTGGGCTTCCCTTTGTGGGTAACCCGACCTTTCTCTCTGGCTGCCCTTAACATTTTTTCCTTCATTTCAACTTTGGTGAATCTGACAATTATGTGTCTTGGAGTTGCTCTTCTGGAGGAGTATCTTTGTGGCATTCTCTGTATTTCCTGAATTTGAATGTTGGCCTGCCTTGCTAGATTGGGGAAGTTCTCCTGTATGATATCCTGCAGAGTGTTTTCCAACTTGGTTCCATTCTCCCTGTCACTTTCAGGTACACCAATCAGACGTAGATTTGGTCTTTTCACATACTCCCATATTTCTTGGAGGCTTTGTTCATTTCTTTTTATTCTTTTTTCTCTAAACTTCTCTTCTCGCTTCATTTCATTCATTTGATCTTCCATCACTGATAGCCTTTCTTCCAGTTGATCTAATCGGCTACTGAGGCTTATGCATTTGTCATGTAGTTCTCGTGCCTTGTTTTTCAGCTCCATCAGGTCCTTTAAGGACTTCTCCGCATTGGTTATTCTAGTTAGCCATTCGTCTAATTTTTTTTCAAGGTTTTTAACTTCTTTGACATGGGTTTGAACTTCCACCTTTAGCTCTGAGTAGTTTGATCGTCTGAAGCCTTCTTCTCTCAACTCATCAAAGTCATTCTCTGTCCAACTTTGTTCCATTGCTGGTGAGGAGCTGCGTTCCTTTGGAGGAAGAGAGGCACTCTGATTTTTAGAATTTCCAGTTTTTCTGCTCTGTTTTTTCCCCATCTTTGTGGTTTTATCTACCTTTGGTCTTTGATGATGGTGACGTACAGATGGGGTTTTGGTGTGGATGTCCTTTCTGTTTTTTAGTTTTCCTTCTAACAGTCAGGACCTTCAGCTGCAGGTCTGTTGGAGTTTGCTGGAGGTCCACTCCAGACCCCGTTTGCCTGGGTATCAGCAGCGGAGGCTGCAGAACAGCGGATATTGGTGAACATCAAATGTTGCTGCCTGATCATGCCTCTGGAAGTTTTGTCTCAGAGGAGTACCCGGCCATGTGAGGTGTCAGTCTGCCCCTACTAGGAGGTGCCTCCCAGTTACGCTACTCGGGGGTCAAGGACGTGCTTGAGGAGGCAGTCTGTCCATTCTCAGATCTCCAGCTGCGTGCTAGGAGAACCTCTACTCTCTTCAAAGCTGTCAGACAGGGACATTTAAATCTGCAGAGGATTCTGCTGCCTTTTGTTTGGCAATGCCCTGCCCCCAGAGGTGGAGTCTACAGAGGCAGGCAGGCCTCCTTGAGCTGCGGTGGGCTCTACCCAGTTTGAGCTTCCAGGCTGCTTTGTTTACCTAGTCAAGCCTCAGCAATGGCAGGCACCCCTCCCCCAGCCTCGCTGCTGCCTTGCAGTTTGATCTCAGACTGCTGTGCTAGCAATGAGTGAGGCTCCGTGGGCATAGGACCCTCCAAGCCAGGCACGGGATATAATCTCTTGCTGTGCCGTTTGCTAAGACAGTTGGAAAAGCACCATATTGGGGTGGGAGTGACTTGATTTTCCAGGTGCCATCCATCACCCCTTTCTTTGACTAGGAAAGGGAATTCCCTGACCCCTTCCACTTCCCAGGTGAGGCAGTGCCTCCCCCTGCTTTGGCTCACACTCGGTGCACTGCACCCACTGTCCTGCACCCACTTTCTGACACTCCCCAGTGAGATGAACCCAGTACCTCAGTTGGAAATGCAGAAATCACCCGTCTTCTGCGTCGCTGACGTTGGGAGCTGTAGACTGGAGCTGTTCCTATTCGGCCATCTTGGCTCCACCCCCCTCAAGTGAACTTTTTTATATGATGTGAAGCAATGCTTGAATTTCATTGTTTTCTCTTACACACATCCAGTTGTTCCAGTACTATTTTTGAAAAGACTATGCTTTTGCCATTGTATTACCCTAGCAACTTTTCAAAAATCAATTTTATGTGGTTGTTCCTTTATTCTAAATGCCTAACTTTATACCAATATCACACTGTCTTAATTACTATAGCTTCACATGCAGTCTGAACATCAGGTAATAGAATTCTTCACCTGTATGCTTGTCTTTTAAAATTATTTTCACTATTCTAAATTCTTTGATTTCCATATACATTTTAGAATCACCTAATCTACACACACACACACACACACACACACACACACACACACACACCCCTGCTGAGATCTTAATTGGGTTTGTGTTGAATCTATAAGTCAATGTTGGAAGAATAGACTTTTTAATGAAATTATATTTTCTAATCCAAGAATATAGTATTTATCTCCATTTATTTAGGTCTTTATCTCAAAAAAATTGTGCAGCTGTAGTGTAGTATCAGGTATCCCAGGACTACCCTTAGGCTTAATGATTAGCTAAAATGATTCACAGGACTCAAAAATTGTTATGGTTATTGTTATTCCAGTGAAAGATAGAGTAAAATCAGCAAAGGGAAAAGGCACAGAGGGCAAAGTATGAAGGAAATCTGGAGCAACCTTCTCAGGGATGCACTTAATTTCCCCAACAACGTGTGACTCCACATACAAAGTGTTGCCAACCAGGGAGGCTCACCCAGGCTTGAGTGTCCAGAGTACTTATGGGGCGGGAAGATGGTCAGTCATGCGGGCACAGAGTGCCTTTGTGACTGGCCTCAGCTGCTCAGACAGCCACTGAGATGCTCAGCTAGTATTACTCCTTTATGCTGTTCGTGTGGTAAGTTGCACTGATTGAGTCTGACTTTTAAACCAAGCTCCCATTCTTAGCATAAAGCCCACTTGTTCAAAAGCTTTTATTGTTCTTGTCTATTGCTGGATTCAGTTTGCTAATCTTTTTGTGTCTGTGTTAAGACCACCCTGCTGTGCCAGTGCTGTGGTCTGGAAAGTGCCCCCCAGTGGAAAGCTGGGTGATTGCAGGACCCACCTCCTTTGTTTCTCTTCCAGGTGTCACAGTCCTGGGCTGCCCATTCTTCAACATCTGAAAACATTTCTTTCATATGTTTTGCTTCTTTCTTCTATTTGTTTGCAGTGGGAGGGCAGGTCCAATTCAGTTATTCTGTCATTTTGGAACTAGACATTTTTAGATAAAAATAATTTTTGAAAAAACAAAAATGAATAACACGACTTTTATTAAAATGTTCAGATTGTGTCAGTAACCATTGTATTTTTTAAATCTTTATTTTAGCACAATATAAGGATTTGTGGGCTGAATTTCAGACCACAGTTAAGGTGAGTTTTGCGTGTGTCTGTTGCCTCCATATAAATATCATATTTCCAAAAATGTTTACCTACCTAATAAGTGTGTGTGCTTTTGTGTCTGTGTGCACCTGCATGCACGCATCAGGGTGGAAATTCACACTAGCTCTCTCACTCCCCTGCAGTCCTAGATGCTACTGTGACCACCACCTCCTAAAATGTGTCTTTTTTTTTTTTTTTTTTTACCAAATATCACTATGAAATCTTAATTCTTTGGGAAACTGTCTTCCCACTCTACCACTCAGATAAGGTGGGAAAGACTGTTTTTTGCATGCCCCAAATGAACACATTTTGGTTCAGGACAAAGTTGTCAGTTCTGGACTCCTTACCTCTTCATGTTTTACCAGTGCAACATCTGCACCCTCCCCACTTCAGAGTCAGATAGGCTGGGGTCAAAATCCTGGCTCTGCCACTTTCTAAGTATTTAAAGTTTACACATAATCCTCATTTAAGTATTAAAACACTGGACTAGGAAAGCGTTAAAATGTCTTTTTCACATGGAGCTGCGGAGGCCCAGAGGGTTTATGTAACTTGTCCAAGACCAAACAGTTCATGAACGTATGGGAATTTACAACCCAGATCCTGCCTGATTCCAAAGTTCCTTCTGTTAGGCTGAATCTCTTCAGCTCTGTGCTTCTCTGAGGGTGAAACTAGCTTTTTATGCTGCCACCACCATGGCTACCATTATCCACTTAAAAATTTGAGTTCAGTGAGCATTCCATTATTCTTCTCACTTCATAATCCATTTTTCCAAGATTATGTACAGAACTTTGTGAATTGGCTGTGTACACAAGCACTTATTTTTATGACTGATACCAATTATGCATATATAATATTTTTTTTTGGACATGATCCACTTAGAATGTGTATTTATTTATGTTGTAGCAATTTATATTGACACAGCCTAAAATGCCATTTCTTTAGATCTTGGTGGACAATGGTGAAGAGACCTTGCAAGACATAAACAATCTAACAGACAAGCTGCGTGAAAGAGATGAAAAAATGCAGCATGTCAGTACATGGCTACGAGGGAGTCTTGAAGGGCTGCGTTTGCTTGTGGAACAGGAATCACCAATGGACCTTCTTAGTAAGCAACAGCTTAGAGCTTTGGTAACATGGGACTTCCTGCTATTTTACTATATAGCTGGTAACATCAAAAGAAGAAAAAACGTGTCAACTAAGTGACTTAGTTATCCCCAATTATGCCACAAACATTCAATTGAACATTGATACTTATTTGGGGTTGAATACTCTTGTAGTGTTATCCAATTCTGCCTTTCACCTAAGAGAATTTTCTAGATAACTAAATCTTCTTTATAATTTTTTTAAAAAGTTTATTTTAAACATTTTTCCAGAGAAGGCTTTTTAAACTCTTTTACACATTTTTTAGTCTTCTTAAACAGAAGTTGAATATAATTTTACATTTTCTTCCTGAACTGAGTTTAGCATTAAAAATAGCAACTGTTACCTTCTCAGAAAAATCTAGTGATGGCTGCGGGGGCTTCTGAGATGTTAACACATCATATCTAACATGCTTGACTCATGAGCAAGCAGTCCAGTCTCTCCAGAGGCGTATCAGCTTCATCCTCAATCCCCACAATAATGTCATGTTAGACATAGCCACAGAACTCTCCAGATTAGGGCAGTGGTGAGAATTGAAGGTGAGTCCTTGCACAGGTACAGCCCAGAGGTCCCAGTGACAGAATCATCTGGGAAGATGGGATGTGGGGGTAGAGGGAGCTTGGGAGAAGGAAAGAGAACAGAGTTTAGAAGAGAGATGGAGTGATGAAACAAGAATACTGTCATCTGGCAAGTGTACAAATCTATTTGTGCTTATCAAGGCTTAATTTTAAAGAGCATAATCACTAGATAAGCAATTTTGAAGGTAGGATGTAGAAAGTAAAATGGGATAAAAGTAAAAAGAGCTGCATGCAGTGACTCATGGTTATAATCCCAGCACTTTGGGAGGCTGAGGCAGGAGGATTGCTTGAGACCAAGTGTTCGAGACCAGCCTGAGCAACATAATGAGACCCTGTCTCTACAAAAATAATTTTAAAGTTAGCAGGGTATGGTAGTGCCTCTGCCTCAGCTACTCGGAAGGTTGAGATGGGAGAATTGCTTGAGCCTGGGAGGTCGAGCCTGCAGTTAGCCATGATTGTGCCACTGCACTCCAGCCTGGATGACAGAGTGAGACCCTGTCTTAAAATAAATGTAAAAAGAGGGATAGTGATAAGATTAAAAACATTCCAGTATTTGGGAAAACCTGTGTTCTGGGGCATTGCTTGACAGAAGAAATAACGTTTCAGTGGCCAATGAAGAACTTTGTGGGTAAACCCTCTTAGCTGCAAAGTCATTTTGATGGTCCTGCCTGGTGATCATGATGAGCCTGGTGATACTTATGATGTACGAATGCATAAAGGATCCTTTGTGGGCCTTGCTTCTATTTGTATTTCCTTTGCTAGGCCAGACCATTCCTTCCAACTATAGATCAAGCAAAATTTTGAGAGCTAAATCATCTGTAAGTGTCAAGGGCACTGTCTTCACATGAATTAATCTTCTGTTTTTATCTGAAACCCGATGGAATCTTTGTGTTGCAACAAATTTAAATAGACTCTTAGAGAAAGTTTCACTGAATTACTAATATCATATTTCCTTTTTCATATATTTTGAGGTCTGATGGATAATCTATGACAAGTAGAGACTGGCAGTGTGTAAATAAAAAGACCACCCAAATGAGAATAAGCAGAGGCTGTTTATGCAGAACTTGCTATAGCAATGGAGCCAGGCACTGTCTTAGTTCGTTCGGGCTACCATAACATTCTGTACACTGGGTAGCTTATAAATAACACGAATTTATTTATCACAGTTCTGGAGGCTGGGAAGTCCAAGATCAAGGCACTGGCAGGTTTGGCTTCTGCTGAGGGCCCACTTTCTGGTTCATAGAATGGTGCTTCCTCATTGTGTCCTCAAATCATTTAAGGGGTAAGGCAGCACTTTGGGGCCTCTTTGATAAGGGCACGAATCCCAAGACCTAATCACCTCCCAAAGGCCACACCTAATACACACTGGAGATTGTTTCAACATAGGAATTTTGGAGGAGACACAAACTCTCAGACCATAGCAGCCAGGATTACTTGCTTTTCTCTCTTTTTTTTTTTTTTTTTTTTGAGACAGGGCCTCTCACCCTGTTGCCCAGGTTGGACTGCAACCTCTGCCTCCCAGTCTCAAGCAATCCTCTCACCTCAGTCTCCCAAGTAGCAGGGACTACAGGCACGTGCCACTGTGCCTGGCTGCAGTGTGTGTGTGTGTGTGTGTGTGTGTGTGTGTGTGTGTATTTTGGAGACGAGGTTATGCCATGTTGACCAGGCTGGTCTTGACCTCCTGAGCTCAAGCAATCCTCCTGCCTCAGCCTCCTAAAGTGCTGGGATTATATGTGTGTGCCATGGACCTATTGGACTAAACAAAGCGGGGCGAACGCGGGAATAAAAGACAAAGACAAGAGAGTATATTTGGAAGAAGGGGTCAGGGGGCACCTTGCCTCTAGTGGACAAGTGCCCTGAACTTTACACAGCCCTCTGTATTTATTAAGCAAAAGAGATAGTGAGGTGTGTGGGGGGTCGGGGGTGATTGTCCGCCAGCAGCTTGATTCACAGCAGGCTTGTAAGACTGCATTCTTAGAACAATAGGCACTAGATTTCTCAATAGGTAACTTCAAGGAACCCAGTGCCAGGGAGTGAGGCCCTCAGCAAACCTTTTGGTGGCAAGGCAGTGTGAGTTTGCTCACATCCTGCGTTCATGATAAACAGTTTGCTGTTTGGTCATATAGCCTCCAGCGGAATGCTGAGTTGGTCACATCCCACAGGCCTTCAGCTCCCTACAGGTGTGAGCCACCATGCCAGCTAAGCTCTGCTTCTTACATGTTATCTAACCTCCACTCCTCAGTCTCCCCAGTTGTAAAATACCACTGATAAAACTAACAGGAGTTATAAAACACCAGACCCATATTAGGCACTCATCAGATCCCTGAAACCTACCACCCTCCTGGAGAGGTGATAGTAAAATCTGAATTTACTATTCAAGTCCTTGGCCATCTCTGAGCCACCTGTAACCTCCCAGCTTTTGAATGTTCCCTGTTGAATGGGTTCTGCCACAGGACTTCTGGAGAAGCCCTTATCTCAGTTCAGCACCCCTCTACTGTCCTCTTCTGGCCATGATAGTCACTGCAGCCCTGCAGGTCCTGCCCTCTCCAGGATCACTGCACTAGCTTCATTAACATTGGGCACTTTGGAGCCTGACACTGGAGCAGATGTTACAGTGACAAAGTTGAATAAACTCCAGGCCCTGAACCTTAAAGTGCATACCCTGTGAGAAACAAGACAATTGAAGAGCTGATGAAAATACATTGGATTCCTTCTAGAAAGTGGCTATCAGAGGGTAAAGCTGTGTCTTATTGGATGTTGGAGTACACAGGGATATCTTCCCAAAGGAGAAGCACAGACATAAGCTGGTCAAGAACTGCCAAGTAGCAAGGCTGAGTGGAGATCTGCTGGGGGAACCAACCAGCAAGTGTGGAATAGGCTTGTCAGAACATTAAAGGCCAGACTTCTTCCTGAAAACTAATTACTAAAAACTTACTTTTTGCCTTAATTTTATTTCTTGTAAATCAAAGGTAAATAAGTTAATTCTTAGTGTATATGTAAGCTAAACAGTAACTTAGTACAGTTATTTTTAAAGTAAAAAGAATTTTGTCTTAAAATTACAAAAGTCCTTGAGTATTACATCATATATTATGTTAGGTTACATAAATAATTTGTGTATTAACCAAATATATTGATACATGGGCTATGGAAGACATTTTTAGGATGAGGTACTTTAAAAGAAACATTAAAAAAATCAATGTATATAACTGTCAAAGTTATCTCTGTTATTGTGATGAGGGGCTTGATACAATCATCTACATTTTGATTAAGTCTAGAAAAACACCTCCTTATAATTAAAGCAGAATCAAAATTTCAGTGAGAAGAAAGAAAATCATTTGCCTAGTACTTGTCTCTTGGAAAAATTAAGATCTGAAATAGGAGGAGTTTAGATCAGTGGTTCTCAAACATTAGAATCACCTGGAGATTTTAAAAAACCCCTGTGCTCAGCTGGGTGTGGTGGCCCATGCCTCTAATCCCAGTACTTTGGGAGGCTGAGGTGAGCAGATCACTTGAGGTCAGGAGTGCAAGACCAGCCTGACCAACAGGGTGAAACCCCATTTCTACTACAAATACAAAAATTAGCTGGGTGTCATGGCGGGCACCTATAATCCCAGCTGCTTGGGAGGCTGAGGCATGAGAATCACTTGAACCCAGGAGGTGGAGGTTGCAGTGAGCCGAGATCGCATCACTGCACTTTCAGCCTGGGTGACAGAGCGAGACACTGTCTCAAAAAAAAAAAAAGAAAAAAAAAAAAAAATCCCTGTGCTCAAACACAGACCAATTCAACATGAATCTCTGGGTGTGGGGCCCAGGCATTATTTTTTTAAATCTCTCCAGATGGCTTCAATGTGCAATAGTCTCGCAAACTAATAGTTTTAGACAAATATATAACAAGGTAGTTATTAAATTTATCAACTAACTGACCCAAATTAATCAAGAAAACACAGATTTAGTATCCCTGGTCTGAAAATCCAAAAATCCAAAGTGCTCCAAAACTCAAAGCTTTTTCAGCACCAATATGACGCTCAAAGAAAATCCTCTTTGAGAATTTAAGATTTCAGATTTTAGGATTACGGATACTGAACTGTAAGTATAATGCAAATATTCCAAAATCTGAAAATACCCGAAATTCGAAACACTTCTGGTCTCAAGCATTTTTGAATATGAGATATTCAACCTGTATTTTGACTTTTAAATTACCTCTTCAGGACTGGTTAGCAAAAGTACCATACACTGTAGTGATAAGGATTGTGATGTGCTACAAGGGCCTAAGTCAAAACTTAACAAAGACAAGGGTTGATTTTTAAATTTCTTATGACCACGTTTTAACAAATTATTTAGTAAAATTAGCAACTACAGTGGCTATAAGTTGTTCTAGTCTTATTTTTACCAAAGCAAATTAAAAATGCAGATACATATTAAGTATTGTGGAAATTATTTGCCCGTGAGGCCTTGTAATTGTAATTTCTTCTTTTGCATATATACTTTTCTGCTAGAACAGGACATATGAAAAAAATGATTGTAAAAATGGCCCCAAGTGGACCAGAAGATATAGTCCTAGTAATCAGACACATGACACCCCTCCCTACTCTACCCCGATTATACAATTACTCAATTGAGGATTCTTTGGGCAACTCAGAATTTTAATGAACACTAATAACCCCCCAAATGTGTGCAATACAAATAAAATTTTTATATTTATTTTTTATTCCTACAGAGAAGAAGAAACACATTCGTACAAGGGTTCATTTCCCAGTGGTTAAATGTACTGAGAAAAATACATTAACAAAGTAACTCAAGGATACAACTGCTGTGAATTCAAAAGACAGACTACTACAGGAAAAGTGAGTGCACTTACTTTCATATTTTGCAGCTGTTAATAGAAGTCTTAAACATTTAAAATTTAACTAATTCACACAACCTCCACCAAGTATCAGTAAATAAACTTCTAAACAATAAAAATGGATAAACATGGTCAGGTTGTTAGGTTAAGAGCTAAAAATTTCATTTTGCTTCCATGGTTGCAACCATGAGTCTTAAGGCCTTCAAAGCATAAACATCACAGAACACCTATCACAAACCACAAACCAACCACAGGAAAACCCTTTTTATTCTGTGTATCTTCTGTATTTCATTAAATCTAATAAGCCATCAGTTGTAAGATGCATCCTAATTCAGAGATGTCACAAAGTGAAATAAGTATCTCTGGATCAATAAAATATGGTATGTATATATACCCGAGATATGAGAGGAAACTATTTACCAGTTTGAATTACTTCCATACTATTGTGCCAAACAACAATTAAGTGTCAAAACATTGAAATTTTATGTAGGTAAGCTTTTTATTATTGTTTTCTTTACAGGAACAATAATCCAAACAAATCTTGAACCAATCTATAAACAGAAAACCTGTTATATAAATTATTATCTATTTTTGCAATACATCAAAATACTGTATTGATGAAAATAAATAGATAACAAAAAACAATATACATCATTTCTATGTTTGCTATCAGACCCCACAAGTATGTTTGTTTTTACAATTCATTATAGGTGAAAAACAAACTGAAACACAACAGGTAAGTACAATTACGCCACTGTTAAGGACTGCAGATTACACGTGTTAAAGCTTTTCTTAATAAAATGGGAACACATTGCTAGGTACACAGAAACATGATTTTGCCCTAAAGAACAGCTGAACTGTTGAGAGAAGCAAGGGCTTCCTAGCGGCCTTCCAGTGTAGCAGATAATATTACCCTGTGTAACAGAGTATTACAGAGTTTTGCATTTTCCAAGTCTGTAAGTCTAACCATAAACAAAACAAAGACAAACCCAAACATTAAGATATACTGACAATCTTGTTCCCATATATGATAGAATAGTTCTCATACACTGTTAAGATTGATTTACTTTTTTATTAGGAGCACTTCTCAGGTTTTTGGCATTTCACATGTCTACACTCAGTGTCCATTGGCTCCTTCTGAGAGTATCCTTGAAGGTTCGGTAAATTTTGCAGTGAACAAGTAAAAAAGGGCTGGTGTAGGTACCAAAGCCAAAAGGGGCAAATCTTGCTCAAGTTTATCCACTCTGGAAATGGAGATTATTCCATAGGCATGAAGTAACCAGTGGCTGAAGAGAACAATAAGTCTTTTCTTTCTGACCAGAAGATCATAGCAGTTCTATATAATTTTGTAAAAGAAAGAAAAGAGAAATACAGATTATCAGGCTAAGTCAGCTGGGTAATTTAATATAACTTAATATAAAATGTATTATTTATAATCTCAGAATCATAAAATGTTTGAGCTAAAAAAGACTTAAGAAATCACTCAGTCTAGCCACTCCACTTTATAGATGAGGAAAGTGAGGCTCCTAAGGTCATATAAGCACTCAGTAGAGGCACCCAGACGAAAGCTACGTCATCATGTCTCTTAAGTCCTAGTCTATGCCATCATTCACTCCTGGAAACACTATAGTTTCTTCTCAAAGATACGAACTAGAAGGGAAACTCCACTTTATGTGCTTGCTTCCTGCCCTGATCCACTGTTGCTATGGATCTACAGGTGGGAAATAGGAGGTACAGAAACCCAACCTCCTTAACCTCTAACATTCCTGGAGCCTGCTGCATGAATAGTAAGGGGGCAGAAATGACACATGAACACTCTGATTTTCTTTTAATCCTTAATACACCTGTATGCTATGCAGAAATTAGAAGAATGAAATACAAAATATCTAAATGTGCTAATAAACACATTAAAACGTAATTTGCAACAGGTTAGTTACTAACTTTCTCTTATTAAACAGCTCATCAACTCAACCAGTACTAAGCTGTCTTTTTCCGTTTTAGGTCCCCATTTCTGATTCATGCTAACTGAAGTATGTGAACATTTTATATAGGAGATTCACAGGGGCAGAGAAACAAATAAGTTCAAGCTAATTTAACAGTGTATAGCTAATTCTTAACTATGGATAAGCTGTAAAAATTCAAGGTCAGGCGTGGTGGCTCACCCCTGTAATCTCAGCACTGTGGGAGGCCGAGGTGGGTGGGTTATGAGGTCAGGAGTTTGAGACCAGCCTGATCAACATGGTGAAACCCCGTCTACTAAAAACACAAAAATTAGCCAGGTGTGGTGGCATGCACCTGTAATCCCAGCTACTCAGGAAGCTGAGGCAGGAGAATCACTTGAACCCGAGAGGTGGAAGTTGCAGTGAGCCAAGACTGCACCACTGCACTCATGCCTAAGCGACAGAGTGAGACTCCGAAAAAAAAAAAAAAAAAAAAAAATCTCATTTTATTCAAATATCCAAATATCCAACTATTTTCTCCCTCAAATCTTTCCCTAGAGTTGATAAAAGCGCCAAAACTAATTTTCCTATCTTCTTTAATTATATTTCAATGCTGGTTAAAGATGATTACAAAGGAAAAATGAGGATCATCTACAGATGAAAACAACTGAATAATCACTATAAAAATATTCTGTCTAGTTCCTCCACTATTATCTTACCTAAAAGTCACTATGATTCCTAGATGTTTTCCCCCACTCACTCTCTCACTAAGGTAATAGAAAAAGTGGCATCAGCAGTAACCACTCCAAAATAGTTTACAACTTATTTTCTCTTGGTTGAGTTTTCTCTGTTAGGAATTATGAGAAAGCACAGATCAACTGTCATGGGTAGTCTGAGACAGTTCATAGTCCCTAGATTAGCAAGTATAGGATGGAAGAGTACTGAGACACTTTATACTTCTGCTTCCTCTAGAGTTTGGCCTTAGAACAAAGAGTTCTTAAATCAGAGCCATTAACGTATTTAAAAGCAATCATTTAAATGTAATATGTATAACAGTTACTAATATATTAGTAACAATAATAAATATAATTATTTTAGAAAGAAAATGTCAGATTGCATATGAACAAATAATGTACAAGAATGCCCATTTTGATTCAAAGTTTAATGAATACATTTTTCCCTAGATATAGAGTCAAATACACTACTACTTCTCATTTGTTCTTCATGGTTTTAACCAATAGCTTAGTTCCTTTAGAATATTTGAAAATATAAACGTTATGATATGATGTTCTATTCTACCCAGTGACTACAAATGTGTCAAAAGATACTTTTTTGGCCAAAAATATTCTGAAAATAAAGACATACACAATTTTTTAAAAGGAGTTCTTTATAATAGTGGCCTTCCACTGAAATATTAAAATATTAGAGGTACAAAATGAATACTGTGAAAAAGTAACAGTATCAGAATAATGTGGCTATTAATGTTAGCTCCAAATCCCCCAAACATTATGGGGTAAAAGTAAACATCCATAATCAGGAAAATAAAATTTGTGATAAAACACAGAAGGATATGGAATGCACAATTACTGATGACTATTAATGTTGCCATTGTAAAATAAAGTTTAAAATTAGTTCTAAATATAAAACATTTTTATGGTTTTTCTCAAAATACTGTTAATAAGTTTCAACATTTCAATAATTATATGTTTGCTACATGGGAAAATTATGTGAAATGACATTTCTCCTTCATGCTGGATAGTTGGGCCTGACTACTTCACTATTTTGCTAATTTCCCAGGGAAATATATAGTCCAGTACACAACTTTTCATAAAGTTAACAAGCCAAAAGCTACCAAGTGGCATCAATCAGCCAAAGATTACTAAAACAATTAGTTGTACTATATCATATCATATGGACTATTCTGATATTGAATTGTCAAATTTATCAAAAAGTCTTTAACAAAGGAAAAAAAGACTTCCTACCTCTATTTCAGAAGCAGACATGTACACAGCCAGAGTAACCAAAGATAACACTAATATAATGTATGGGAAGGCGTAATCTGAAAGATAAGCATTGGTATTATGTTGGAAATGAAACAAATTTTCTCAATAAACCATCAAATAAATTCAAATAGTAATTTTCCTTAGAGTCAAATCCTTTCTCAACCAGTTCTGTGAGACTTACAACCTAAGGTTCTGAGGCAGTGGCCAGCAAGCTTTTTCTGGAAAGGGCAAGATAGTAAATAGTTTCAGCCCTGCATTTCTCTGTCTCGATTACCCAGCTCTGCAGTTGTAGTGGGAAAGCAGCCATAGAGAATACATACATGAATGGGCACGGCTGTGTTCCAATAAAAACTTTATGGACAATAAAACATACGTTTCATACTCACATCTAGAAATATAAGTCTTTTGATTTTTTAACCATAAAAAATTGTAAAAACTATCCTTGGGCCAGCTTTGAAGAACCTTGCCTTATTAAGGCATCCAGTGAATGTAAATAATTAACTTCTCTCCTCTGCATTCTAGAATAGTACCAGTTATGTACTAAATTTAGGAGAATTCAAAAAAATGGTCAAATAATTTTCTGTGTTTTGTGGTCAAGGTGGGGAACCGCAGTTGAAAAAGGTTATCTATAAGAGTAACTCAGCTTTAATTAATCTTTAGAAAAGGTCATTTAGCAATAAACCTTAAAGGATAAAGAGATCATTCAGTATTCTTAATATCAAAATTCCTGCAATCTCTACTTTAAATACAGTACAGTAATACTTTAAGCAAATTTTTTCCTCTAAAACACCACTTTTCTCTTAAAATGTTTCAAATTTATAACACACTAAAATAAATGGACAAATTGAGAAAAAAACTTTGAATTTTTTTCATACATTATTTGTAAATGACTTCAGTTTATGAAACTACTTATCATTGCAGTAGAACCCATTTGGAACAATTTCAAATGTTAACTCAGGATTCAGCAGCTAGAAACTGAATTATCTATACAGGCCTGATTCCAACTTACTAAAGAACTGAATGACTTATTTGACATTTATAACTTTTTATTTCATAGACAGTTATTAGGTCCTCAATCAACTTTTCAAAACAAAACAAAACAAAAACTCTACTTAACTTATAAGTAGCTAAACAATGTTGCTAATGATACAAATTTAAGACCTGGTAGTAAAAAGCCATATACAGTAAAAAGGAATAAAGAGGAAGTTTCTAACTAAGCCCAAATTAGTGCAAATCAGTGCAAATGTAATCATGTCACTCTTCTGCCTAAATCCTTTTAAGAACAGGTCCCTATTCCCTAGAGCAAGAATGGCAACCTCAAAAGACAGAGAGGGTAGCCAGGAAGGTATAAGGGAATGGGCCAAATCTAACAGGGAAATAGAGGAGCTAGAGGGAACTATAGATTTTCAAATCCTGTGCAGGCCAAATGAAACAGTTCATCTGTAAACCAGAATATGGCGGATAACAGAATTTCTGGTTCCCTTGGTCTTACCCTCAAGCCCCACCATCACCTTGAACCAAATTACATTCCCAAACTATATTACCAAATTACATTACCAAGCTCCATATAAAGGATGGTGTCCAACATCCTTGGGACGTTCAATGTCACATATTCAAAAGAACCACACTACATTTTCTCAGCCACTGGCTTGCCTACTTTATCTCCTGGTAGTAAGTGAGGTTTTTAACAGTGAATTTGTCTTATTCTTTTGAGTCACAGTTTGGTCTAAATGGTTACTAAACAAATGAATTAATGGTTACATTAAAATAAAAGATATATTGAGGACTTTTTACTATAAAAGGTTTTCATAAATACACTTAGAAACCTAAGACCCTACTTAATAATAAACAGTATACATTATCAAGACTAATTTTCATAAATTCCTAAATAAAAACCAGTTTTTATTTCTTATTACATACTTAGATTTTTAAAATATTTTAATTTCGTCATGAACTTCAAATGCAAAGAGAGGTGGGCAGATCATGAGGTCAGGAGATCGAGATCAATGTGGCCAACATGGTGAAACCCCGTCTCTACTAAAAAAAAATACAAAAATTAGCTGGGTGTGGTGGCACATGCCTGTAGTCCCAGCTACTTGGGAGGCTGAGGCAGGAGAATCAATTGAACCCAGGAGGCGGAGGTTGCAGTGAACCGAGATCATGCCACTGTACTCCAGCCTGGTGATAGAGTGAGATTCCATCACAAAAAAAAAAAAAAAAAAAAAAAAAAAGGATTAAACAAACTATCTTAAGGAAAAATCTCCAAAATTAAATCTAGAGGAAATATTACTACATACAATAATAAATATATTTCATTGACTTTACCCATCAAACTTACATAAAAGGCCTCCACCAACTGCCTGAAGCACGGTTAAAATTGGGAAGAAGTAAAGTGCAGCATAAATACTTTTAAATCGATCAGATTTCCCTAACCCACATGCAATCTTCTTCACCAGAAGAGGTCGGAGCAGCATCATTAATACCAAGCAGAATGCGTAATAGATAAATACAATGGTATATCTGTAAAATAAAATAAAGAATTTGTAACATCAAAAATGTTTTAAAAATGTTTTTAATCTTGATCATTTTTAAATGAAAGAGCCTAAAAGAGGTTTAAAAAGCATATTTACTCTATCCATTGGATATTCAGATTGGTGGAAAGCTGGCCAAACAGGCTGTCATACACGGCTAGCAAGGGTACAATGGTTGCTTTCTTAGGCAGTCTGGAAATATGTACCAAAAATCCTAAAACTGTTTATCCCTTTTGATTCAGCAATTTTACCTGTAGAAATTTATCCAAGGGAAACAACCAGGGATACATAAAAAAACCTACTGTACAAGGATTTTTATTGAATCACTTATAATAAAGCCCAGAAGAAAATAAATATTCAAATGTAAGAAACTGGTTATATTTTATAGTATATTCATGCTGCAATATTATGCAGACATAAAAATCTAGTTATGAAATAAATGTTAACAAAATTAACTGTGCCTAATACATTAAGTGCCAACAACTTACAAGATAGCATGTCATAGTATAGCCTTAATATTCCTTAAAATGCATACACATGCAGAAATAAAACTGGAAAGATAAAATTTGTAGCAGAATCATCTCAAGGAACAGAATTACAGATTATTTTATTCTGTGTGTGCTTTTATTCTGTTTTTGAATGTCCCATTTTTAATGTAATTTTTATAATCAGAAAAAAAAAGCTGTAGAAAGAGCTATGTGTCACCAGATTTCTAGCACTTTATTTTGAATAATGGGACTTTTATCCACATAGTTCTACCTTAATTTTCCTGAGTATTTTCAAATCATTTTTACTATCTTGCTACTCAAACCCTCTCCCTATACAGGGGAGTGTCCTAGGAAGTCAGCAGTCATTTCAGATCACGGACCACATGCTTCCTCCCCACACAGCATCATGATACCATAATCCTGTGTTCCTATGATGCTTTTAGGTTCAGTCCTGTACAGTAATGCATTAGTACATGTTTGATCTCTTGGGTGATAATTTTTTTGTCTTGTTATACCACCCCCAAACAACATCAAAAGAAAACAAAATCTATCCATTCCTGCAACTTGTAGTTCCTTAAGAGCTCTAAAAAAGATGATTTTAATCAAGAGGAAACCATTATGTGTTACCTCTTCTAATGAATTAGTTTCCTAGTCTTGTTTGCTACCTCTTATCAACAGCAAAAGAAAAAAAATCTGTCCATTTCCACAACTTGTAATTCCTTAAGAGCTCCAAAAAGATTCACTTTAATCAGGAGGAAACCATCCTGTGTTTCTCCAAATGAACTAGGAAACTAGTTTCTGGAAGTGATTACGTTTCCCACTCCTGCCTTCCACCAGAAGACCTCATCCCATTCCACTCTTCCCCTCTTTCAATCCATGCTGCCTACATGTGGGGATAGTTTAAATTTGACAAACTAAAGCTAATTCCTGCTATAAGAGTAATAACTGCTCATTTTCCATAACTCATTCTTAAAGTTTTAGTAATGTAAAAGTTATTTTTTTGCAGTAAGTTATAATGATAGAAGCTTACATGTTTTTTCATGCCTCATCTGTTTCCCCTTAAAACTATAATTATCAGTAAAGTCCTGTGGTATTTTTCAATTTGTAAGAAACTAGGCTATATATACATTGGGAAAAACAGCCTTCATTTGTCAATGCACTAGTGTTCCAAAGGTTTCTGGTAACTGTGTGCTATTGCTTTTTGTTGACTTGCAAAAAAAAAAAAAAAAAATTACTATGACTTGTGGTAGCCCTACAACCTTCGGAAGTGCTTAGCCCAGTCTGACCATACATTTATATTTAGAATGCTTAGGTAAATAAATAATATGCCTAAACCCAATGCTATAAGATACTATATAATATCTCATAATTTTAAAAATCACTGTTTTGTATAATAATAAAACAAGGCAGGCAAGCTGTTCTACAATGACTGTTGGTAAGGGTGCTGAGGAAGAAAAACAAACAATCTTGATTCAGGGATAGTGAATAGACAAAAAATGTCCTAATCAATGAAGCTGTGTGATGATTCTGATTGACAGAGAGTGCTGCCACAAGATTCTTAGGCTACACTCAAATCAGCAGAAAAAGTGCTACAATAAATTAGAAGTGACTATTACAGGTGCAGATGAGGGTTGGTAGTACCTGTTTGCCATTTCTCTTCTAATCTTATATTTTCTGACCCTCCTACTGTAATAGGCTTTATAAATATTACAATAAATAACATAAATGAGACTATCGCTAAATAAGTCTGATTTTGTTTTAAATAAGATTACATTATATCTTATTTAAATATAATATTCAATTCATTTATTAAGTTTTCCAAATAGGACCACGTTAAGTTATGCAAGGCCTTAGGAGAGTTATATGACAAGAGGGTAATTAATGCTTAGAGTTAAGCTCTACGAATCAATGAATCAACAAAAAGGACATTATCAGTGTTTTATATAGTATTTTATATATAAATTATAGCTATATATATATATCTATAAAATAATTTGCCATACCTAAGAACTGGCAGGGAGAGGCCGGGCACAGTGGCTCACGCCTGTAATCCCATCACTTTGGGAGGCCAAGGTGGGTAGATCACTTAAGGCCAGGAGTTCAAGACCAGCCTGGCCAACATGGCAAAACCCCGTCTCTCTACTAAAAATACAAAAATTAGCCAGGCATAGTGGCACATGCCTGTAATCCCAGCTACTTGGGAGGCTGAGGCACAAGAATCACTTGAACCCAGAAGGCAGAGGTTGCAGTGAGCTGAGATCTCGTGCCACTGCACTCCAGCCTGGGTGACAGAACGAGACTCTGTCTCAAAAACAAACAAAAAACTGGCAGGTAGAAAAGAAGATTTTCATTTTTTCTAAGATATCTGGTTGTTTTGTACCTATTTGCATTTCTATGTTTTTGATGTTTTATTATTAAGAACTTGCTCAAAAAGGACTAATTTCCCTGAGCATATTATGTACTGAAAGCCTGCTACAATTATGAGAATATAAATACCAGACTTCTATTTTCCCTTTCCCCCAAAAAATATCAAAATGAATTTGATTCATTTTCTAGTTCTAGAATTTACAAAAATTCATAAAAATTCTGAAACTGGAATAGTCTGGCATAATTGCATACAGAATTTTATGAATTTAATATTTTGAAAACAAAACATTCTAACAGAAATTACACTTATTTGGGGAGAAAAAAAGAAAAAACACTAATCCAAACACTGTAATAATGCCATTTACTATAAAGTGCCTCCTATATGTAAGTTATATGGTATCTAGAATGTGTGGATTAATTTAATCCTCACGACACCTTATAAGGATCATTATTCCCATTTTACCAAAGAGAAAACTGAAGTTACAAGAGGCTGTTTACATGTTCAAGGTAATAAAGCCGCTGGCAGACCCAGAACTCAAACCCACACCTGTTTTTGTCTCCAAACGCCATAAAATCTATAATAATCCTCAGAGATTTAAAAAAAAACAATGATCTTAAGTCGAAATAAACACTTACAGTGGGTAGACGGCTTCATGAGTACAGTGTACTGTGGTAACGTAATCTGGACTTGGGTTGTAAAGCATCGTGTACCAGTCAGAAAGCATCAATACTCGACATGAACGAATATAAAGAACACCAACTGGATCACTCACAAGTAAGGTGATAATAGCTGCCATGCTGCATTCAAATAATGCAGTGATGTGTTGGAAAAGTGCGCTGGAACTAGAGAAGGAAAAGAGGCATGATTACTAGAAAAATTGCAATATTTAAATGGCTTTAATAAAACATGTACATGTGTCAAGATACAGATTTCTAAATCTATAAGAAAAGTCAAAAACTACTCGAGTATAACCTTTTTTTCTCAAAAGGGATAAATAACACTGTAGCAGTATTATCTAAATGTGTAACAGAAAAGCAGAAATTATATCTACCCTGCATCTTTAGTATCTTGCCAAATTGTTGCTAAAAATTTCTTAGTTATCTGTGTATCATTTTAATCTTAATATGCACATAAAAGATGGTATGTAACGTGTTTGTTAGAAAGTATAGTAATTATAATATTATAAGCTCATCTCCTACCCAATAACTAGAACACTGTCAACAATTTGTAACTACATCTTTGTTCCTCCCCATCCATACCTCTGTCTCTCCCTTAGAGGCAACCATGTACCAAACTGCTTTTACCACTTTTTTCCAGAAAGTTTTTATCCCAACTGTATTTCTGCTTCACAACTATTCTGGTTAGTTTTGCTTATTTTTGAATGATATCACACTAATGGAAGTCTTCTGAGATTTTTTTTCTACTCAAAATTACATTTCCAAGTTTCATCCATGTTATTGCTTATAGCTGAGGTTCAGTCATTTTCGCTATTGTGTTAGGATTCCACTGTGTGACAATACTGTGATTTGTTTATCCATTCTGTGGTTAGTTAAATGTGTTGCAAATGTGTACCTGTTTGTGGGCTCAATTTTCACTTTCTTTGTGAAGCCTTTTTATAAACATGTTCTAAATTTTAATACACCAGGCTTTTATTTTTTTTTCTACTTAGCAGTTTAAATGTTTTAAAAAGTCCTTCCACACCCTGAGATGTGTGTGTATCTCACACACACACACACACCCAAATTTTCTTCTAAAAATTTTAAGGTTTTGCTTTTCACATTTATCTTTAATTCACCTAGAAGAGATTTCTGTGCCTAACGTAAGGTAGGATCTAACTTTACATTTTCCCATTTGAATTGCCAGTTGTCCCAGCAGCAGCATTTTACTGAACAGGTACTCCTTCCCACCCCTACCTTCCCAACTAATTTGCCATGGCACTTCTTTCATATAAAGTTTCATATATAATTGTCTGTGTTTTGGGTCTCTATTCTGTTTCTTGAGTCCATTTATCTATTCCTGAGCCAGAAGAATAATATGATCATAATCCTTGATGTCATGTACATTTTTTCTACTTCTTTGGTGGTCTTGGCTATTCCTGGCCCTTTGCTCTTCCATATAAATTTTAAAATTGGCTTGTCAAGTGCTCAGATAAATCCTATGTAACTTAATGGTCTGAGCTATGTCACAGTACTTGTACTGTACATGGAATATAGGAAATAGTTTCATATATTTATCTTATAGTCAACCTTTTTATTAAACTGTCTTGTTATTTCTAATATCTAGTCTATAGGTGATTTTGAGTTTTCTACTTGAACACTGTTTCCATTATGTATCATTGCATAGCAAACTACCTCAATACTTAGTGGCTTGAAACAAGAACCACTGATCATTTCTCACTATTTTGTGATGTGACTGGGCTCAACTGGGCAGTTCTTTCTGCTCCACATGGTGTCAATTTGGGAAGCACTGGTCTAGAGGCTTGACCATGCTGCAGCATTTAAAAGGACTAACTCACATGGCTGCAGTAAGTGCTGGCTGTTAGCTGGAAGCACAACCAAGGCTGTTAACAGGTGTGCCTTGGTTCTCTTCCATATGGCTTCTCTTTTGTTTTCAGTACTCTGCAGTTTAATTATGATGCATGCAGGTGTGAATTTCTGTTTATTCTGCTTGGGATGTGTTTTCCTTCTGGGATCTGTGAATCGGTTTCTCATTATTTTTGTAAAACCTGAAGCCAGTTATCTCTTAAAATACCAGCTCTCCTTGGCTGGGCGTGGTGGCTCACGCCTGTAATCCCAGCACTTTGGGAGGCCGGGGCGGGTGGATCACGAGGTCAGGAAATCAAGACCATCCTGGCTAACACAGTGAAACCCCGTCTCTACTAAAGATACAAAAAAATTGGCCGGGCGTGGTGGCAGGCGCCTGTAGTCCCAGCTACTCGGGAGGCTGAGGCAGGAGAATGACGTGAACCTGGGAGGCGAAGCTTGCAGTGAGCCGAGGTCGCACCACCGCACTCCAGCCTGGGCAACAGAGCAAGACTCGTCTCAAAAAAAAAAAAAAAAAAATAGCAGCTCTCCTTCATAGTCTCTATTTTTCCAGAGACCCTAATTAGATACTTTGGGCAAAGACTTAACAAAACATTTATGCTGTGCATGAGAATCTGGGCTTCAGGTAACTCTCTAGCTCTTTTCCTCTGGAAGCCTGATAAGGATAGAATGTCAACTATATTGCTAGGCAACACTGCTTATGATACAAATGATCCTTGCCTGGTAAATTATATCTCGACTGGGGAGAACCATAAATGAACTATAAATGCCTGATGGGGATACCATGGTTTGGCTTTCTTGAGTTCAGTGACTCTTATAATTGGCATGTCACTTGCAGGACCCCAGAAGTTCATGGAATTGTTATAAGAGAGACTGGCTTCTGTGAGGTGTAAGACTTTAAGCCTGGACCACTCCCACACCTACCCAACATGGATCTCACCTTCTTGCACCTGATTTTCCATCTCCTTCTTTCTCAGTGCAATATTCCATTATTTCTATGCATTTTTTTCTAGTTCACTAATTCTATCTTCAACTGTTTAATCTGCTGACTACCTTTTTTTTTATTTTGGCAAGTATAAACTTTCATTTCTAAAAGTTTCCTTTTCTTCCCCATCACATGTATTTATTCCTAATAATCTTATTGTTATGGACAGCTTGTGACTACATCCTTACTTTCTTTATAGGTAGCAGTTACATATCCTGTAGGTGAAAGTCCATTATCTGTGTCCTCTCAGAGCATAAATATATTGTTTGTTGCATGTACCAATAAGTCCTAGTGCTATTTTATTTAGTAACCACAGACTATGAGGCCATTACTAGATTTTAATGAGCAAGAGTCTTACAGGGTTAAATTGAGAATGGGGAAGCTTTCCAGCAAAGAGGCTCTGCTACTTTTGTCAGCAGCCATGGCCACTACTACCTTAGGCTTCAGGCCCTTGAGGGTCTAGTCTTAGCAGAGGCTACCCAAGATTCAGTATCCAGATAACACTGCTGCTACCAGCAATTGACCTCAGACAACCCTCTCATCCCAACTGCCTGCCTTGTCACTCTGGCCTAACTCAGGGTGGGCTGGTTTGTGTTTTGAAAGAGAAGAGTTCCTGGAGATCTCTCCATCTCCAGCTGGGACCAGCAATGTCTCACATAGTTTATCTTTCCCAGACTTTAGTTATTTCATGCAGGTGGGTCACTTGGAGCTCCTAATTAACTCACATTGTTGGAAACAGAACTCCTGTGCCATTTTACAAAGATGAAAACACTGAAAACATAAACACACATTCACATTACATAATTTGACATTTTGCTTCCTTATAGAATTAATATTTTCAGAGGCAAAATCCCAACTTCATTATTTCTTGCCATTACTTTGATAACCTTCTTAACTGGTCTTCTTGTCATGTTCTCTTTCAACCTATCTACAGCCAGACACATAATCTTTACAAAATGAAATACAATTTTAGAACTCCTCTCATTAAACTAATTTTGAGTCTTTTTGTCTTTCTGGAAAAATACCCCCACCAGCATCGTCTTCTCTATTTCCTGGCCATGCTAAATGACTTTAAGTTCACTTGTGCCTCCACACATCTGGGCATGCATCACCCTCCACCTCAAACACATTTTACCTATCTGCCAAACCATGCATCCTTCCAGATCAGCTCAGGGGTTATCCCCAGTTTTTATGAACATTTGTTAAGACACCTCCAGCCCCCATCTATCTGGACTGTAAGTGCAAAATTTCAGGAAACTGTAAGAGATGGCCCTTGTGGTCCTTGTTACCAATTTCCTAGGCAAAGCACAGTTGTACAACTCCCTCTTTTTAAACCCACCTCCTTTCCTGTCTGAGCATTAGTCACTCCTCGCCTTCCCTCAAACCACCCTCTAGTCTCTGCTTCAAGTCTCTCCCTCAAAACATAGCTGACGTCTGAATTCAAACGCATTTGGTGAAGACATACCTATGCCTGTTAGCTCTTCTTTACTGTGGGCTGAGAACTTCCCACCAATTGACTGGACAATTATTCTATTTCAGCTTTGTCATATCTCCTTTCTCACCCCATCTCTCATCATTCTATTAATATAACAGAAATTAAAAACTGGATGAAAGCTGCTATTTTTAAAGTATTTTTATAAATTATTCTAAAAAATTATAAATGCTTTCCCAATGTAAATAACCACCCTGGATTTATTAGGTAGGCCCCAGAAAACTGCTGATTCTATTTCTATCTGACCATCCTTTCCATTTCCATTCCAACTACCATAGTCTATTTCTTTGACAACAGTCTTCTATTAAATATCTCACCTCTAATCTACCTACCCTCCACAGAAATTTTCTTCCTAAAATATACATCAAATGATGCCACTTCCATACACCAGACCTTCACCAATAAACGATTCACTCAAATACGGAGTGATTTTTTTGGATGCTCATTCCCTCCAAATCTCATGTTGAAATGTAATCCTCAGTGAGGTGGGGCCTAGTGGGAAGTATTTGGGTCATGGGAGTGGAAGCCTCATGAATGACTTGGAGCTGTGCTCACAGTAATGAGTGAGTTCTCACTCTGTGAGTTCATGTGAGATTTGGTTGTTTAAAAGATCCTGGTGGCTGGGCATGGTGGCTCACATCTATAATCCCAGCACTTTGGGAGGCTGAGGCAGGAGGACTGCTTGCGCCCAGGAGATCGAGACCAGCCTGGGCAACATAGAGAGACCCTGTCTCTACAAAATATAAAAAATTAGCAGGGTATGGTGGTACACGCCTGTAGTCCCAGCTACTTGGAAGGCTGAGATGGGAAGATCACTTGAGCCTAGGAAGTCAAGGTTGCAGTAACCAGTGATCACACCACTGCAATACAGCCTAGGTGACAAACCAGGACATTGTCTCGAAAAATAAAAACGAAAAGATAAATTAAAAAATAAAACATTAAAAAAAATGAAAGAAAGAGGTACCTCCTCCCCCTATCACCATGTGGTTCCCCTTTGCCTCCTGCCTCCTCTCACACTGGTTCCCCTTTGCCTTCTGCCATGATTGTAAGCTTCCTCAAGCCATCACCAGAAGCAGATGCCAGTACTATGCTTCATGTACAGCCTGCAAAACCATGGGCCAATTAAACCTCTTTTCTTTATAAATTACCCAGTCTCAGGTATTCCTTTATAGTAATGGAAATGGACTAACAGAAAACTGAAACTGAAGGGTAGGGCAGTGCTATAAAGATACCCAGCTTTGGAGCTGGGTACCAGACAGAGGCTGAAAGTGTTTGGAGGTCTCAGAAGAAGACAGGAAGGTGAGGGAAAGCGTGGAACATCTTAGAGCCTTAAGTGGCTGTGACCAAAATGCTGACAGAAATGTAGACAGTGAAGGCCAGGCTGATGAGGTCTCACATGGAATTAAGGAAGTTATCAGGAACTGTAGTAAAGGTCATCCATACTATGCCCTAGCAAAGAACTCTGCTGCATTGTGTCCATGTCCTAGGCATCTGTGGAAGTTGGAACTTAAGAGTGATGACTTAGGGTATCTAGTGGAAGAAATCATTAAGCAACAAAACATCCAAGATGTGCTGTGGCTGCTTCTAACAGCCTATGATCAGATAGATGTGGGAGCAAAGGAATGACTTAAAAATTGGGACTTATACTTAAAAAGGAAAGCGGAGTCTAAAAGTTTGGAAAATGTGCAGCCTGGCCATGTGGTAGAGAAGAAAAGCATTTTCAGGAGAGGAATTCAACCAGGCTGTACAGCAACTTGCTAGAGAGGTTAGCATGGCTAAAAGAGAGCCAAGTGCTAATAGCCAACACAATGAGAAAAAGGCTTGAAGGCATTTCAGAAGTCTTTCAGACTGCCTGTCCGACCACAGGCCCAGAGGCCTAGAAGGAAAGAATAGAAAGTAGGCTGTCTTCCTTATTTTTCTCTTTTAATTGGGCACTCTTTGTTTTGTTGTTGTTGTTTTGTTTTTAGTACTCAACTTTCTGAGTGACTTTTAAACTGAAATCAGAAGGAAAAGAAGGTAGCTAGGTAACAAGTTGCAGTCAGATGAAGAGAGTATTTCAGACAGCAGAAAGAGTTTGCAGGAAGGGAAAGAACCTAAAGTAGGAAAGATCCTGAGAAGTTGGAGGAACTAAAAGAAAATCAGTAAGGCAGAATTTGACTTCCCATTCCCAGCAGATTAAAGTTCACATGCTTATCAAGAACCTTCACATTCTGGCCTCAACCTATCTTTCCTACTCCCCTTTATATTACTTTTCTTCATTTGCAACCCACTCTTGACTACCCCAGATTACTTCCATTCCTGCCTACCACAGATCACATATTTCATACCTCTATGCCATTATTCATGCTGTTTCTTCTGCCTAAAATGTTCCTTTTTTGAAATCTTTCAGATCCCATGAGGCATAATTTATCTCTCTGTTCTTTGTAACTCCAGAGTACTTTGTTTATAACTCTTCCACTACATTTCTAAGACTGATTTATAATTATGTACACACTTGTTTTCTCCACAAGATTATGACTATAAGCCATGTCAGTTATTTTTATATCTCCTTCCCTGATCTTCCAAACATAAAATGCAGTGCTTAGTAAATGTGTGCTGATTTAATATGTTAATATGAGTTTTTGTATTAGGTTACAGCTATATCATTTTTAACTACATCATACTAGATTATTAGTATTAAATTAAATTACAAAGAATGTGTTCCATAACAATAAATAGCTTGTAATCATAACCAATTTTGTGTAGAAAACCAATAAGGATTATAGTTGAGAAGTAAAAGTATTCCTTCAAGATCACTGAGAGTAAAACAGACTAAGGACAGTTCCCTTAAAAATTACTAAGTCATGCCCTATTGTTAAGTTTTCTTGTCACAGTTAAGAATAATCTGAAGATAAAGAAAAACATGTTTACCACTTTTAAAACAGAAGAAGCATAATTACTTAATAAGGTCTTCTGAGTGATAATTATTCCAACATTAGTCCAGCCAGATATGTTCATAGAAATGTGCTAACCTCTTTTTCCCCGAGTACCATTCAATGAAGAACCAATGTAAAACCAGAGGAAGCATTGCCATAAATCCAAGATAGAGCCAATCATAAAGTTCAGGAGATTCTGTGCAAGGCTGACAATATTTCTGTGCATTCGTTCTCTGTCCTCTTGGGCATACCTATAATATATAAAACCAATATTTTGTGTACAGATATTATTTTACAACATTAACACCCCCCCAAATCATTCTATAAGACATCCCATTTCAGTTTAAATATTTAAGTTTACATGTGCAGCTTTTAGAAATAAAAAAGAGGGCATAAGTAAAATAAAAAGAAATCTATATTGTATGTGCTATATTTGTACAATGCTCTTAGAAGATTCCTTTTACTAAGTTACTAAAATAGTTGACTAACATTCAATGAAAAACCTAGTTATTAACATTATATAAGAATAACTGCAGATAAATGTTCTGGATTCATGATGTTCAACTTACTGTACAAGACACGGTACCAAATCATAAATTAGAAATTATTATAAAATTATTAAATGTTTTAAAAAATAATATAGACATCAAAATGCCAACATGAACAATGACTATATTAATGCCTCCATATTCTTTTATATTTCCTTATTTTATTTTTTTTTTGAGACAGAGTCTCCCTCTGTTGCCCACGCTGGAATGCAGTGGTGCAATCTTGGCTCACTGCAACCTCCACCTCCTAGGTTCAAGCAATTCTCCTGTCTCAGCCTCCCGAGTAGCTGGGACTACAGGCGCACACAACTATGCCCAGCTAATTTTTTTCTATTTTTAGCAGAGATGGGGTTTCACCATATTGGTCAGGCTGGTCTCGAACTCCTGACCTCAAGTGATCTACCCACCTAGGCTTCCCAAAGTGCTGGGATTACAGGCATGAGCCACTGCGCCTGGTCCTCCATATTCTTTTATAAATTAATGAGTATAATAACAAAAAATGTTGTATGTGAAAATATTTCAAAAGCAAATAGATTTTACAAAATGAAATAAGATACAAACATAAGACTTACCCCACATTCTCCATATATTTCAGTTGAGCCATTTTTAAATAATAGGGTCTTCCCACAATAAAGTCCAAGGCATGCTGGTTGAATATCGACAGCTTTTTAAAAACAAATGCCAGTATAGTAACATCTTTTGTGATTATAAAAAATAATTGCAATAATAGCTGAAGCATTTGGCAAAAATAACAGTTTCAAATTTTTGAATAATATGTATTAGACAAAAGTCTTGAAGCATTTTTAAATTTACATTTCTCCTTTTACACTGTGACACTGCAGACAGTTATCCTGGAACCTTGCTGTTAATACCGTGCCTTATGATTAAGGTCCTCAACCAGCAGAGCAGGATCTATCTCCAGGACTCAAAGCCTAACCCGGTATGATTAGAGGATACTTCTGAGTTTAACTGATTATAAAGTTCAAATATACATATATTTTTAAATTAGAGCACCAGTAGAGGGTCACCACCTTGTATTTTGCCCAGTCAGGACATTAAGCACCCACATGTAGACACACAATTATCATTATCACCTATGTTCATAACAGAACACATTTTCACATGGGAAAAGCAGAGAGAACATAATTTCATAACAGAGGTATGCAAATTACCTTTATAAAAAGTTTCCTACATTGTCCTAGCTTTTATCATTTTTGTGGAGGATAAGTGAAAATTTCATCAAGGCTGTCACTGGGCCAATATTTTAGAAACCACTGCATTAAAATTAAGCCCCTGATCTAAAGGCTTAGGGGAAAAGCAGCTATTCCTTACTTAAAAAAACCCCAACAACTAAGAACCTAATACGTTGTCTTTGACCTTATTCACAAGAAATTATGGAAGTTTTCTTCATCAGTGACATCTGATTCCCTTCATTCATTCATTGATTAAAACAAACAAACAGGCTCGGTGAGGTGGCTCACGCCTGTAATCCCAGCACTTTGGGAGGTCGAGGTGGGCAGATCATGAGGTCAGGAGTTCCAGACCAGCCTGGCCAAAATGGTGAAACCCCGTCTCTACTAAAAATACAAAAATTAGCCTGACGTGGTGGCGCGCGCCTGTAGTCCCAGCTACTGGGGAGGCTGAGGCAGGAGAATCGCTTGAACCCAGGAGGCAGAGGTTGCAGTGAGCCGAGATCGCGCCACTGCACTCCAGCCTGGGCTACAGAAGGAGACTCCGTCTCAAAACAAACTGCGGTCTACATGTGAATTAATTTGAAAAATTATGCATCTTTTGACTATTCTTGAACAATCATTTCCCAAATTATTCACGAATTCACAATCTAGACTGCCTGGTCTACAGTGCCTTCTCTCCTTTCACATTCAAGCAGACTTTTTACTTCCTTCTCCTTATGCTGCTGAGAGAAAAAGAGAAACAGCATTGAATAATATTCCTCCAGTTTAATATTTTCGCTTTTAACAAATTTCGGACTTAGCTTTTTAAACCCACTGGCCTCTTTAATGGGCGCTTATTTTTTTTGTAACCAATTGTAATCACAATGTTCTAAATTAATACATGAAAATGAATATTTCAGGTTTTTCAAGAATGCAGAAGGTAAGGAATTGGAAACTTCTGTATGGGCTTTACATCTAGTAGATGCTTAATAAATACACGTGAATATCAATAATCTAAAGTTTCTCAAAATCCAAGGCCTGAAAACCAGTATGATAAACTGAACTGAAATAAACAGCCTATCACTTACTAAGCAAAACCCAGGCTCCAAGCGACTGTTGAATTTCTCCTTTCATTTCCTTTAGCGAACGATGGCTAAAGTTTTAAGATTCCATTTTTTTGCAGCGGTCCTGCCCTTTGTGACGGGCGCTATAAATCTACGTTTGAGGTTGAAGCAGTAGACAAATTATGCAGCAACTTGCTTCTGCTTTACTGTTTTTTCTGCACTATCACCCGCGTTTTCAATTCCGAAGTCAACCCTCAAGCAAGTGTTCCCTCGACATTAAACTAAGGGACTGAAGAGACATTTCGGACCAAACAACAAAGACCTGGCATTTCGCCGCAGACAGCGCGCCTCCCCTAGTAGCCCGTTGCGGACAGACCACCCCAACCCCGCAGGAGTGCGGAGCCCGGCCCGAGGGCGGGCGGGGTCAAGGGGCGAGCCTGCGCCGCCAACCGAAGGCCGCCTACAAAGAGCCGAGCCCGAGGCCAGCCGTGTAGGAAAGTAGTCGGGACTACCAGAAACGCTTCCCGGGATCTTGGCGACCACTCACCCATGGGCCGCCTGAAGGTTTTTTTCGAGAAGCACTAGATCAGCGGATCTGGCAGCTGCACCGAACATCCGGGCCACAGCGAGCTCGGCGGCTCCGCCTCCCGGTAACCCGGGCGACAGCTCCGAAGTTCCTCCCTCGCTTCCGGGTTTAGGCTCCGAGACCCCGCCCCCCGGACGTGGCTGGTTAGCGTCCCGCCCTCCTCCCGCGGAGTCAGTGGGTGAGGGTCGGGCTTGAAGCCATAGCTGCGGGACCGTACTCGTCTCCCCCGACGCAGACCATGGAGAGCGCGCTGGCGGTGCCCCGGCTGCCCCCGCATGATCCAGGGACGCCGGTGCTGTCGGTGGTGGACATGCACACGGGCGGCGAGCCCTTGCGTATCGTGCTGGCGGGGTGTCCGGAGGTGTCTGGGCCCACCCTGCTGGCCAAGCGGCGCTACATGCGCCAGCACCTTGACCACGTGCGGCGACGGCTCATGTTCGAGCCCCGAGGGCACCGGGACATGTACGGGGCGGTCCTAGTCCCGAGCGAGCTGCCGGACGCGCATCTGGGCGTCCTGTTCCTGCACAACGAGGGCTACAGCTCCATGTGCGGCCACGCAGTGCTGGCGCTGGGCCGCTTCGCTTTGGACTTCGGGCTTGTGCCGGCGCCCCCTGCGGGCACCCGCGAGGCCCGCGTCAATATCCACTGCCCCTGCGGGCTGGTGACCGCCTTCGTGGCATGCGAGGACGGCCGCAGCCACGGACCGGTGCGCTTCCACAGCGTCCCGGCCTTCGTGCTGGCCACAGGTAATGGGCGGGACCTTTCCAGCCCAGGGCAGAGCTGCAACCGGGACGCGACTAACTACATTAACGGTTTTTCTGGGCTGGAACTCTGGCAACTAACCTACTCCGCGAAACCTTGCAATTAATAGAAAGGTAAATCACTGCCAACGTGTGTCAGCAGCCTTGCGTATTTGGTGCGTGTAATTTCGATTTTCCCTGACTCCCATCCGCCTGTGGTTTTGGGAGACCCTTGAGGAGCGAGGAATTGCGTGTTACCCTGACTCAGCGCCTCCCTCTGCACTGGTGAGGCATTCCTAGAGATTTCACCGGTGGATAAAGCAAGGTACGGTGGGGTCAAGGAAAGAGCGAAGAACAGCCAATGTACCAGGGTTCCAGGCTGGCTGAGAATATGCTTGGTAGACACAGAATCACACTTAATAAGTTACTAAACCTGGTCTCCTTTCCTCACCTCCCCCACTTCTTTGAAGAATTAAATGAGAATGAATGAACAAAGCAGTTTATAAATCATTAAGATACGAATGTTGCTTTTCTTTAAGAACAGGAACACACATTGCCTGGTTTCAAATCCTGATAACCCCCTAAAGCTGTGCAACCTTAGGCAAATTACTTAATCTCTCTGTGCCTGTGTTTCTTCTTTTCCCTCATAGAGTTTTTTTGTTAGGATTAAATGAGAGTATGCAAGATACTGTATTCCTGGAGATAGATTGCAAGGTTTATATGATCGCTAAAGTTCCCTAGGCCTATTGAGCCATTAAAAGGTTTTGCTGGATTCTCTAGTACAGATCCTTGTACAGCTTATCATGTAAAGCAGGGCATCTCTATAACCATAACCCTTACAGGAGGGATGACCTGGCAAGCTGGCATCTGGTTTCTCATCAGACTACTACCTCCCAGGAGCTGAATTCTATCAGTAAGAATGCTTTAGTCATTGTGACTGGAAGTGAGCCAGGAGCCAGTTTACCAGGAATAGAGTTATCCTTTTCTTAAAAATCTTCAAGCCATGCAAATCATCTGTTAGAAAGTTGGACCTTGATTCCCCCTGAAGAACTAGGTTTCAGATTAGCCTGATTATGAATGATAACTGATAGAACAGGCACTTTTAGAGCAACCTTAGGCAGCTGAAATCCACGAGTTAACGAAGAATGCCTCTGGAGAAATTGATGCCATTTTCCCAGAGAATGGTGTCACTTCCAGACTGGGAGGCCACTTGAGGGAGACAGAATTTATGTTTACGATTCCATTTTTAAAACCTCAACAGTTTAACTAGCGTGGCTACCAGAATTCCCCCTAGGCAACTCCAGCAGCAGAGTAGAAACACTCTAGACTTCTGTAGGAAATGGCAGCTGGCAGCAGGAACACAAACTACATCTCATTTCTGGGTCAGTTAGGGCAGGGTCAGTCAACCACTTGACCTCAGTAGTTCCTCTCAGTAGTTCCTGAGAGCATCACTGTATGACAGTACAATGATTAGTGGGCATTAATGGTCACTGAGTTAAGAAAATGAAATGCTATATTCTCTACTTTGAAAAATGCATACAAGGCAGACATAGTGTTCAAGGTCACTGCCCCACCTCTCCCCATCTCAGTGACCTTGTGCTAGAGAGTCCATGCCTCAGTATCACAGTCTGCAAAATGAGGATGACAACAGTACCCACCTCAGAGGGTTGCTGAGTTCATCTCCACCCCACCAGGCTAAAATGCAAACTCTTTCTTGTTCACAGTATTCTAAGTGCCTAGAAGAGTAGTCAGTCAATGAATGTTTGTTGAATGAGTAACTAAATAAATGAAATTTGGAGAAGAATATGCTGATTGACAAATGTAAACATCTGGTCCTCTTGAGAAACCTATTGCCACTGGAAATTAAAGTTTTGGCTTTCGAGTCCCTAATCTGTGCCAGGAACTCCCCATACGTGGAATTTTCAAAACAACTCTTTTAGGAGAAATAGCAGTTACAGTTTGCACAAGACACCAAAGCCACACTAATGGCAGAACTAGGGTTGGAACCCTGGCCTATCATATTGCTTCCCTCTCATCCTTAAAATTTTTTGTAGTTTAAGGAGATATGTTTCAATTTTCTAGAATAGTGCTTAGTGTATTTTAAAGCATTTTAAAATCTGTCTTGTCCAACTAAACTCCAAGAAGGGGAAAAGCCTATGTTTTATTCCTTGTACTTCTCGTATCTTCTACAGTAATCGGCACATAGTAGGTGCTCACTAAATCTTGAGCAAAGTAAATCAAATTGAAATTTCAGTGATATGCTTGTATAGAAGAAAAGAAAAACCCTTAGATTTTGGATTGTGTTCTGGATAGAGGTTGTATATTTTAGTAGAAAGGGTTTGGGCTTTGGAGTCACCTGGTCCTGGGTTTGACCCCAAGCTCTGCCACTTATTTAGTGGGTAAACCAGGGAATAATGTAAAGATAGTAAGTAAAACAGTACCTACCTCTCAGGGCTGTAGTAATTAAGGCACTAATGTAATGAATTAAGGGGCTAGTGTATGTAAAGACCTGCCACATAGGAAGTACTCATGGGTGAAATAAATATCTTAATTTTTAATGTTAGTAATTTAGTGATTAAAAAATGAAATAGTCACAGATAATTGGTGGACAAGAGTAACTTTAAAGGAAATTTGGTCCATTTTAAAGAAAAGGAAACTGAAACTCAGTGAGGTGTAGCACCCTACCCAACTGCCCACCCTAAGAAAACCAGACCCAAGATTCTAGAAAGGTTGGGCCAGGGAAATGATTGTAGGCTCAGGGATGACTTCTCCTGAACCAGCTTCCCAATTTCATCCTGGTCCCGGGATTGGTGGCCAATGCCCCATTTAGTTGTTACAATCAAGGGAAGAGGGCAGGCCGACTGAACCCTGGGACCGTCACCTGTGTCTCCTGGTAAGTGCTGATCTTCACCCTCACTTTAGCTTTCCACCTTCCAGCAGTCCCTCATTTCTATCAACTTGCCCATTCTCTTTTCATTAAACTTGCTTTTCATGTTGCGCCAGCATCAAGATAAAGACATTTTTTATTCAGTTTTGTTGTTACAATCCACAGCATGTTTTACTCTTTTGATTATAAACTTGCTCTGTTTTAACACATCATGGGTTAAAAGGGCTTCTGTGGACTAGTGTGGACTAATAGCATACTGATAGCCTTCTGTGGACTGATAGCATACTGATATCTTTGTATGACCTTGTATGAAAACTCAGGAACACAAGATATATTTTCTTTCCCAAAACTTAATTTCTGAAGCTGAAACTCTACTCTGTCCTTTTGGTTCACTTAGCCTCATCACTCCATGTGTTGTCCCCTTTCCTGATATGTGTGAGCAAAGGTTTCTTAAAAGTGCTGTGGCCTTGGAGAGGATGGCACTTCAGTCCTCAGCTTACACAGTTAACCAGCAAAGTGGAGCAGGAGCATTGGCTGCCCCACCCTACCTGGTCCTTGCCCTCTGCACTGCCTCCCCATCCTCTGTTTCTTCACTCCTGCTCCTGTGGTGCCCTGGGGGAAGTTAACACACGTCCTCTCTGCACTAAGGACCTTCAGCCTCCACTCTTCTCAAGGGAGAAAAAATTTATCTCTAGGAGAAATATTTCTCCCTTCAGGACACTCCTTTGCCAACAGATGTCTTTCCCCTGAGAGCTTAGGCTTCCCTAAAATAAAAACATGAAAGACAAGCTTTCTCCCCTGCCATAGGCTTCCCTAAAAGGCAGTGATCACCAAGCTAGCTTAAATTAGGGAAGAGGAAAATTTGAGAAGGGGCGAAATAAACATCACCCAGCCCCCTTTCTTTGGAAATACAGATTCAAGATTTCAAACTACTGACCTTCAGGTGAAACTTTGGGGATGTTGAGACTTAAAATGCTCAAATAAAAACCCTGGTGCAAAATGATGCTGTAGCAGTCAATGATTCTACAATGGCATTTTTCTGTGTTTGCCTGCAGGATACCTTAAGGAGATGAAAACATGTAGATAAGTGTATATAATTTATATAGAAAAATCTTTTATTAAAATTTATGTTTTGACATTACGGCTGAAGAAAATTGATTTGTAAATAGGATCCAAGACCCTCACTATTTTAAACCATCTCTCATAGTACAAGTGGGGAATAGACATTTTCCTTCTTAGTGTTCACAGGGATGCCCTTGGGTTTCCCTCTCTCGGCCTCAGGGGTGTTTCCTAGAAAAGATCCTCAGGGAAGTTAATGAATATGTCTGTATGAGTTAGGGAAAGCATGGCTTTAGTTTATAACTTCTGCAATCATCAAGTTAAAAATAGAATGATGCATCTAGCTATTATTCACTCGATGCTTATTCATTTAAAAAACGGATTTTTACTTCATTATTTTTATGATAGGAAAAGAACATCCCTCTTGAAAAATAAACATATTAAAAATCCTTTGAATTTTATTGCTAAAATACTTATTAACAAACACATCTTCTTTCCAAACACATCTTTTTTTTAGATCTCATGGTGGATGTTCCTGGACATGGAAAGGTGATGGTGGACATTGCATATGGCGGTGCATTTTATGCATTTGTTACTGCTGAAAAGTTAGGACTAGACATTTGTTCTGCAAAGACCAGGGACCTTGTGGATGCAGCGAGTGCAGTGACAGAGGCAGTGAAAGCTCAGGTCAGTAATACTCTGCCTTCATAACCAATTCCCTTCTCTGTGGCATGGAGGAAATATACATTATTATGTCTATAAAGAAAATTAAATGATGTTTAAATTATTAATAGTACTAAGAATAGGGTACTTATTAAAATCTTAGGCTCTAGAGCAAGCTTGTCCCACCCGTGGCCTGTGAGCCACATGCAGCCCAGGATGGCTTTGAATGTGGCCCAACACAAATTTTGTAAACTTTCTTAAAACATTATGAGTTTTTTTGCAATTTTTTTTTAGCTCATCAGCTCTCGTTAGTGTTAGTGTATCTTATGTGTGGCCCAAGACAATTCTTCTCCCAGTGTGGCCCAGAGAAGCCAAAAGATTGGACATTCCTGCTCTAGAGCAAAACTATCTATGAGTTCTAGCTTTACCACTGGTAACGTATATAACCTTGGGCAAGTTACGTAACCTCCATATGCCTCAGTTTTCCTGTCTGCAAAATGGAAATTAAAAAATACCTGCTTTGTAGGGTTGTGAGAATGAAATAAGTCAATACATGTAAAGGACTTAGAGTAGTGTCTGGCCAATAGTAAATGTTCAGTAAATGATAATATTATTTTTTTTGAGACAGGGTCTTGCTCTGTCACCCAGGCTGTAGTGCAGTGGTGTGATCATAGCTTACTGTAACTTCAAATTCCCAGGCTCAAAATGATGCTTCTGCCTCAGCCTCCAGAGTAACTGGGACCACAGGCATGCCCCATCACACCCAGCTAAATCTGTGTTTGTGTGAGTGTGTGTGTGTGTTTATATAGAGACAGGATGTCACTATGTTGCCCAGGATGGCCTCAAACTCCTGGCCTCAAGTGATTCTCCCAGCTCGGCCTCCCAAAGTGTTGGGATTACAGGTGTGAGCCACCACACCTAGCAGTTACTAAATTTAATAATACATACATACTAATATAGTTTATAGTTCCTTAAATGTGTAGAAATATATTTATAGAATTCTGCAAATTTTAAATGCATGTGTGTGGTCATTCTGTTAAACTTGAAAATAATAAATGTAAAATATAGTGTACAGAATAGATTTAAGCCTTTTTCTTATTTCATAGAGAACATTAATTCCTATTATTTTTTTCCTACATTGCTAAGAAGTTACTCAAATAACTACTTAAATAACTCTAGTTTTTACTTGGGAAAGCTAATTTGATAAAATCAGTTTAGATAATAATTCTAGGATATTCTTTCACTTCTAGCACGAGTGAAGCACATTTTACCTTGAAATTGGGACCTATAAATAAAACACATGTACAGTATTTGAATGTTTAGTACGTGAGAATTTAGTATGTGAGAATTTATTAGTAGTAAAAAGTAACTTGTGTAAGATAGTGTCTAATGTACGAATAATTATCATTTTCTGAAGCTTTATTTTAAAATAATTTATAACTTAAAATGAGAATATACACTGTATCAGTATTCTAAATTATTTTTCTGGTACTGCCAGTACCAATATGTGCAATTATATTATGATAGCAACTTTTGAAGCTCTGAATTTACATCAGTTTTCTGTTCCATTAAGCAGGACAGCTAATAGTCTGAGTTAACAATTTGGCACAAAATAATTTCTCCTAATTTTTCATGAATTCAAGAGAAAAAGTCATGGATATCTTAATAAAAGGTGTAATTTTGTACTTCTCATTTGAGTTTGAACTCAACAAGATGGCAAGGGGTGGACTTTGAGGGAGGAAGGATTCTGAGAAAAATGAGGACAAGTTCTGTTATTGATGTATCAGACAGTACAATTAATTACTCTGTGAACTGTTGACTATTCACACTGCTGAAGCAGATTTAGGAAAAGGCCATGGGGATGGAGAGTTAAAGTTAATATAAATTCATCTTAATTCATTCACTCTTTTAACAAACATTTACCACAAACATACTGTATATATGTTAGACATTCTGCTAGATCCTGGAGACTCGAAGAAAGAACAAACCCCACCTTTGAGGAGCTAGCTCCAGTTGGGGAAGCGAGCATACCTGTGAACAGTGTTATGTTGGAATGTGCTATAGTGGAGGTGGGGCGTATCACTTTAAGAGGATGGAGAACAAAGATTCAATCTGCAGGCCGCTTTAACTTGGTTTCAGATGGACTCTTTGGATGTTAAGAACCCAAAGCTGTTCCATTGCTTTAAATGACATGTAACTGGAAGTAGAAAGTACTAATTGTAAGCATATACAAGGGAAGTCAGATTATAGCAATCTCAGTCATACTGTAAATGTTTGCAGAAATCCAGGAAAAGTTAAAGAACTAGACTTCCAAGAACAAGTAGCTTTGCATATTTGGGCCTGAATCTACCATTGAGTGACTTAGCTACCCTGCCAGTGCCTGCTTCTTTGTGTGCATATCTGCTGCTTTTTGATGAATCAACTGACTTCATCGTCTACAATAAATCTTTTTTTCCTCCAATTGTTTCTCTTGCCTAATAGTTTCTGCATTCTTACAGAATGTTATATCCTCTCACAGCCTTTGTCTCTATCATTGGTGTTAACTTCAGCTCTAGATACTCAGAGCCTGATTTTCCCACATTATCCTCCTTAAGCTCCTGAGAATAAGACTATGATTGCCTTAGCTCATCCTGTTTGAGCAGCCATCGCCAGCCTGTGGATTGACCATCCTGGGGTCAGTGCTGCAAAGACTATGTGTATTTGGGGTGGGAGGGGTGTATAAAATAGGACTGCTTTTTTAGCAAAGGCTATATGCAGGACAGCTTCCTTAGAAGGGACTCAAAGTATGATAAGAATTATAAATTGCAGTAAAACTATGTTTCTTCATCTAGACAAAGACATAATTTCTAGCAATTAGTATACGTTGCCCAAAAAGGTATTTTAAAAATGATAAGGATTAAAAAGTTATGTCTAAGAATGACCCATCTGCATTATTTATAAATTTGAATCAAAATATTTATTTTGCATGTGATCTTTTTTTGTTACTTGCAGTTTAAAATTAATCATCCTGATAGTGAAGACCTTGCCTTTTTATATGGAACTATATTAACAGATGGAAAAGATGCTTATACCAAGGAACCAACCACCAACATTTGTGTTTTTGCAGATGAACAGGTATTAAAACTGTAATGTTTAGGGACAAAAGCCAGGTAATATGGAACACACTATGAACATTCTGTCTTCATTTATTCTGAAACAGGTTGACAGAAGTCCCACTGGCTCAGGAGTGACAGCCCGAATTGCCTTACAGTATCACAAAGGGCTTCTGGAACTGAACCAGATGAGAGCCTTCAAAAGCAGTGCAACTGGCTCAGTATTCACAGGGAAAGCTGTGAGGGTAAGTGGCACCCTTAGCTTCTTATTTATAAATGTGTCACTCATGAGACTGGAGAGGCCTGAGTTGGGTGTTTGATAAATTTCTTCACTCAGCTCTCAGAAGAGAATTTTAAAGCAGGCCTGTAAAAACTTCTTTTCAACTAGGACATTGGTTATCCAGTGTGGTCTTGGGGCCCCAGCGGGCCCCTAAGGTCCTTTCCATGGGTTCAGAGGGTCAAAACTGTGTTCATAATAATGACATTATTTGCTTTTCACTCTCATTCTCTCAAGAGTGTACAGTGGGGTTCTTCAGAGGCTACGATGTGATATGTGATAACCCAACCAATTGAATGCAGAAGCTAGATATGAGAACCTAGTTGTCTTCTGTTAAGCCAGACATGAAACAGGTTTGCAAAAATATCAAACAATGCCACTTTTCTCATAATTTTTTTTGTTTTGGCAAACAGTTATTTTCACAAAAATGTGTTATTCATATGTTAATGTATAATGGGTTATTTTTAAAATGAAGTAATGAACAGATATATCCAATTCCTAATACAGTAAATATTGATAGATATAACTTATATAAAGAAAAACTCTTTGGGGTCCTCAAATCTTAAGGTATAAAAGGGTCCTAAGACCAAAAGGTTTGAGAACCATTAGGATTTGGGGTTTTTTTTTGTTTTTTTGTTTTATTTTATAATAGTGTTTTATTTGATATAATAGGATGTGAAAGCCCTGAAAAGTTGTGGAACATCAAATTTTTGTAATGGAATAAAATTTTAAATGTGCTAACAGCTAAGTAATGAATCTTATCTCAGTAGTAAATGAAATCTACTACAGAATGATCTACATTCAGTAAATTATTCTACTCATAAAGAGTCCTTTAACATAGCAAACAATCTATCCTAATATAGCTGTTTTTAAGATTTGGTGTTTCTGAATATTAGAGTTTCCTTAAGGATCTCTACATCATATAGTGATCTGAAACATGTGAAACCATTTATGTTGTATGCAAAAATTTGGAACATACTGTCTTCAAAATCTGAAATGGAACATAAAAATAACAACATACATTTATTGGATACTTCACTGTGCATCAGTTTCCAAGCTAAGCACTTGATACATGCCATCTCATTTAATCCTCACAAGAATCCTACAAGGTCAGTACTGTGCTGTTATTATCGTTTTTCAATAGATGATAAAACGGAGAATTGGAGAAGTTAGGTAATTTACCAGAGGTTAGTTAGTGAGTAGCAGATCCAGGTCATGAAGGTGGGTCTCTGAACAGACCACATGCTGTTAAGCATTATATTATATTGCTGTCAGACAAAGCAAAAGGTCAATGAGGCTTTATATTATAGGAGCTGTTATGAGAAGAATCTGGGATTGCAATGTCCCCCCAAATAGAGAGGGAGCCGAGAGACCAAAGAATGACTCAGACAAGTCCAGGTTGGCAAGTAGATGCATTTATTAGAACTTCCATATAAGGCACTCCTGGGAAGCAGCTGAACAACTGTGGAGACCCATCCTGCCTCCTGACTCTAAGCTGCTTTTAAGCTAATTTTCTGGCTCTTTGCCTACTGTGTATGTGTGATAGGACTGTTTTCCTTGGTATGTTCCCAGATATTCTCTGGGATATTTGGGTTCTCAGGGATACCTGCTTCTTGGCTGGGCACCATGCCCTTGGCTTACCCCCCAGCCTTCAGGGTTCAAGCAGTGGACATACACCCTTACATAACCTGGTGAAGGACCTGTCACACTACAGCAGCTTTATAAAAAGATATAAAAAGATAAAGTATTATACCCTAACAATATTTGACATTTTACCTTTAGCTTCAGTTATTATTCTTTTAAAAATTAGAACATAAAAAGATATGCTGAAGTTAATGTTTCCAGTTACTTGTTTTATAGTTATTGATCATGCTTGCCAGAATGTCTTCACTTGCATCATGCTCTCTCCCTGTCTGTGTGGGCCCGTCCAGGCTCCCTGATGGTACCTTCTCAGTTTCTTCCCCTGCTGCAGCTTCCTTTCCCTGTCCTTCCATTTAGATGTTACCGTCACTTCATCCCCACCTTCCTTCTCATCTCTTCTACAGTTTGATGCTGCTGGGCAATTTCATCCACTTCCTAGGCTTCAGTTCTCAACCATCTACTGATGATGACTCCCAAATGTTTATCCCTGCCCTGACTACCTACCCTGTATGTCTTTCTGAATATAACGCTCTTAATCCCAACTGTTTATTATACTCATCTCTAAATGACTGTCCCAGAGGTGTCTCAAACTCACCTTGTTAAAAAGTTCTTCCTTTCTTCCTTTCTCAAATGTGCTCTTCCTTTCTCTCCCCATTGTGTTTAATGGCATCACTAGCATCATTTCCAAGCTAGAAACTATGGTTATAATTAACTTATTGCTAGTCCTCAATTCCCACATGCATTGATCAAGAGGCCTATCAGTTCTACCTCCAAACTATCTCTATGTTAGTATATATTCCCCTTCTCCATCTTCACTGAAAACTCCCATAGTGACTCTGGAATCAATCATTCAGTGAATTGAGGTTATCTCTTAACATGTTTCTGGGTCTCTTGTCTCTCTCTTCTCCAGTTTGATCCCCACTTTACAGCTACAGTTATCTAAAACACAAGTCTGACCATGTCATTCTCCTTAAAAACCTTCCCTGGCCCATAGGATTAACCCTTGGCCTTTCCTTCACATGATAAAAGTCAAGAGTACAGTTTTCAAGCCAGATATAATACGAGTGCAATATTTTGATAGTATACTCCCTTCATCTTTTTTCAGGAAGCGAAATGTGGTGATTTTAAAGCTGTTATAGTGGAAGTATCAGGACAAGCCCATTACACGGGTACAGCAAGCTTTATAATAGAAGATGACGACCCATTGAGGGATGGATTTCTTCTCAAGTGACTTCTTCCATGATTTTAAGGGCTTTCTTTTTAAAGTAATCATTATCCTTAAGGACTGTTTTCTCTAAATTATATGAAAACAAATAAATTATACATATAAACTAACTCTCATTCTTTGTAAAATACTACCCTGTGGCTAAATATAAAGTCATTATACCTCGTATTTGCAACTGTATTTGTATAAATATCACTTATGTCTAGCATACAAAATGCCAGAAATTCAGAGTCTTTTTCTAGTGATTAACGTATCAGGTAAAATTAAAACAGTAGTTACTTTTAAAATATTGCTCTATAGTAATTACTATTAATATCATATTTTGTATTAAAGGCTCTTCGAATAATATGTGGAATTTAACTGAACTTTACAAGCTCATTATTTTTGTCTTCCATTTTTTTGAGTAGAATAATGCCCTCTCTATAAGCAGCATGTAAAGGAGATGGATTATTATAAAGTACTCAACACTTAGCACAACAGCCTGGGAAGGATGGGGCTGGAGTCAGCTTCTTTGTTATAGCTGCTGCCAGGGTGTTCTCTGTGGCACAAAGCCCAGCTTCTACATCCACAGGTACTGAAGTATCAGAGACTGATGCTGAGAAGACCAACTAGTAATCAGACTTTTGCTATATCTTCAGGGCTTTTATAAAAGGGGTTGCTTATTGCATTATTAAAATACAGATATACAGTAGAAATTAAGCAGTGAATCCTTACAATGGAATGAGTCTCATACTCTATCAGCTGCATGCTAGGTAGATTTAAAACATGAAATAAATGCTTACTATTGGCATTCCTTCTAGTTAATACTTCCTATGAGCCTGTTAAAAATAGCTGAAGCATTAAAATATTCTAAGATGTGACGCTCCCTGAGAATTCAGTAGAGTCTTTTGTGAGATAGGTAATAGTATTTTATTTTGGAGCATCCAGAAACTGAAGTAATTAATTCATTTAACAGGCTTTATCACCCAGAGAGTCTGTATAGGCCTTATTATTAGGTCTGTGATTTAATTACCTGAACAAAAGGAAAGCTATCATGTTAATGTTTATTTCTCTGTTACACAAAAACAGGATGTTTTTCACTCATTCTCCACAGAATTCTGTGGTAAATAAATCACTTATCTCAAAAAAAATGACATCACTAACAATATGACCAAATAATTTTTGCAGATCAGATTTGCTATACTTTTTAAAAAAAATAAAAACAGAACCAGTATTTTCCCTCCAAATCTCACAAGTCACATGAATTTGAAGGAAATTGTTTAAAAATTACATTTTGTAGCATTTTATAATCTATCAGGTACATACTGAAGTACATTCAGAAATGCATGATTCCATGGCCATCAGGGTAGGGGGTAGTTTTACTCACTGACCTCATTTAGAATTGTCAGCATTTGGTGATAATTTTTAAAAAGACTTTTAGTTGATTTTATTATTGTTCTAAAATTCTCTAAAGACAGCACACCCCTTTATCAACTCCACCAGGGGAAACTATTCCTGCCCTACCCGTGGTATGCCACTGTTTTTATCCCATTTATACATTTAAGGGAGATGCAAGTCGAACATGTTAAATAACTCTCCTAAGGTCATTTAGAGGCTGCAAATCTAGGAGTTCCGACTCCAAGTCTAGTATTTTCCTACAACACTTCCTCCAGTTCTAAGATAGGATGGCCATAACTTGGTCTAGGATATAGTACTTTAATAAGAATGTTATATTTCTTGAACATTAAACAATAGCTATTACCTAAGTCTTCCTAAATTTCAATCCAAACCAGAGCTGAACTCTTGCAATAGTGTTCATTCCTGCTGTACTTCACCCTGGTTCCCTTGAACTAAAAAACATTAGGGAAATCAACTCCTCCTCCTCTGACCTCCACATGTCTAGTCAGTCACAAAGCCCTGTTGATTCTGCCTTCTCAATACTGCTCACATCTATCCCTTCCCATCTCAGTGAGGGTCTTGCCTCATCAATTAACCTTTTTCAGGTGTCTCCAGTCTCCTGCCCTCCCCCCCCCCCCGCCCCCAGCCACCCCCACACTGGTTCCTTCTCTTAAGTATTTAAATGTGCTAATTGTAAACAAAATGAAACAAACATCCCTGTCCCTCCTTCCCTCTGTGGATGGCTGTCACTGCTAACTCCTTCCCTTGGTATTTAAGCTTCTAGATTCCTTACTGTCTCCTCATTGGGAACATTTTCTCACCTTCCATTTTGCTATTCAACTACTGCAATCTGGCTTCTACCTCATTACTCATTAGAAACTTTACCTAATTGCCAGGTCTTATGGTTTATGCAATCCATGGTGGCCCCCGCTGCTTGCTCCCTGCAGGTAGGTGTGGTCCATTTTAGAACAGGCAACTCTAGTCCCTTGGTGCTGAGCTCACCCACAGAACCACTCAGTTAGGCTTATGAGGTTAGTACCCAGTCCCCATTAGTGCCCGCCAAAGTGCTGCAATTGTATGGGCCCAGGCCCATCTCCTCTTCATCATGAACTCACAATGCACTTTGCTCCAAGTCCTCCAGACTCAGTAAGAGTTAGGTCACCCTTCTCTTCAATCCTGAAAGACACAGATAGCATACTACCTCTCTTTAGGACACTGTTCTTCATACTTCAATGTGCATGTGAATCACCTGGGAATCTTAGATTCTCATTCATCAGACACGGGGTGGGGCATTTCTAACAAGCTCTCAGGCGATGCTAATGTTGCTGGTTGGAGTACTGTGAGTAGCAAACTTTTGGATGAGCCTATTTTAATTACCTGTTTGGGTAATCCTGGCTGGCAACTTCTCCTCTAAGCTCTGAAACACATGAAAAGCCTGTTAGCTCTCCACCTGGAGGTAAAGGATAGCGCTCACAAGTACGTTCCTCATAAAAGGCTGGGAAAATTGCCTTACCTTCTTTTCTGAAAACCAAAAACATAAAACAGCTGATTTCTCAATAGACCATTGTGCCTCATTAACTGTATCATTCACCTGCCTAGCTTTGCTTTCTTTATCTGCTTCTTAACTTTTATTACTCCCTAGCATTCCATCCATGGTCCTTTTCTTTCTTCCCTGACTACTCTGTCCTTAAATTGTCACATTCATTCCCATGGTTTTCCCTCTTGTAGAGAGACTAACCACATCCACATCCCTAATTTCTGAGGTCTAAGGCCATACTGTAGATTCAGTACTTAGAGGACAACCAAGATCATTTTCCCCCTAGACTGTGGCCCTCTTCCCATATTTCCTAACTTGATTAATGGCACCACCATCCACCAAGCTAGGGACTTGGGATTGACCCTTGGCTCCTATTCACAATCTTTGTCCTCTTTGTTGATGCTCCTGAGGTGGATAGCTGTGGATTTCTCCAGCCATCATGCCTTTCCCCTTCTTTTACCCCCCAACCTTTTTTTTTTTTTTTTTTTTTTTTTTTTTAATGAGATGGAGTCTCACTCTGTCGCCAGGGCGAGAGTGCAGTTGGCATGATCTTGGCTCACTGCAACCTCTGCTTCCCGGGTTCAAGCGATTCTCCTGCCTCAGCCTCCTGAGTAGCTGGGATTACAGGTGCCTGCCACTACGTTCAGCTAATTTTTTTGTATTTTTAGTAGAGACGGGATTTCACCCTGTTGGCCAGGCTGGCCTTGAACTCCTGATCTCGTGATTCACCCACCTTGGCCTCCCAAAGTGCTGGGATTACAGGCATGAGCCACCGCGCCTGGCCTCCCCTTCTTTTATCAACAGCATTCTCCTTTTTCTTTGGGAAACTACCTGCATGTAGTCTTGCTAGGACTGCTGGGAAACTGGTACACCAGTCAAGACTTTTTCCCCCAGACCTGAGATCTTGAGAAATGACATAAGGTCTGAAAACTGAAGTTGATCTGTTCCAATGGTGGCCTAAAGAGATCACTCCCATCAGTTTCTGCTCTCCCTACCCACAGGACTGCTCTGACTTCTCTTCTTCTTGGAGCTGCTGTTAGACTGTCCTTTTGTAAATGGAACTTCCCCTGTCCTTCCAGTAAATTCCTATATTGCTTATGTGAACCAGTGTCCTCATGTGTTACTTACGCCCAGAGAATCCTAATCCATATACTACCTACCCTAATCTATACATGACCTCTCCTTCTTCACTGCAAAGGTCCACTTCAGACTCTCACTTTTCACCTGGACTGTTAGAATGCCTCTCCTTAAGTGGTCTCCTAAATTCCAGATTCTCCTCTTACAGTTACTCAAAAAATATTTTTTTGTATGTTGGCATTTGTATAGCAGTTTGTTAGAGTGCTAAGTGCTGGGGATCTCATAAAATAAACAGGCAAGGTTTAGGTCCTCATATAGTATAGAGTGGGAGGCAGGTAATGCTTAGATAATCACGCAAAAAATTATAGACCATGGTTATGTGCTACAATGGAAAATACAGAGTGCTGTGAAACTAACAGGGGAACATGGCCCAATACGTGGGGAAAGGACGGTATCAGTCAAGGGAGGCTTCCCCCATGGACTAACCTTAACGCGAAGATGGGGATGCTAGGGAAGGGAAGAAGAAGATGGAGCTTTCCAGGCAGAGGGGATAGCAAGTGCAAACACCCTAAGATGGAAGGTTTAAGGAAGTCATAAAAGCCAAGTGTGGCAGGAACACAGAAAAAAGAAGGAAAGTGGTACCGAATGAGACTAGAGAGGAAGCAGGGTCAAATCATGCAGTGCCTTGTAGGAAATATTAAGGATTGGGGTCCTTATTCTAAAATAAATGGGGAAAGCCAATAGGATTTTTTTTAAAAGAGACATGGTCTCACTATGTTGCCCAGGCTGGCCTGTAACTACTGGGCTCATACGATCCTCCCTCCTCAGCTTCCTAAGTACCTGGGACTACAGGCACATGCCACTACACTGGCCTAATTAGAAGAGTTTAAATAAGTAAGTGGCATGAAGAATTTTTTTAAGAGCATTATGCCTAGCTGCCTACAATGTAGGAACTGGATGTGGGAAGACCGGTTAGGACAACAGTGACAACAGTAGTCCAAAGAGAGGATGAGAGCCAAGATTCAGGATGGAGGAGATGAATGGATGCAAAGATAGTCCGCAACTAAAATCCATAGGTCTTGGTTGATGAATTGGATGTGGACTGGTGGTAAGGAGGAGGGATTCATCAAGGAAAACTCTTAAGTTTTTGGCTTAAAAGCTAGAAGGATGGTTCTACCATATTCTGAGATACAGAGTATTGAAGACCAAGTTTTACCGGGGAAGTAGGAAGAAGATCATGCACCCATTTGATGTGCCACTGGCACATCAAGGAGAGAGATGCCAAGTAGCAGGACATGTAGGTTGGGGCCACAGACATAATTTGAGTAATGAATATATAGATTATCTTTGAAGTCCTGGATGTGAGTGAGATGGGGCCGAGGGGGGAGTCCAGAGGAGCTGAGAACAGGGCTTTGATGAACTCCAGCATGTAAAGGCAGGTGGAAGAGGATGAACTGGCAGAGGAGAGGACACTGAGAAAGATGAGGAAGGAAGGAAGCAGAAGAGTGCAGTCCTTCTGGTCCTTCTGAACCATGCACTTGCTCACGGCCCTCCCTTATGCTATTAGCCCCTCCTCCCCTGATGAAGTTCAGTCTCCAGAGCATGGCCTACAAGGCCCATCATAAGGTAGCCCCAATAAACTTTGATCATTTATTTCCTTCTTCACTCCCCATCTCCAATATCCTAGAATTCAGACACTGCTCACTTCAACACTAACCTCCAGACTTTGCACATTCATCAAATGTTCTTTCCCTTTCTTCTTTTTTTAAAAAGTCTAATGTCACCTCTTGTACAAAGTCTTTGTCAGGAAGACAAATAATTTCACTCACATATTTTTAAGACAATATTTAGCACACTGTAATATACTGTGTTGGCCGGTGGCTTAAGCTTATTTGGGCTGGGTTTCCTATCTTATATGTTGTTTCCTAAAACTAAGCACAATCTGAGAAGATTGTGTTTGCCAAATAAATTAATGTATGATAATTATATTTTTGCTTTGATTGACAAAATTAAGACAAAATCAGTCTAGATTAAGCTGGCATTGACTGCTCCCAAGAGGATATTTGGCAATATCTGAAGACAGTTTTAGTTGTCACAGCTGGGAGAGGTGCTACTGGCATCTCGTAGGTAGGAACTAGGGATGCTGCTGAACATCATACAATGTATAGATGGCCCCTGCAATAAAGAATTATCTGGCCCAAAAGTCCATGACGCTTAGGCTGACAAACCCAGTTTTGGTTTGCCACCTTAAACGTTCTTCTATTTATACTGTAAATTTCCTGTAGGATATTTTTTCTGAATGAAATAAGCACTCCAATACTAATACCATTGATTCTAAGATCTACAAATATACTAGTCATTCTTTAGAGCAGTGTTTCTCAAATTTGTGCATCAGAATCACTGGGAGGGCTTGTTAAAACATAGGTGCCTGGGCCCCACCACAGGAGTTTCAGTAGATCAGGGGTATCCTATGCACTGTAGGCCTGATAATTTGTATTTCTCAAGGTTTCCAGGGGATGTTGATGCTGCTGGTCCAATGTCCATACTCTGTGAACCACTGCTTTAGCGAAGAGCCCAGGGTTAGTTAACCTGAGGGTTTATCACACTTTTCCCCATTAGAGGCCATGCCCAGAAACTTGAGATGCAACTTCCCTGGGTAGCCCTGCCTTTCTTTTCCCCGTATCTCCCAGCCAGGTACCTGGAGCTGCATCTGTGGTGATTGCCAGGCTGGCAGCACCTTAGACTCAAAACATACCCCATTCCTGAGAACAGATGAAGGCTGCTAGCAGGGCAAGGCACCAATCCCTCTCCCCCCATTTATCAGCCAGTAGGGGCCTGAGGTCCAGGCCCTTGGAAATGAAGTAACATCTAAAGGAACTATCCTAGCTCCTCAGAGCACCTGTATCAGAATCACCTACGGGGTTTAGAGTCATGGGCCCATCCTTAGTAATTCTGTCAGCCTGGGAATCTGCATTTTATGAAACTCTTGACATCAGTGCTTCTGTAAGTGTGGTCCTGGGACCAGCATCATCATCACCACCCGCGAACCCGTTAGAGATACAAATTCTTGGGTACTTCCCCAGACATATTCGAAACGCTGGGGTTCAGACCTCGTCACTTGTATTTTAACACGCCCTCTATGTGAATTCTGTTAGCTCAAGTTTGAGAATTACTGGTTTAAATTAGTCTGCTTCTCAAGTTTAAGATGTCTGGATGTAGACTTCTGGATTTTTCTTTCACTTCACTTTCTAGATTCCTTTCCTACCTGTATATACCAAAAGCACCCACAGGAAGCAGAGTGCCCCCCCCACCACTCCCCAAAAGGCCTGCCTGTAGAACATTTGTACCCTACAAAAGAGAGCAAGAGTGAACTTTCGTTGAATCTGGTCATTTGTTTGCATGCCAGTCGGCACTTTATCTGGCCGGACATTGGTCCCTCAGGAGGTCGACCTGGCACTCTCGGAAACCCGAACACCCGGGCCGGTAACCTCCGGAGTGGCGGTGTCGCGGGTCGGCTTTGCAGCGGGTACTGGGCTGCCGTCCCGCCCCGCGCTCCTGCGTAAACACGCGGTTCCCTCGGCAACGCTGGAACCCACGTCAAAGGCTCCGCCAGGTCCCCAGCGACCGCCACCCCTCCGGCCGAGCCCAGCTCCCCGCGGCGGCCGCTAGCCCCCGGCCCCGAGCCACCACTCCGACCTAGCGGCCGCCGCCCCCGGTGCGGGATGAGGAGATCCGCGGCCGCCACTGGGCCCCATGGAGGAGCCGCAGCCGCCCCGCCCACCAGCGAGCATGGCCTTACTGGGCAGCCAGCACTCCGGCGCCCCCTCCGCGGCCGGCCCACCTGGCGGGACTTCCTCCGCGGCCACGGCGGCCGTGCTCTCCTTCAGCACCGTGGCGACCGCGGCGCTGGGGAACCTGAGCGACGCAAGCGGAGGCGGCACAGCTGCCGCTCCCGGTGGCGGCGGCCTTGGCGGGTCCGGGGCAGCGCGGGAGGCGGGGGCGGCGGTGAGGCGGCCGCTAGGCCCGGAGGCGGCGCCGCTGCTGTCGCACGGAGCTGCAGTGGCGGCCCAGGCGCTCGTCCTCCTGCTCATCTTCCTGCTGTCTAGCCTTGGCAACTGCGCGGTGATGGGGGTGATTGTGAAGCACCGGCAGCTCCGCACCGTCACCAACGCCTTCATCCTGTCGCTGTCCCTATCGGATCTGCTCACGGCGCTGCTCTGCCTGCCCGCCGCCTTCCTGGACCTCTTCACTCCGCCCGGGGGTTCGGCGCCTGCCGCCGCCGCGGGGCCCTGGCGCGGCTTCTGCGCCGCCAGCCGCTTCTTCAGCTCGTGCTTCGGCATCGTGTCCACGCTCAGCGTGGCGCTCATCTCGTTGGACCGTTACTGCGCTATCGTGCGGCCGCCGCGGGAGAAGATCGGCCGCCGCCGCGCGCTGCAGCTGCTGGCGGGCGCCTGGCTGACGGCCCTGGGCTTCTCCTTGCCCTGGGAGCTGCTCGGGGCGCCCCGGGAACTCGCGGCGGCGCAGAGCTTCCACGGCTGCCTCTACCGGACCTCCCCGGACCCCGCGCAGCTGGGCGCGGCCTTCAGCGTGGGGCTGGTGGTGGCCTGCTACCTGCTGCCCTTCCTGCTCATGTGCTTCTGCCACTACCACATCTGCAAGACGGTGCGCCTGTCGGACGTGCGCGTGCGGCCGGTGAACACCTACGCGCGCGTGCTGCGCTTCTTCAGCGAGGTGCGCACGGCCACCACCGTCCTCATCATGATCGTCTTCGTCATCTGCTGCTGGGGGCCCTACTGCTTCCTGGTGCTGCTGGCCGCCGCCCGGCAGGCCCAGACCATGCAGGCCCCCTCGCTCCTCAGCGTGGTGGCCGTCTGGCTGACCTGGGCCAATGGGGCCATCAACCCTGTCATCTACGCCATCCGCAATCCCAACATTTCGATGCTCCTAGGGCGCAACCGCGAGGAGGGCTACCGGACTAGGAATGTGGACGCTTTCCTGCCCAGCCAGGGCCCGGGTCTGCAAGCCAGAAGCCGCAGTCGCCTTCGAAACCGCTATGCCAACCGGCTGGGGGCCTGCAACAGGATGTCCTCTTCCAACCCGGCCAGCGGAGTGGCAGGGGACGTGGCCATGTGGGCCCGCAAAAATCCAGTTGTACTTTTCTGCCGAGAGGGACCACCAGAGCCGGTGACGGCAGTGACCAAACAGCCTAAATCCGAAGCTGGGGATACCAGCCTCTAAGACGGTTGGAATGGCCAGCTTATGAAGGCAAATTTCCACTCGCATTATTTAATGATGGAAGATTCTGGGGGAGAGTTGTGGATTTCATAAAGCCAAACATTTAAAGCTAGAGACGGGGGAGGCTTACCACTTTCCCCAAACAACATAAAAGACAATGTCCCTTCTTCAAAAGTGCCAAAAGGAATGTAAAATGCAAAAATTAAAACAATCTTAAACCACATAACCAAGCATTGTGAACTGTAAGTGCCAAAAATGACAAAAATAACATTCACTATAACTGAAAAGCTCATATTATAGGACCACACTGTGAAACAAACAAAACATTGAATGCAACCAGTATTGTTCAACTACACAGAATTTCAGGAATGAATGGAGACCTTCAGAGCTGCTTGAAAGCCCCTCTAAATCGCTACCATCCAACAAAACTTTAGCTTCTAGAGCTTGCACCTCTGACATGCTTTGGGTGCTTAGATTGCAAGTGGAAAAGTCTTATCCTTACACACATTGGTGCACCTCCTCACCCCACCCCCTAATAACCTTTGTGGAAAATTTTTAATTCATAACCCATTTAAAATCATTTTAGGATTTTGAAAAGCTGGTTATTATTAGATAAAATTCAACCATCTGAAGGACAAATAGAAGTATGAACATAAAGAAATGTGTCTTTTAAATGTTTTCCAAGATTATATGTAAAAATTAACATTCCTTCCACCCGCGTCATACCTCCAAAATGATCTTCCTTGGAAAACTTTGAAGTTTTATCCTTACTCTAACCTGTTACTTTTATTTCTGATAAATTTTGGAATGCTGCTCTCAGAATGCTTTCACATTTAAAAAAATATTTTCATTGTAGAAAATTTTTGTCTTTTGAGGTAAATTTGATTTTTGGATATAGCCAAAAATGTAATTTGAAGTCAAGTTGATTGAATAAGGTGAGTGATGCCACTTTATTTAAATTTTTATTATTTTTTAAAATGAGACCTCTATAAAACAACAAGGTTGGGTTTCCTACGTGGCTTTTAGCTAACTGAAAACGATTCCAAAGAGAAATTCTAAAACTATTTTGAGAAGCAGCCTCTTGGAATTAGCGTAGACTTTTCCAAATAGATCATACCCTCCTACATTTAGAAATTTGGTATATTTTGTATTTTTTAAAATAGCTGATGGTTGCTTTATAGCTATGACTTGTCGAAGATAATGTATTTATTAAAGGGAGAATAGGTGTGGGACTATATGTAACGGTATTAAAACACAGGCATAAAGTTGGAGAAGAACTTCAAGCAAACTGAAAATATCTTTAGAAATATGCAAATCAAAGATGCTTTTTAAATTTCTATCTTAGCAGAAAAGATGGTTTTACAATAATTCAAAAGCGTATGTGAACTTTCTAATGTTAAATACGACTATACACAGAATCATTTACTCAGAATTTTTTTAAATATTATTTTTCCCTTTCTTTTCCTCCATCCTGCCCCTTTTCTTCAGTATTTCATAGCCTTAATTGAACAAGTTATTTACAGTAGATATGAAAAGACATTAGCTGTCGTATGAAGATTTCAATGTGAAATAGCCAGCATTTTCTTCCTGTAAAGTATTTAAATATGTTTTTAAGTATTTCTTTGTTTGACAGGTGGGTACATGTCATTATTTTGTAATCAAAGGTGGAAATATATGAGTCATGTCAGAGCTAAAGATGTTTTAATTTTTTCTGCTTCTCAGGGTATCATCACAAATCAGAAGTTTGTAAATTGTATATATTTTGCTACACTCAATGTAGTACAAAGTAGATGAGATAATCCCTCCCCTCTAGCCCTTATTTTATAAAGCATATACAGACTTCATGCAGCTGGACTAACAAAAACAGGTGTCTGCGGTATTTGCCTGTTAAAGGCAAAAAATTGTGTATTTTTTGGCACCGAGTCACTTTTGGGATTTAGAGAGAAATGATAAAGTCTTCAATTATAAAAGACATCATAGAATAGAAGTACAGTTGTGAATAAAGGGCAGAGGGTTAGAGATCTTAGAGTAAGGAGGTGAGCGTGTTGCAAAATAGTGTGTTGCCTGAGAAGAAGAATTGAAGGAAGGCATTGAAAAATAAATGTGATATAGAATAAACCTACCTGGTGAGTGAAGGGAAAATCTGAGAGATTGGAAGTGACAAGGTGATGGCATGAAGGACTTTAAGGAAGAAAAGGAATTCCAGCCCTACCTTTTCGGTGGCAGGAAGTTTTAGGAAAGGCATGGCTTGTGAAAGAGGCCATTCTGTTAGTGGCTCCGAGAGTCATGGTAGGCAAGAATTGGAGGGGAAAAAGAGAAAATTGTTCATAAATTACTGAACAATTTACAATGCTCTAAATTGTTTGTTTTTAATCCAAGGCTATCCAACTATTTAGTGGTAGAACTAGGATTTGAACTGCAGTCTGTTTGGCCTCAGAACTCCATGTTTGTTTCTCTCTATCCCCACAGAAGTCTACAGGTAAGGAAATCAATCATGATCAATTATGGTACTGTCATCATTATCATCATCGTGATCATCATCTACCATTTTTGTTTCCTACTTTATATAAGGGCAACTTCCTGGGAGCTAAGGCTACTAAAAGGTAGAAGCCACAGTACTCATCTGCAGAGGGCTTACAGCCTCAGCAAGGACCTTGTGGCTTTGTAACAACAATCAGCCATAACAAGTTTACTTGTGGAAAAGAAAAGGTGTAGCACTTTCAGAAGAGGCTATCAAAGAAAAGAGATGAACTTGGAAGCAAGAGATACGCAGGTATAAGTCAGCCACCCATTTGACCCAGTGTAAATACTTAGACAATCAATACCTCAAAAGGTGAAGAAAGAATGATTCTCAAAATAATCTAAGACTTCGACCTTTCGTTGTGCTTACTATGAGTATGCAATTATAGTGACTTCATGGGAAAACGAGAAAGAAAAGCTATGAAATATTGGAATGGATTAAATATTGAGTACTATGTAAAGGCCAGAATGTAATCCTTCATGTTTTATTCTGCTCCCAGTTTGGGTATTTCATTTGGGTGGAAATAATAACAGCAACAAGTAATACTCTGTATAGTAGGTGCATTAGCTCATTTAATCCTCAGAGCAATCTTATTAAGGCATACTGTATTATCACTCTCCCCATTTTACAGATGAGAAAACCAAGGCACAGAGGTGTTATGTGATCACACAGCTAGTAAGTGCTAAACATGAGATTTGCACCTGGCAGATTGGTGCCAGAAGTCGTCTCTTAACTGCTATTCTGTACTGCCTCTGTCTTTTGAAAAAGACAATGAGAACCCTGGAAAAGTGACAAGGAAGATAAAGACAACTATCAAAGGAATGGGAAAACAGCATAACATTTAAAAGAAAAGATTTTTGTTTCTAATTTGGAAAACAACTATATATATGTGTTTCTAAAAAGCATATAAGGGTTTCTGAGCAGTTATTTTCTGGAATAATTCCACTCAAGATGACCCCAGTCATCCATCTTCCCCATTCCTGCTCCAGTGCATCTGAACAGCATTGGAGAAAAATTACAGAATCAGATTAGTACCCACTGCACTTAGACTCCATAGCCTTGCCTGGCCCTTCCACCCTGCTGGCAATCTGAGCATTTTCACTTGTCAACTCACTCCTTCTGCCCCTTTTTTGACCCTTCAAACTTTATCCATGCAAACATTTAACCAACCCTAACCTCTTGGAATATGACTTTTGGTGCTGCTTCTCCAAGAAAATAGAAGACATCAGATACACATTTCTTCATATTTTAGCCACCAAACCTAACTCAACTAGATTTGTACTAGTTCTCAGCTATGTTTTCCAATTATAATGAAGCTGGTCCCTTCTCCAGCCTTGGGAATCTCATGCTATCTATTACTTCTGTTCCCTGGTATCCTTAGCCTTCCCACTGAACCATATCCCTGCCATGAGCACTTAAGCATGCCGTAATCTCTCACTTGAGAGGAAAAATGCCCATTCTTCCCTCCTTTTCTCTCCCTCAGTTCCTTTCCTTTAGCTAACTCATCAAAAGAATTGCCTGTACTTTTACAATTGATCTAAATTCTAGTCTACACTTTTAGTGGTGTAAGAAAGAAAGTAATTATTTTTCTGCAACTCAACATCTTACTCTGCCAGATGGTAAAACTTAAGATGACAGCATCTAGGTTCTAGGGGCTTATTAGTGCCAGTGCATTGGTGAACATAAGTCCTCAGTTGTCATCCATTCACCCTGGCATCTGCCAAGGCATCCATCAGTCTGTCTCTGGCCTTATATCCATGGCTTGCTGAGTAATTATCTCCCACTTCAGTCCAAGAGGACCCAGCTCAAATGACCACTTTAGAGCCCCTCTCTAAACACAAAAAAATTATTACTCCACCTCAGAACCATAGAGGGCTGTGACCACACCTATTAGGAGGTCACAGGCTGCTTTTTAAGAATTTTTTCCAATATTTTTGGTTTTTGATATGTTTTGATATTGTTGGGTCAATAAATCAAAATTATACATAAAACATACTTTGGAAGTTCCACTTCTGGAATGGCAATGAGGAGCTCTGTGGATCCCAATTAAACAAGTTTAACTGGTGAACATTATTTTCAAGACAACCATTTTAAATCTTTTTAAATTGTCCTAATGGCATATAGAAAATGCAGAAACATTAATTAAGAAAATCTAAAACTCAGTAAGAATAGTGAGTCTGTGGCATTTGATTTATAACCCACTCTCTCCCTATTCCCAGCTCAGCATGACAGAGACTCCATTCCAGGTGGAAAAAGCACATGGCTCTTTCTTCTCCGAGATCCCAGGACTATCTTATTTTCCTCAGAGGGGCAGGTTACAAGAACTTCACATCTCTCAGGCTACATGTTGCAAAGGTTAAATTCCAGGTGAGTGCAGCCAAGAAGCTGGGGGTTGTCTTCTTCTACCTACCTCCCATTCATAGAGCAAATGCTTTACTAGGGTGTGGCATGCTGGGAATACTGGGGCCATGATTATTCTCAAACAAGCTCATTTGTAGGACTGAGATTTCATGCTTGAACGGGCAAGCTGAGAAGACCAGATGTTATGAACCCCCCCACCCAATGCCCTACTTTTGGAGCAACCATTCCAAAAGAAGCAGGCCACCATCCCTGCCCCCACAATTCAGAGCCATGTCTCAGAGAGTTCGCATAGGAGTAGAGACAGGCCTTTAGACAGCCCTGAAGCTCTCTCCAAAGGAACTAATTTTATTTGAAACAAAGTGTGGAGAAGTTCAAGTCTAAGGCATTCTCAAAAACAATGGAGTTTTGGTGGTAAACAATTAAGAGGAGGCTAAAAACTTCATGAGAGATAGAAGCTAAACCACAGGGCAGCTAGTTTACCAGAGAGAACCCAGAAGAGACAGCTAAAAAGAGCTCTCCTGAGGTCTAAACTAACCTCAAAAACTGCCCCTGCAATTGGATCAGACTGTGGAGCAATTTATGCCCAAGAGCATTGTCAAAAACAATAGGGCAATTAGCAAATAATTAGTGACACCTAACATCTAGAAGTGATCAGGAAAAGAGGCAGTCAAACAGAGCCCTACTAAAGCTATTGTTCTCCAAGGGTGACTGTAGGCATACCCAAGGCTGTGTCCTCTGAAGAACACCACCAGAAGCTTCACACCACAGAGCAAAAAGACTACCCCAAAATAGTCCAGTAACTAAACAAATAAACAAACAAACAATAGTAATAAGCCTCACAGAAGGAGTAGTAGAAACGTGTATCTGGAGCTGCTACAGAGTTGTTCCATGAGGGTTTTTCTTAGCTGTCTTTTTCCCTGGTTCTCTCTATTGAAAGCATCCAGTTTACAACAACAAGAGCAATAAATATATGAGACATGCACAGAAATAGGAAAATATGAACCGTACCCAGGAAAAAAAAGCAGGCAACAGAAGAAACTCTCCATGAGAGGGATCAGATGGCAAATTTAACAAACTCTTTAAAGTAGACATTATGAATATGTTCAAATAATTTTTAAACTATGCTTAAGTAAAAGAAGGCATGTTGAAAATGTCTCATCAATAGAGATTAATAAAGAGATAGAATTTATAAAAAAAGAAACATGGAAATGCTTGAGTTGAAAATTACAATTACTAAAATTAAAACTTAACTACAGGGGCTCAACAGTAAATTTGAACTGGCAGAAGAAAGAATTAGCAAACTTGAATATAGTTCAATAGAGATTATGTAAGCTGAACAACAGAGAAAAATAATGCAGAAAAAATGAATACAGCCTCAAAGACCTGTGGGAGACCATTAAGTGCATTAATATATGTGTAATGTGACTACCAAAAAAAGAAGAGAAAAAAGAGCAGAAAAAGTATTTGAAGAAATAATGGTTGAAAACTTCCCAAATTTGAGTCTTAAAAAAATTAATCTACACACATCCAAGAAACTGAAGAAACTCCTAAGTAAGACAAACACAAAGAGACACACACAGATAGTAAATAGTAAAATAGTAAAAATGCTGAGAGACAAAGACAAAGGAAAATCCTTGAAAGCAGCAAGAGAAAAACAACCTGTCACACACAAGGGAATCCCAGTAAGATTAACAACTGACTTATCAGAAACAATGGAGGCCGGAAGGTAGAGGGATAACATATTCAAAGTGCTAAAAGAAAAAACTGTCAACCAAGAATCCTATATTTAGCCAAACTATCTTTCAACAAATACACATTAAAAGTCTCTTGCCTACATCTGCCCTATTCACCTTGTCCTCACCTTTCTCAGGCAACCACTGTTTATTAATTTTTTGTTTCTTTATGTAAAAGTAAGGAAAGGCATATTTTCTTAATTTTCTCCCTCTTGTACAGAAAAGTTAGCATACTATATACACATTGATTTTTTTCATTTAACAATATATCCTGGAAATTGTTCCCTATGATATATTCAAAGTTATTCTTTTTCTAAATAGCTTCATGGTATTCCACTGTATGGATATATCAAAATATCAAAATATTTGATAATATCAAAATGTAGCCACCTTCTTTTGATTGACAGGTTATCTCTAATTTTATACTATTGGAAAATAATACTGCAATGAAGCAACTTACACATAAAACATTTTGTATGTGTGCAGGTATTTCTATATGGTAGAATATTATAGGTAGGAGTGATGGTTCAAAGGCTAAGTACATTTATAATTTAATACAAATTGCCACATTACCTTCTCTATAGGTTGTACGATTTTTCACTTCCACCATCAAGTTATGAGTGTGATTGTTTCCCTGCAGTTTTGCCAATAGAGTGATTTTAGACTATTTACATCGTGGGTTACAACCAATGGTAAGTCATGAATTTAGCGTAATGGGTTATAACCAACATTTAAAACAAACTGAAGTGGCGTAGGACAGAATAAAACATATCAGATTTCACCACACATAGTTTGATAGTTGTAAAATTCTTTGATACTTCTCCCTTCAAATGATATAAACTAATTTTCTTTCCCCTTAAGTGTGAGCTGTACTTAGTGACTCACTACTTTTGTTTGTTGTTTTTTTTTAACTCATTAGGGGTTATTTGTGTCAACAAGTCAAGGAAAGAGCAGCCCAAGAATACCATCAGAGATGCAGCTTTCCAGGCCTCCATCCTGGACTTGCAGGTTTCATATTGACATATGTTTGCAAGATGACTTGCACTTCCAGGTCTCCACTCTCCATTCCAAGAAAGAGAAAAGGGAGAATAAGGGCTTTTTCCAAAAAGTTTTGTCTTTCTAATCAGGAAGACATGACCTTCCCAGAGATGTCTGATTACATCTTATTGCCAGAACTATATCACATGGCTATCCTCAAGTGTTAGGGAGATTGAAAAACTGAAAGTTTTTAGCAGAGTGCATTTTCCTTCCCCTAAATAGTGTTATGATGATCACTTTTGATGAACAGAATGTGGCAGAAGTGAAGATGTCTTAAATATTAGGACAAAAAAAGGTATTGACTGTGGCTTTCTCATTGCTCTTTCTCAAGTCAGTTATTCTGGGGAAACCCAACTGCCATGTTGTGAGGACACTCAAGCAGCCCTATGGAGGAGCCCACATGGTGAGGTACTGAGGCCTCTTGCCAACACCCATATGAGTGAGCCATCTTGGAAGCAGCTCCAGCTGACATCTTAATTACAACCCCCTGAGAGACCTGTATCAGAACTACCCAGCTAATCTGCTCCAAGTTTCTGACTCACAGAAGCTTTGAGAGGATAATTGTTTTAAGCTGCTAAATTTGGAGCTAGCTTGTTACACAACAATAATAACTAATACACTTAGTAGAAATAAGAATGGGTTCACGAAACATTTCAGTTGTATATGAGTGTGTGCTAGGTCTCAGTGTAAAATGAACCCCTTCTTATAGGTTGCAGTAAAAAACAAAATGGAAAATTGTGCACAAAACAAACCAAGCAACAGTTTTCTACTCTGAGGTCTTGCTGCTGCCTTCCTGAGGTCTACATGGGAATCAAGACGCAGGTCCTCTTTGCTTTCAGGTGCCCCAAACTTATTAGTGGCTCATGCAGCCTTTATTGCCCCATCATTCTATAGCTAGGCCAGTCACCAAGGGTGGGCAGGGATACACAGGATACAAGGACACTTCTCAGAGCTCTATTTACATCTAAATTCTCCTTGATTTTTTTTTTTTTTGAGATGGAGTCTCACTCTGTCACCAGGCCGGAGTGCAGTGGTGCGATCTTGGCTCACCGCAATCTCCGCCTCCAGGGTTCAAGTGATTCTCCTGCCTCAGCCTCCCAAGTAGCTGGGACTACAGGCATGCACCACCAGGCCCGGCTAATTTTTTGTATTTTAGTAGAGATGGGGTTTCACCATGTTGGCCAGGATGGTGTCAATCTCCTGACCACGTGATCTGCCTGCCTCGGCCTCCCTAAGTGCTGGGATTACAGGTGTGAGCCACCGCACCCGGCCTCTCCTTGATTTTCTAAGCTCCTCTCATCCAACCTGAAAACATATTTATCTAGTCTTTAGGATAGTCATTCTGGCTTTTACAGCTTTGTGTGTTCTCTTGGACTTATTATCTTGATTTAAAACCTTCCTATTTAAAGCAGGGCCAAAATTTTAACAAACCAAAGACCTCTCTGTTTTTGGCACAGCCTCCTTTAGTACAGAAAATCCTAAAGGTAAAGGAAGTCCTGTGCGTACAAGGAAATACAGTGGAAAAAGCCCTCAAATAATATTTGAAAATGTTATTCACATATTGTCTTTATTTCAACTCAGATTCCTTTCTCATTCCATTTTTATCTGGCTCCTACACTCATTGCTTCACAGAATTAGTCACAGAATAGGTCACAAATGACCTAAATCCAGTGAATACTTCTCAGCCATCTTACTTGACCTTGCCAAACATAAACCACGTGTATTAGTCAGGGTTCCCACAATAGGCTGTCTGCAGGCTGAGGAGCAAGGAGAGCCAGTCCAAGTTCCAAAATTGAAGAACTTGGACTCCAGTGTTCAAGGGCAGGAAGCATCCAGCACAGGAGAAAGATGTAGGCTGGCAGGCTAAGCCAGTCTCTGTTTTCACATGTTTCTGCCTGCTTAGATTCTAGCAGTGCTGGCAGCTGATTCGATTGTGCCCACCCAGATTAGGGGTGTGTCTGCCTTTCCTAGCCCACTGACTCAAATGTTAATCTCCTGTGGCAACACCCTCAAGACACACCCAAGATCAATACTTTGTATCCTTCAATCCAATCAAGTTGAAACTCAATATTAATTATCACATCATAGTTGGCCCCACTTCCCTTTTGGAAATGTTCTTGTCCTGGTGTTCATGTTTTTACTCTTTCTTGGTTTTCCGCTAACCACTCTGATCATTCCTTCCTAACCTCTTTGACTACTTTCTCTGCTTCCCCATCTTACATTTTAAAAATTACTTTAAAAATAGATAATATGTACACGATATGAATTTGAAAAGGTACAAAAGGGTACAGAGTGAAAAATAAATGTTTTCCTTTTCCTTCCTGCCCTTGACAACTAAAACCTGCCAATCATCAAGTCCCTTTTCCCCAATCTGTTCCTTTTCAACCCCAAAGTCATTATCTAGGCCAGCCTCTTATCACTAATTTCAATGGACTTGATGACGTAGTTCTGGGTTCTCCCTGAGAAACCCACCTTAACATCCATCACAAAATATTTTGGAGTTCCCAGTTGGTCTTCCACATGTACTCAAGAAAATGTCTATTCCTATGGTCTCTGTGTTACTCTGCCAGGCACCATTGTTAATCCAAGTAGCTCTGCCAAGAACAGTAGCTATAAGGAAGAAGAGATTGTGCTTAGTGGACAGCATTCTTCAAACATGGCATCTTTTCAACTTTTTTTTAGTAGGCTTTATTTTTCAGAGCATCTTTAGGTTCACAGCAAAATTGAGTGAAAGTACAGAGATTTCCCATTTATTCTTTGCCCCAACACAAGCAAAACCTCACCTGTTACCAATATCCCCCACCAGAGAGGTACATTTGTTATAATCAATAAACCTACAATGACACATTGCTATCACCCAAAGTCCATAGTTTACATTAGGGTTCATTCACTCTTCGTGTTGTACATTCTATGGGTTTTGACAAATGTCATAACATGTATTTATAATTATAGAAATATGTAGAAGAGTTTTATTGCTCTAAAATTCCTCTGTGCTCCATCCATTCATCCCTTTCTTCTCCCAGTCTCTTGAAACCACTGCTACTGTTACGGTCTCCATGGTTTTGCCTTTTCCAGAATGTCATATAGTTGGAATCATACCGTAGGAAGCCTTTTCAGATTGGCTTTTTTCGCTTAGTAATATGCATTTTAGGTTTCTCCATAGCTTTTCATGGCTAAATAGCTCATTTCCTTTTAGTGCTAATATTCCATTGTCTGGATGTACCATAGCTTATTTATCTGCTTATTTACTGATGGCATCTTGGTTGCTTCCAATATTTTGCAGTTATTAATAAAGCTGCTATAAACATCTGTGTGCACATTTATGTGAACAAGTTTTCAACTCATTTGGGTAAATATCAAGGAACATGAGTCTTGAATTGTACATTAAAAATATGTTTAGTTTTGTAAGAAACTGCCAAATGATCTTCCAACATGGAGGTACCATGTTGCATTCCCACCAGCAATGAATGAGAGTTTCTGTTGCTCCATATCTTTGCCAGCATTTGGTGTTATTAGTGTTTTAGATTTTGGCCATTCTAATAGGTGTGCAGTTATATCTCAATGTTGTTTTAATTTGAAATTTCCTAATGACATGTAATGTTGAGCATCTTTTCATATGCTTATTTTCTATTTGCATATATTCTTTGATGAGGTGTCTATTCAGATCGTTTGTCCATTTTAAAATCAGGTTGTTCATTTTCTTGTTGGGTTTTCAGTTATTTTGTATTTTAGATAACAGTTCTTTATCAGATATGTCTTTTGCAAAATTTTTTTTCCCAGTCTGGGGCTGGTTTTCTCATCTCTTTTCAACATTTTCAAAAAGAAAATACATAAATATGACAGTTGGTAAGATTGCGATGAGAAGGCATAGAGTAGCTCTTATCAGTAGGAATATTACTCCTCCCTAAAGAGCATTTCAGAAATTTGGGGAAGGATTTTTTGTCTCACAATATCACTAGCATTTAGCAAATGGTGTCCAAAAATTCTGGATGTCCTATAAAGCATGAGAGAATACTGACCAATGCAGATTGTCTCACATCCTGTACAGCTTTCAAATGTCCCACCAGACACTGAAATAGCTGACAAATTTATGAATCATTATGTACTTCCATAACTTTAGTTCATTCTGCATAGAAAAATGTGTTTTAAACATGGTTTTAATATACACAGAAAGTTTCTAGAGATGCAACTCTATAAATTGAAATTTTTATTACATCTATTTTGTTTAGATTTTTATTAAACAATATTCACCCATTTGGAAAGCACTGTTATAATTTACTACACCGCTTGAGCTAATGGACTGTGAAAAAACACTTTTGTATCAGTCTACATTTGTAGCTATTATAATCGCTGTGAGTCTACATTTAAATGTAAGCACCTAACTACTTCATTTTGTTTATTCTGCAATAAAAAGAGCCTACTGATCATACAGCAACATAAATGAATGCTACAGGCATTTTGCAAAGAGAAAAATCTGGATACAAAAGAGTATATACTATATAATTCAATTTATATGAAGTTCCAGAACAGATAAAATAAGTATATGGTGAAAACAAATACAATTTCTAGCTCTTTGCTGGTAGTTCCCCTATGTCATCCACTATATCCGTGTTTTCCTTTAAGCCCTAAATATATCTGTAACAGGTACTTTTAGAGTCTTTGTCTTCTATTGCAAACATCTTGGTTATATAAAGTTGGGCCTTTATTTACTGCTTCCCTCTGTTTGTTTATGAGTCATATTTTCTTTTCTTCTCTTTTTTTTCCCATGTCTAGTTATCTTTGATTATATGCATAATATTGATGACATATTGCAAGGAAGCTGGATTTTATGTCTTGTTTTAAAGGGCATTTATTTAAATTGCTAGAAGGTCCTCCAGATCCTTTCAGGCTTGGTGTCATTCCATGTTGGAGTCAGTCTCTTTCGGTTTTGTCTCTTGTCCTAGCATGTGGCTCTTATTTTAAAGCTTGACTTTTATTTTCAAGGTATTTGTTGTCTTAAACAAATGCCTGAGGCGCTCAATGAACTCTCTGCACTCTGGCTAGACTATAACATGTACAACATCATCTAATCCAGTGTAATTTTAGGTATCTTTGTTCACCACTCACTCCTACAGTAGCCACTTTCTCCTAGTTCTCGTGGCGATTTGTTCTACACATGTGCAACCCAGCTCTATACCAAAGATTTATGGAGAGCCTCCATGCAGACAGCTGTCTCCCTCCATCACATCACTCCTTTCTCTCTTGCCCACAAATTCCAGTCACTTCAACTGTGTTGAACTCTGCTCTGTCTTCTAGCTTGGGAAGACCACCATTTTCTACTGGAGCTCTACCTCCCAGGGTCAAAGTCTGAAAAATAGTCCTAGGTAGAAGGATGAAATAATTTACATAATGCATGTGCCTGTGAAGCACTTAGCATGATGTCTGCACAGAGTAAATGGCCAATAAATGTTGATTTTTATTATGAAATCTGTATTTGATACAAATTTTATCTATAATATTTTATTAAAGAAAAAAGTCTTATAAAATGGTAGAGAGTAATCTCATTTTTGGAAACAAACATATTGAAATTAGGAAGGATATCTACCAAATAATATTACTATCAAGTAAGAATATCTTTACCAAACAATATAATTATAGATGCTCTTCAATTGTTAATAATTTACTCCATTATATTTTGTATAATAAGCATTACTTTTTAAAATGAAAGAATTTATTTTTGAATAAAAATAAACTACTAAAGAGCATTTTGAGGGGTCTGTGTTGAAAGGGAAGAAAGGGGTAAGCTCTCTACTTAGCCTTGCAGGGAGTAAAATAATTTACCTATCTATTATACACACTGGGACCTCAGCATTTTCGGGCCTGTTGGCTGGAGGTACTGCCATTTCTGCCTTTGTAGCCTCTGAGGGAGGCCTGAGTTACTGGCTTGGTTCCCTGACAATATACCAGACTGTAGGAACCCTTCTGAGTTGTGTATTTAAGTAGTTAAAAAAATCCTGGAGAAAATTCAGTTAAGTTATAAACCAGTCTTATCTTTTTATTTTTAATCATGCTGTTATATTATCCCACTCTCTTGGATTGAGATCATTTTTACATTTAACACTTAGTTCTTTCCTCTCCACATATGAGAGAAGGAGTAGAAGATAGCCTCACCATCACTACTCCAGGTGGTCCAGACACCTGGATCTCCCTGTATCATTGGCTAAGAAAGCACAAGCCATCAGATTCAAACATAAAAGTTGAGGTGGCTCAGCTGGATGGCTGCCATCTCTCTCCCTAACCTCGGGACTTTCTTGAGTAAGTCTACTTTCATGAGTGTCCGTGTGAAGAGACCACCAAACAGGCTTTGTGTGAGCAATAAAGCTTTTAATCACCTGGGTGCAGGCGGGCTGAGTCCAAAAAGAGAGTCAGCAAAGGGAGATAGGGTTGGGGCCGTTTTATAAGATTTGAGTAGGTAAAGGAAAATTACAGTCAAAGGGGGGTTCTCTGGTGGGCAGGAGTGGGGGTCACAAGGTGCTTAGTAGGGGAGCTTTTGGGCCAGGATGAGCCAGGAGAAGGAATTTCACAAGACAATGTCATCAGTTAAGGCAGGAACAGGCCGTTTTCACTTCTTTTGTGGTGGAATGTCATCAGTTAAGGCAGGAACCAGCCATCTGGATGTGTACGTGCAGGTCACATGGTATATGATGGCTTAGCTTGGGCTCAGAGGCCTGACATTCCTGTCTTCTTATATTAATAAGAAAAATAAAACGAAATAGTGGTAAAGTGTTGGGACGGTGAAAATTTTGGGGGATGGTATGGAGAGATAATGGGCGATGTTTCTCAGGGCTGCTTCAAGCGGGATTAGGGGCGGCGGGGGAACGTAGAGTGGGAGAGATTAAGCTGAAGGAAGATTTTGTGGTAAAGGGTGATATTGTGGGGTTGTTAGAAGAAACATTTGTCATTTAGAATTATTGGTGATGGCCTGGATATGGTTTTGTATGAATTGAAAAACTAAACGGAATAAGAGAAGGAGAAAAACAAGTATTAAAGGTCTAAGAATTGGGAGGACCTAGGACATCTAATTAGAGAGTGCCTAAGGAGGTTCAGCATAGCCTTGCCAGCAAAGATTATTTATTTACTTTAAGAGTTAAGAGTGGCAGTTTGGGGATAGCACCAGGAGATATCAGCTGTGATGACTTGGAGAAACACTGTAAACCGGCAGTGTAAACAAGAGCAGGGCATGTATGAGTAGTTGAGAACAGTGAATAGGAGTATGACTAGACAGAAGATAGTAGGGATGACAAGTTTTTTTGGGGCACAGTCCAAGTTGGTCTGGTGTCTGGAATGAGACTGGGGCCTAATAAAAAGGAGCGTCCATACAGGAGCTCAAGTGGGCTGTACCTTGTAGCATTCTGAGGACAGGCCTGAATTCTGAGAAGAGAAAGAGGTAAAAGTATTGTCCAGTCTTTTTTAAGTTGGTGGCTGAGCTTGGTGAGGTGTGTTTTTAAAAGACTATTAGTCCGTTCTACTTTTCTTGAAGACTGAGGACTGTAAGGGATATAAAGGTTTCACTGAATACTGAGTGCCTGAAAAACTGCTTGGGTGATTTGACTAGTAAAGGCTGGTCTGTTATCAGACTGTATAGAGGTGGGAAGGCTAAACTGAGGAATTATGTCTGACAGAAGGGAAGAAATGACTGCGGTGGCCTTCTCAGACCCTGTAGGAAAGGCCTCTACCTATCCAGTGAAAGTGTCTACTTAGACTAAGAGGTATTTTAGTTATCTGACTCAGGGCATGTTGAATAAAGCTAATTTGCCAGTCCTGGGTGGGGGCAAATCCTCGAGCTTGATGTGTAGGGAAGGGAGGGGGCCTGAATAATCCTTGAGAAGTAGTAGAATAGCAGATGGAACACTGAGAAGTTATTTCTTTGAGGATAGATTTCCACGATGGAAAGGAAATGAGAGGTTTTAAGAGGCAAGCTAGTGGCTTGTACTATAGCATAGCCTGCCTTTGCTGGTGTGTGGCGATTAGACCTGGTGGAACTGCCATCAATAAACTAAGTGTGATCAGGGTGAGGAACAGGAAAGAAGGAAATATGGGGAAATGGGGTGAACGTCAGGTGGATCAGAGAGATGCAGTCATGAGGGTCAGGTGTGGTATCTGGAATAATGTGGGAGGCTGGATTGAAGTCTGTGCCAGGAACAATGGTAATTGTGGGACTTAACAAAGAGTGAGTACAGCTGAAGGAGCTGGGAAGCAGAAAGTATATGCGTCAGGTATGAGGAAGAAAATAGATTTTGGAAGTTATGAGAACTGTAGAGAGTGAGTTGAGCATAGTTTGTGATTTTTAGGGCCTCTAAAAGTATTAAAGCAGTGGCAGCTGCTGCACGCAGACATGAGGGGTAGGCTAAAACGGTAAGGTCAAGTTGTTTGGACAGAAAGGCTACAGGCTGTGGTCCTGGCTCTTGTGTAAGAATTCTGACCGCAGTAACCATGCCTAGGAAGGAAAGGAGTTGTTGTTTTGTAGAAGGTGCTGGGGGTTGAGAGATTGGTCGGACATGATCAGCAGGGAGAGCACGTGTGTTTTTATGAGAATTATGCTGAGATAGGTAACAGATGAGGAAGAAATTTGAGCTTGACTGAAGTAAGGGGGGTTGTCTATGAAGCTTTGCGGCAGTACAGCCCAGGTAATTTGCTGAGCTTGATGGGTGTCAGGGTTAGTCTAAGTGAAAGCGAAGAGAGGCTGGGATTAAGCGCGCAAAGGAATAGTAAAGAAAGCATGTTTGAGATCCAGAACAGAATAATGGGTTGTGGAGGGAGGTATTGAGGATAGGAGAGTATATGGGTTTGGCACCACAGGGTGGATAGGCAAAACAATTTGGTTGATAAGGCGAAGATCCTGAACTAACCTGTAAGGCTTGTCTGGTTCTAGGACAGGTAAAATGGGGGATTTGTAAGGAGAGTTTATAGGCTTTAAAAGGCCATGCTGTAGCAGGCAAGTGATAACAGGCTTTAATCTTTTTAAAGCACGCTGCAGGTTGGGATATTGGCGTTGAGCAGGGTAAGGGTGATTAGGTTTTAATGAGATGGTAAGGGGAATGATCGGTCACCAAGGAGGGAGTAGAGGTATCCTATACTTGGGGGTTAAGGTGGGGGATACAAGAGGAGGATGCAAAGGAGGCTTTGGATTGGGAAGAAGGGCGTCAATGAGATGCGGCTGTAGTCCAGGAATAGTCAGGGAAGCAGATAATTTAGTTAAAGTGTCTCAGCCTAATAAGGGAACTGGGCAGGTGGGGAAAACTAAAAGGAGTGCTTAAAAGAGTATTGTCTAAATTGTACCAGAGTTGGGGAGTTTTAAAGGTTTAGAAGCCTGGCCGTCAATACCTACAACAGTTACGGAGGCAAGGGAAACAGGCCCTTGAGAAGAAGGTAATGTGGAGTGGGTAGCCTCCATATTGATTAAGAAGGGGACGGACTTACCCTCCACTGTGAGAGTTACTTAAAGCTAGCATCTGTGATGGTCTACGGGGCTTCCAAGGCGATCGGGCGGCATCAGTCTTCAGCCGCTAAGCCGAGAAGATCTGGGAAGGAGTCAGAGAAGCCAAGAAGATCTGGGAAGGAGTCAGAGAGCCTTGGGCCAGAGTTCCAGGGGCTCTGGGAGTGGCTGCCAGGTGAGTTGAACAGTCTGATTTCCATTGGGGTCCTGCACAGATGGGACGTGGCTTAGGAGGAATCCTGGACTGCAGGCATTCCTTGGCCTGGTGGCCAGATTTCTGGCACTTGTAGCAAGCTCCTGGGGGAGGTGGTTCTGGAGGAACACCTGGCCACTGTGGTTTAGGCGTTTGGAAGTTCTTGTGAGCTGGAGATGTGGCTGGGGTTTGTCTCACAGTGGAGGCAAGGAATTGCAACTCCGAAATATGTTGCTACTTAGCCGCCTCTATTATTGTACACCTTGAAGGCAAGGTTAATTAAGTCCTGTTGTGGGGTTTGAGGGCCAGAATTTAATTTTTGGAGTTTTATTTAATGTCGGGAGCAGATTTGGGTAATAAAATGTATACTGAGAATAAGACGGCCTTTTGACCTTTTAGAGTCTAGGGCTGTAAAGTGTCTTAGGGTTGATGCCAAACGAGCCATGAACTGGGCTGGATTTTTATATTTGATGAAAAAGAGCCTAAACGCTATCTGATTTGGGATAAAGAAAAAGGAGCATTAACCTTGACTATGCCTTTGGCTCCAGCTGACTTTTTAAGAGTAAATTGCTGGTCAGGAGGGGGAGGGCTAGTTACGGAACGAAACTGTAAGCCGGACCGGGTGTGAGGAGGGGAGATGATAAAAGGATTATAGGGTGGAGGAGCAGAGGCTGAGGAAGAATTGGGATCTAGCTTGGCCTGGCAAGGAGGGGAGGTGTCGTCCCTGCGTGGTCTGACACCTCTGAAACCTGGGTGAATAATCAGAGAGGTGTGTCCCTGCAATGATTAAACACGAAGGGAAGGCTGCCTTCCTTAGTCCGTGACTGGCGCCAGAGTTTTGGGTCCACGGATAAAACGTGTCTCCTTTGTCTCTACCAGAAAATGAAAGGAATTGAAATTAAGAGAAGGGAGAAATTGAAGTGTGGCGCCAAGATTGAAAGAAAGAGGTTGAGGGATAGCGAGGGAGGTTGGAGAAGACAGTAAAAAGAGGCCGCTTACTGGATTTGAAATTGGTGAGATGTTTTTTGGGCTGGTCGGTCTGAGGACCTGAGGTCGTAGCAGAGGCCTGACATCTTTCTTAGAGGAATGTGCTCTCTGGTCAAAAGTAGAGAATAACTCCATGAGATTAAAGCAAAACATGCATCTACCTGATTCAATATGTTCAAGGGCCCCACTACATGGGGCAGTTTAATTGTTGGTTTGTTTTTTGAGACAGGGTCTTGCTCTCACCCAAACTGGAGTGAGGTGCAGGATCATAGGTCACTGTAACCTCCAACTCCTAGGCTCAAGCAATCTTCCCACCTCGGCCTCCCAAGTAGCTAGGACTACAGACATGCACCATCATGCCCAGCTACATTGGGCAGTTTAAAAGTAAAAAAATTTGTCAATCTACTTGTTTACTCTCCAGAGAACATAATCGATTTGACTGAAAAAAATTAATACTGGTTTATCTTTAGCTACCAGGACTACAGACAAACCAAAGGAAAGGCAGCACATATTTCCTTACTTTCTGGCAGTCATTAAGTTCCTGCTGGTTTCTGGATGTCAGGGGTCCAGAGACAAGTACATATTTTCTTTTCTTTTTTTTTTTTTTTTTTAGTATTTATTTATTTATTTAGAGACGGAGTCTCACTCTGTCGCCCAGGCTGGAGTGCAGTGGCACAATCTCAGCTCACTGCAAGCTCCATCTCCCGGGTTCACGCCATTCTCCTGCCTCAGCCCCCCCAGTAGCTGGGACTACAGGCGCCCGCCACCACGCCCGGCTAATTTTTTGTATTTTTAGTAGAGATGGGGTTTCATTGTGTTAGCCAGGATGGTCCCGATCTTCTGACCTCGTGATCCACCCGCCTCGGCCTCCCAAAGTTCTGGGATTACAGGCGTGAGCCACGGCACCCGGCGACAAGTACATATTTTCTTGATAGCACTACTACAGTACATCTATTCCCGTTGTGAAGGGGGAAAATTCAAACAGCAGTTCACCTGCAATTTGAAAGCCTGAAATACTGCTGATTCCCCACAAGGAGGCTCCATTATCAAGTACAACAATTTTCAAAGCGGGAATGCCCCAACGATTTTGAAAAGCAACACATCAGAACACATTAAACTTTCATAATCTTTAAATGCTTTAACATTCTTATTGATAACAGTTTGGCTTTAATTATCACATAAAAATTTAATCTATCATTTTTGTGCTATGCAAAGCCAAGACAAATGTATCATATATTAAATACATAATTTAATTAAGCTGAGTATTTAAACAAGGCCGAATTTTTTTCTCAGTGGGAGGAAGGGAGGACGATTGGTGATTATACTAAAAACCAATTTTCTTATGCTTCAGTTATTACATGTGATCAAAGAGTTATCACACAGGTTCAACTTTGGCTTTCTAAGTCAAACAAACAAGCTTTATCTTGGCTAAAATTCTTTATAAGGCAAAACATATTGACTGGTAGCTCATTGCCTAATTGATAACACATATGTCATGGCATTATTTTAATATGACTCTTTAACAATAAAACAGTTAATATTTCCTATTGGATCGTGTAACATCTTAAAATATTGGTAATAACAGTTCCAAATGGTTATAAATGTATTTGAAGTATTTGAACAGGAAATAGAGACTAAATATATACATAAATAATTTGTTACAATTTAGATTTCTTTGAATGCATAATGTTGAAATTAGTTTTTCCTTTTGCATCTTTAATTCTCTGAAAGAAGAACTTAGAATGACTTTTAGTGCTCTAAGCGTTCAATTAACTTTTCATTTAAATTATTTATTTTATATGATGGATGGAATGCATCAGGGCAACTGAGAAATAAGGCAAATTTCTTACATTTGGAAAATAGAGTTAGGCTTGTGATTTGAAAGTTTTAGTTTTCTAAGACTATTCTTTAGAGAGTGGGATTTGGGATGTATCTAGCATTTATTGATTGCCTCCATGAAGTCCTTTGCTCATATTATTTCATATCAATGGGCCGGATATTACTATTCCCCATTGCATAGATGAAGAAGCTGAGACTCAAAGAAAAATAACTTGTTCAAGATAATATAGCCAGCTAAACAACAGCAGGATTGGGATTAGAACCCACAGCAGGGATGGATGGGAAGAGAGGCAGACAAGGGTGGAGGTTTGGGGATCTGAGAGTGAGGAGGAGGCAGGATGAAATTAACAAGGGTAGAATCTTTTCTGGGAGTTCACAGAAGTAGTAATTTATATCCCTTAGCATGCCTCCTTTATCCCTATCAGGCCCTCTGCGGCTGGATGAATCTCTGTTTTTCCAGTCAGTTTGAATCTTAGCATCAATATTATATTTGAAATGTAAGAGTGAAATTGCCTTTCTGTGACATCTTTTTAACTGATTACTGGGCACTTAGGCAACCAGCTCCCGAATGTCTGGTTACTCTTAATAAAGGTCAGGATTGCACCTAGCTAGCCTCACTAATAGAGGAGACCTTGTGGCCATCTTTCATAGCAGCCTGAGGCAAGTTGTCATGAATTCACTGAAACTTGCTGATTTCCCCTGTGCACCTGAAAGAACCTGGTTCCCTTAGTGATGTCCATTCAGCCTGAATAACTCTACTGCTTCCCCTCTGCCAGCACACCACCCACCCTGTCAACGATGGTGAAAATCTGCAACCTCTTGTTTACCTTCATGTGTGGGGAGCCTCTCCCATCCTTCTCACAAGGATATAAGGAGATTGCATTCTAACTTGCTTTGATTACTCTTAGCTTACATACAGAATCACCTCTTTAGAGGAAAGGGAAGTTTCTCCCAGTTCTGTCTTTGGAAATGGGAGATTGGTCTTGGAGTCTTAGACTAACACAGATAGATCATTAATCACAAAGACTGTCTCTGGAAACTGAAAAAGGTCAGATTCTCTTAGAAACTGTGGGATGGGTGTGGTGGTACATGCTCATAATCCCAGCACTTCGGGAGGCCAAGGTGAGTAGATGGCTTGAGTCCAGGAGTTCAAGACCAGCCTGGGCAACATGGTGAAACCCCATCTCTATGGAAAAAAAAAAAAAAAAAGTTGGGTGTGGTGTTGTGTGCCTGTAGTCCCAGCTACTCAGGAGGCTGAGATGGGAGGATTGCTTGAGCCCAGGGAGGGTGAGACTGCAGTGAGCCGAGATCATGCCACTGTACTCCAGCCTGGGCAATAGAGTGAGATGAGACCCTGCCTCAAAAAAATAAGTAAATAAAATAAAAATGAAAAGAAAGAAACTGCACAATAAGACAAGGGCAGGGTGGAGAGTTTGTTTTAGTTACACAAGACACCCATGCAACACGACAACACCCCTTTAAAACATACAAAGTCACATAACTTCAGAATTTCAAGATTTAGTTAAAAAAGAAAAGAAAGGATGGAAAATGTGATACTGTATACATTTTCTGCTGTCTTTGTGCTACTGAACATTCTCTAATGAATGTCTCCTAAACATCTTTCTGTGATCTACTTTGAAAGGAGAACAGAAGGGAGGGAAGAACAGAGAGGAGACTAAAGAGAGATAAGGAGAGGGAAGGAAGAAGAGGGGGCTAAGGAGGGAGAGAAGAAGATAAAGAAAATTTACAAAAGAAAGGAAGAAGGAGAGAGAGAAGTTGTTTGCTATTGTGGCATATTAGGTGAGCAATGAACACTTTGTGCATTTATTCGTTTGACACACAGTTATCGAGCATCTATTATGTGCCAGGCTCTTAGACCCCGGTTGAAAGCAGTGAAACAGATAGTTGTCTTATGAAGCACATAGATTGGGCGAGTCACAAAATTTTTTAAATAAAGTAAATTAGGTTGCAAATACACTCTTAGTTCACTTTATTTTTACATTATTCCTCTCATCCTCCATAACAATGCCTCTCATTCTACTCATAAACCCAAGTAATATAAATGAGCCACTCTAGACTATTAAAATATACCATTGTCTCAAAAAATGTTTTTCAATGTAAGCATATTTGTACTTTTGCTTTCTTAATTGGAGCAATGTTTTTGTATTACTGCGTGTCTACACATTTTTTAAAGAGCTGATAAAAAGATGTTTGTTCATTTCTATATAGTCTACTCAATCAGCCTATTTGCAAAAATTTTCCTGAAAAATAGGTAGTGGAGAAAAGTCAGGGTCAAGAGTGGATTTTATTCTAAATCAATATTTGGGATAAATGCAAACAAAAATAATCAGAAATTAAACAAAGAATATTGGATTTAACATGAAATGGATAACCTGACAGCCTCTTCTAAAACAAATAAAATACTCTTGTGTATCAAAGCGCTTAAGTCCATAACAGAGGTGAACTTGAGGTCAATGCTGTCAAATAATTTCTAAGTAGTTTCCAGATTTTTTTCTTTTTTTTTTTGCCTTTGGTGCCGAAAAGGCTAATCAACTTTATGTACTTACAACTTACCTTCAATTTATCAAACTGCAGGTATAATAGTCAAAATATTCAACAACCAATATGGTATGAACACAGATGCTGCTTCTATATCTTAAAATGTATTTTTCAGCATCCTGGCTGAATAAACATCCTCCCTAATTATGGGGAAAGTGGTATGTCATTAGCATGGAATGAAGTTCCCCTCCTGATCCATTAAAAGTTAAGCTACTCCTTTCACTAATTTTGTCCTCAAATAGTATAGCTCACATGCAAAAAGGGGAGAGGACATTCCTCCTGAACATATTCTCTGCTTTTGGAGAACTTCTCAACCTTTCTAAAATATTGTATTGGTATTCTGGTTGTTGACATGATGTGGAAAAGATGTAGAGGATACAGTTGGAAAGAAATGTCAGTTTATTTAGTGCACATTGAAACATCAATAGTCGTGCTGTGAGACACAGAGCAAGAGGTTGAAGTGTGGACTGTTAAGTGCTGGCTTCCACAGATGTGAGAACCTAGCTATGCTTTGGGACTGCATTTCAAACAACCCCAGGTTCTGTGGGAGGCAGGACTGCTGTTCCACAATGGGGAAGGAGAGAATAGGTTTGCTCCATGTGATATACTGGGGCATCTCTTAGTGTTCGCCTGTCTAAAGTTGACAGTGAAGGAACAGTGCAGATCATTGGCCCTAAGGAGGGCATAGTGAGCAGGGCTTCGATGGCACAGTAATGAGGGCCTGGGTCACCCCTATGGGCAAGCCACCCGGTCTAGTGGAGGTACCAGCCAAAAGTAATGAGAATTCAAAAATTGAATATTAGTTGCAACTCTGCAATCAGGTGCAGCAGTGGGGATTATACTTCATTCCACCAACTTTCCTTTTGTAAATTTCACTGGAAAAGAGACCAACCAAAAGGAAGCAGGTGGTGTGACTGTTTTATACAAAGCAAATGGATCTGAGCAGTTCAAAGGGTGCACTGAATGGATAATGTGGTGTCTTGCTCAGATACCTGCTTCAGGACCAAGGCATTCATTTCCCCAGCTGTCAGAATTATTACCTGTTGATGGCTCAGAGCAAATCCCTCACCAAGAATTGCCCTCAGGTGAAAGGAATTTCTTCACCCAGCATTATGACCACTCCCCAGGTGCAGCCCACATCCAATGACTGGTCAGTGTGGTGATATACAAATCAGGCCCCCTTGCCTTAATTTGGAACAACTCAGAAAGGCCAGCGTAGCTTCCAAGCTCCAGTGGGATTAGCTGAGATGTTTTTTTGCAATTACATCACAATTCGACTCTTTTTGCTCAACCCTGGTTCCTTAACGTCTCACAGTTTTTATCTTGAGACCATTGCACAATAAACTTCCCATACACAAATCTGTTTCTCTATCTTTTTCCTGGGAAATATGACATAAGATAGTTTCCTATTAAATATTTTTAAAATATGTAGGAAATGTATGTTTGTGACATCTTTTATCAAAAATATTCTGGAAATATGCTATGCTTGAGTTTATTTTAACTAATTTAGCAAACCTTAGTAAAGCAAATGTAAAGATTTAGCAACGGAATAATATTTGGCAATTAGCTGTAAATCACTGGACAGGCATTTAAAGCATGCTATTTGGATGGCTATGCTTCATTTTTAAGTAATTCATATGTGTTCAGCCAAATCAAATAAACTGCTTTAGTTCTTTTCATAACATCTGAGGTTAATAAAATAAGTAAAAGGGTTGATAAGCTTTCAGTTTTCCATGTTTTTAATTTATGAAACATTTTTAAACTAAGCTTTGTCGTCATGAAACATGTTTTTATGCCTAAGGTTTATTGATTTTCTACCTCATGCTTTCAATAGTTTGACTTACTTTGTCTAATATGACAAGTTCAGAATTCATTAAACATTATTTTGTTGAAATTTTATTTCTCTAAATGGGAGGTTCTATATTAAATGTCTTTAAAAATTCGTTTCACAACTATATTGATGCTAATGAGGCCTGAGAGATAGCAAGTGATAAAGCAACATTGTAGAAGCTGTTCAAATGTGTTTTTTTATGACAACTCAGAGATACTATTCACAAACCATACTATTTATCCTTTAAAGTGTACAATTCAGTGGTTTTTAGTCTATTCACAGACTTGTGCAACTCTCACCACGATCTAACTTCCTAACCTAAAAAGAAACCCCATACCCACTAGCTGTTCCTCTGCATTTCCCTCTCCTCCCGGTCTCTGGAAAACACTACTCTCTATCTCTATGGATTGGTATATTCTGGATATTTGATATAAATTAAGCATACAATATGTGGTCTTTAGCATCTGACTTCTTTCTCTCAGCATGATGTTTTTGAGGTCCATTCATGCTGTAGCTCATATCAGTACTTCTTTCTTTTTATTCCTGAATAATATTCTGTTTTTCAGATAAAAACACATTTTGTTTACTCATTCATTAGGTGATGGACATTTGAGTCATTTCCACTTTTTAGGTATTGTGAACAATGCTGCTATGAACATTGTGTATGAGTTTTGTGAGGACATTTGTTTTCATTTCTTTTGAGTATATACCTAGGAGTGAAATTGCTGGGTCATATGGTATCACTTGGTTGACCATTTTGAGGAACTGCCAAATCATTTTCCAAGGCAGCTGCACCATTTTACATTTCCACTAGCAATGTATAAGGATTCCAGTTTCTTCACACCCTCGCCAATACCTCTTATGGCTATTGCTTTGTTTTGTTTTTAGTATTAGTCACCCTGACAGGCATGAAGTGGTATCTTATTGTGGTTTTGACTTGCATTTCCCTAATAATAATGATGTTGAATGTCTTTTATGTGCTTGTTGGCCATTTCTATTTAATATGTCTCCTTTGGAGAAATGTCTATATAAGTATTTTCCCTATTTCTAAATTGGGTTATTTGTCATTTTATTGTTGACTTGTAGGAGTTCTTTATATACTCTGGATACAAGTTCCTGTCATATATCAAGATTGCAAATATTTTCTGTCATATTGTAGGTTGCCTTCTCACTTTCTTGATAAAATCTTTGATGTCCCCAAGTTTTTTATTTCTATGAAGTCCAATTTATCTTTTTTGTTTGTTTTATTGCTTGTGCTTTTATTGGCCTACCTAAACAGGCTTATCCTAAGTTCTCAAAGATTCACATGTGTGTTTTCTTGTAAGAGTTTGTTTCTTTTGGCTCTTTTATTTAGGTCTATTTTGAGTTGATTTTTATAGACAGTGTGCGGTAGGAGTCTAATTTTATTCTTTTGCACGTAGATATCTAATCGTCACCGTACCATTTGTTGAAAAGATTATTCTTTCCCCCATTGAATTATCTCGGGACACTCACTGAAAATCAATTGATTATAAATATGAGGGTTTATTTCTGGATTCTCAATTCCATTCCAGGATATGGGTTTATCCTTCTGTCAGTTTCACACTGTCTTGTTTACAATAGCATTGTAATAGTAAGCCTTGAAATTGTGAAGTGTGAGCCTTCCAGTTTTGTTATTCTTTTTCAAGATTGTTTCTGGGCCTCTTACATTTCCATGTGGATTTTAGAATCAGCTTGTCAACTTTTGCAAGAAAGCCAGCTGGGAATTTGATAGGGATTTCATTAAATCTGTAGTTCAATTTATAGAATATTGCCATCTTAATGATATTAAATCTTCCAGTCAGTGAACACAAGCTGTCTTTCCATTTGTTTAGGCGTTCATTCATTGCATTCAACATTTTTTTGTAGTTTTCAGAGTACAAGTTTTATACTTTTTTTTGTGAAATTTGTTCCTAAGTGTTTTATTCATTGTGCTGCTATCATAAATGGAATTCTTTTCTTAATTTCATTTTGGATTCTTCATTGTTAGTGTATAGAAATACAACTGTTTTTAATATTATTTTTTAGCCTGCAAACTTACTGAACTTGTTAATTAGTTCTTTTTAAGCAGATTTCTTATTCAAATACAATATGTCATCTGCAAATAAAAATAGTTTTACTTTTCTTCTTTCTGAACTAGATGCCTTTTATTTGGCTATAATTGCGGTTTTTGCCAATAAAAAGTAATGGCAAAAACCACAATTACTTTTGCACCAACCTAATATTTCATTTTTCTTACCTAACTTCCCTGGCTATAACCTTCAGGTTGAATACAAGTGGTGAGAGCAGACATCTTGTCTTTTTCCTGATCTTAGGGGGAAAGTATTGTCTTTCCCAGGTAAATATTAGCTCTGGGCTTTTAGTACATGCCTTTCATCATCAGGTTGTGGAAGTTCTCTTCTATTCCTGTTAATAGTTTGCTGAATGATTTTTTGTCATGAAAAGGCTTTGGATGTTGTCAAATGCTTTTTAATGCATCTGCTGAGGTGGTCATGTGGTTGATTGATTTTTGGATGTTAATCCAACCTTGCATTCCTAGGATAACTGGTATATAATGGTGATAATGGTATATAATCCATTATAGTTGAATTGTCTATTTCTCCCTTCCATTCTGTCTGTTTCTCCTTCATGCATTTTCAGTTCCTGTTACTTGCATATTTGTTTATAATTGTTATATCTTCCTTATGGATTGACCCTTTTATCATTGTTCAGCATTTTTGAATGTCTGAGAAATGAATCAAGTGAGGATACAGCAGATAACCTACAGAATTCTGCATCTGCTGAGCCAGATTTTCTGGTAATTTTTTTGAAAATTTCCCAGTAATTTTGTTGAAATTGCATTCAGAGCAACAGATGGGAGTGCAAGAAAGATTGATCGTTATACTAGTTAGGAAGCTTTCAGCTGTAAGAAATGGAAACCCCAACTCTAACTAGCCTAAACAATAAAGCTGACTTATCAGTACACCCAACTGCAGAGTCAAATTGCTTTTGCAACCAGAGTTCCTCATTTGAACCACAGAACATAAAAGTAATTTGAGTAACTTTTCTCAGTTCACCCAAGGATAGGACATACTTAGTACCATTCCAGTTGCATAGGACAGAAGCTACATTATTGCATGCAATGTATATCTTAGGGCTTATTTCTTCTATTGAACTTTGAGAAAGACTGGTCCCATAGTAGTGTAAGCTTCAGATTTATTTTGATCAAGGACCCTGTTTCAATGTGAGTGTGGTGTTTTTGTTTACTTATGTTTTGTGTAAATTCTGGTCTCTCTCATGTGTAGAGTTTATCTTCAAACTGGTTTTCCTCTGGATTAATAGGTGGGTGAGATAGCAGCCAGGGGAAGGAGGTAGCTTTTCCCCTCAAAGCCATGGAAAAAATGTCCTGAATCCTGCTTTGATGGTCAGCATTAAGTCATATGTCCATCCCTAATCAATCTTTGTGGCATATTGAGTTCAAAGCAACCTGGGGGCACCCCTGGAGTTGGGAGTGAAGTCAACCCCACCCAATGCAACCTATACAAAAGGAGAGATTGAAATTGATGTTGGGGAGATACTACAATGTCTTCTAAATTTATCTCCATATTTAAGGCCTAAAATTTTAGGAGCTAGTTTCATGTTTGTGACAAATGCTGGTAGCTGCCTTAGTGGCATTCTATTTCAATGGTAACAAGAAAGTTAACAACTCATGTTATGAAGAAATAGGATAATTCCTAGCGTAGTAACCCAAATAAAGTTAATTATCTTAATTATCTTAATAATCAGAAGATACAATAGCAGATTTATCTACTGCCATTTGCTGTGAAGCCCTTTGTACCACCAACGCTGCTCTGTTGTATCTTTAAAGAGCCTAGTGACTGCAGATCCCCTTCTGCCACAGTTATCATGTGACACTAAGTCATTGGCAGGCAGGGGAGTTCTTTTGAATTCTGGTTGTTTTTAGTTTAGTGCAAATTCGTAAGTCCAGATGAATTTTATCCCAGGGTGATGAACAAATATGGAGATGCTTTCAGAACTGCTATATATAATCTTCAAAACTGTTGGGGGGTAGTTGATGTTAGGAAAATGGAGACACCTCCTCATCCAGATTTTCAAAAGGTCAAATCCTATAAGATGATATCATGTCCTAGAAAAATTCAAGAGCTCATTTTAAACAGATGGTGGAAGAACATTAGAAAAGAAGTTATCGCTAGGAGTCAAAAAAGTAGTTCAGTAATTGTAAGACAGGCCAAATTATCCTCATTATTGATTTGTTGCATCTGGGGAATGCCATACCTATAATGTACCATGACTAGCATGGTTGGAAGTCCTCCAGCGCAGCCTTCTGAAGAGGCTGGAGAGATGCTGGCTCTTTATTGAACTGTGAGGTGGAGTCACAGCTGGCTGAACCAACACAATAACCTAAGTATCTATGTGGCAGGATATCTCTTTTAGAGTATCACAGCGTTTAATCCTTACATTTTTTTCTATAAAACATTTTTTATGATTACTTGGAAAAAGATACAAAAGAACATAATTTGGTGTAATTATTTCAATGAAGCTAATGAGATTTCCTGCCACACAGATGAATACAGAGCATTACCTTCATAACTGTTATAACCTGTTGTGGCAGATGACATCTGGAGTATTTGTCCTGGTCTGAGCAATACATTATAAAATTGGTTTAGAAAAATTTGCAGCAGAGATTAGTATGGCTAGATCTGCCTGGAAAATGACCTGTGAAGGAAAGTTAAGAAAAAAATGTATGTTTAACTTGGGAAAAAAAAAATTTTGGAAGCAGGGCCTGTGATACAGTTTGGATATTTGTCCCTGCCCAAATCTCATGTTGAATTGTAATCCCCAATGCTGGAAGCGGGCCTGGTGGGAGATGTTTGGATCATGGGGGCAGATTCCTTATGGTTTGGTGCTGTCTTCACCATCGTGAGTGAGATCTGATGATTTAAAAGTGTGTGGCACCTCCCCCGGCCCTTGCTCCTATTCTTGCCATGTGATGTGACTGCTCCCCCTTTGCCTTTCATCATGATTGGAAACTTCCTGAGGTTTCCCCAGAAGCAGATGCCACTATGCTTCCAGTTGACAGCTTGCAAAGCCGTGAGCCAATAAATCTCATTTCTTATAAATTACCCAGTCTCGGGTATTTCTTTACAGCAATGCAAGAACGGTCTGACATAGCCTTATACTATCTTCACGTGTTAAAAGAGGACGGGATTGGGCCGGGCGTGGTGGCTCACACTCTTAATCCCAACAGTTTGGGAGGCCAAGGTGGGCAGATCACCTGAGGTTGGGAGTTCACAACCAGCCTGACCAACATGGTGAAACCCCGTCTCTACTAAAAAATACAAAATTAGCCGGACATGGTGGTGCATGCCTGTAATCCCAGCTACTCGGATGGCTGAGGCAGAAGAATCGCTTGAACCTGGGAGGCAGAGGTTGCAGTGAGCCAAGATGGCACCATTGCACTCACTCCAGGCTGGGGCAACAAGAGCGAAACTCCATCTTAAAAAAAAAAAAAAAAAAAACCCAGGATTTTTTTTTTTTTTTAATTTACAGATGAACGATGAGTTGATGTCAGATTAAGGTCAGAGTTTTATTCTATATAAATTAACTGTCTAATGAATAGGTTGAACAGGGAGGGTATAGATTCCCATTCTCTAGGGATATTCAAGTAGATGCTGTAGAAGGATTCTGTAGGGCTGAGTTAGATGACCTCAGAGAGATACTCTGATGTGCTGTGGTTTGTAAACATGTGTGGCATATTTTAAAAGCATATTGTAATTATATTTTAAGCCATACGTATGTAATCTTGGCAAGAACATTGTTTCTTCTCGAGTCATTCACATGCTAATAGGCACTCTCTGAAACACAGTCCTATGCCAGTTGGAGCCTGTGGGATGTGGCATATACTGGGACAAGAGAAGGTTCCAAAGCTCTTATATTAGGTGAATACCAACTCTATCTGGATTTGTCATTCTAAAAGCCATCAGGAAACCATGTTGCTGACTCCTAAGGATTATACGTCTTTTCTTTTCTTTTCTTTTTTTGAGACGGAGTCTTGCTCTTTCGCCCAGGCTGGAGTGCAGTGGCGCGATCTCGGCTCACTGCAAGCTCCGCCTCCCGGGTTCACGCCATTCTCCTGCCTCAGCCTTCCGAGTAGCTGGGACTATAGGCGCCCGCCACCACGCCCGGCTAATTTTTTGTATTTTTAGAAGAGACAGGTTTCACTGTGTTAGCCGGGATGGTCTCGATCTCCTGACCTCGTGATCCGCCCGCCTCGGCCTCCCAAACTGCTGGGATTATAGGCGTGAGCCACTCCACTCCGGGCCATACGTCTTTTCTAAATGCTCCCAAACCACTGTTTAACAACATCCTAAAGACTTTCTAGGCCATGAGAGGTATCATGTTCTGGAATTCGCCTTTTTGAAAATCAGTGTCTTCACTGTTCTCACACGTCTACTATAAATAAGGGGAGTAATTTAATTCCTATTATATGTATGTGTATGTATATGTACATATATGTGTATTTTTATATGTGTGTATATGTATCTATAGGTATATATATTTATGTATAGCAGTAATTACCTGTTTAATGAATGAATGGTGATGATTTAAATGTAAAGGGAATGATGCCAGAGGTTATGAAAAAAAGCTGCCTTCAAAATATGAAATAGAGAAAGAATAGAGAAATGCATGCCAAGCTCTAAATAATTTATTGTAATTTACTTGGTTCTTGGTTTTCTAAAATGGAAATAAAGAGATAATATTGAGCTTAACTCTTACTGAGACTATGACAAACGATAGACGTGCTTAATACATTTTCTTTTTTTGGGGGGCGGGGGGGGACAGAGTCAAGACTGTCACCTAGCCTGGAGTGCAGTAGCGTGATCTCAGCTCACTGCAGCCTCTGCCTCCCATGTTGAAAGGATCCTCCTGCCTCAGCCTCTTGAGTAGCTACAGGCCACCGTGCCTGGCTAATTTTCATATTTTTATTAGTGATGGGGTTTCACCATGTTGGCCAGGCTGGTCTTGAACTCCTGGCTTCAAGTGATCTGCCCATCTTGGCCTCCCAAAGTGCTGGGATTGCAGATGTGAGTCACTGCACCTGACCTAAAAATAATTTCTAATATGAGCTTTTTTACTGGCAGAGTACAAAAAAGTTAATTATTAGAGATTATACAATGTCTCGCTACGCGAGTTGACTGATTTTTTTGTTTTTGTTTTGTTTGGTAAGCTTTCAAGTGCACAGTCTACATAGAGTTTATAAGAAGTAAATCTTGCTTTCAAATTAGTATTTCAATAAAATTAGACACAAGAAAGAGTAAGCTATTGCTTCATCATATTTTCCCCTCTTTATTTTCTTCTCCTTCAATTAATTTCTTGTTGCTATTGTAACAAATTACCACAAATGCAGTGATTTAAGACAACACATATTTATTCTTCTCTTAAACTTTGGAAGTCAGAAATCAGAAATGAATCTTATAGGGCTAAAATCAAGGTGTCAGCAGGGCTGATTCCTTCTGATGGCTTCAGAGGGAATATTCCTTGCCTCACCCAGCTTCCAGTGGCTGCCAGTTTCCTTGGCTATGGCCATATCATTCCAATATCTGCTTTCCTTAACAAATTCTCTTCTCCTCTCTCTGAACTCCTCCCTCCTTTTTGTAAGGAACCTTACAATTACATCAGGCCCACCTGCATAATACAGGCTAATCTCTCATCTCAAGATCCTTAACTTAGTCACATCTGCAAAGTTCCTTTTACCATGCAAGGTGACATATTCACATGTTCTGAGGATTAAGACATGGACCTCTTTGGAGGACTACCACTCGGCCTACCACAATATAGAACACGTATTTTTAAAATAACATATCCTAAATCACTTTTTGAAGTGAGGTAGGTACATGCCATGATCCAACCAACCAATCATTTCTCATTGATATCTCCTTCTTGCTTCCTCTGCTTTATCACTTAAATGCCTATCTAGTTCAGAGGAGGTATGAACTTAAAAAAAAACAAAACAAAACAGTAGGTTCATTTCCAGCACTGAATACTTCATTGATTCATGATATTAACTCAAGTAAGTGCTTTTTACTGGATTAGAAGGAGGGAAGTTGAACTTCACCTGTAACCTGACATTTGTCTGAAGGGCACACTGCCATCACTAGAGTGATGCATGAATCAGTCTGAACAGGGTGAAACAAGTGACATCCAAGTTACAGTTGAACACAGGATTTCGAGAGATCATCTTTTTAGGATTAAAATATTATTATAGATTTTTTATTCTGAAAAAGTTTTTGATTCCCATGCAGTTGTAAGAAATAATACAGAGACGCCATGTACTTTTATTTTATTTTATTTATTTATTTTTTTTGAGATGGAGTCTCACTCTGCCGCCCAGGCTGGAGTGCAGTGGCACAATCTTGGCTCACTGCAAGCCCGCCTCCTGGGTTCAGGCCATTCTCCTGCCTCAGCCCCCTGAGTAGCTGGGACTACAGGCGCCCACCACCATGCCCGGCTAATTTTTTGTATTTTTAGTAGAGATGGGGTTTCACCATGTTAGCCAGGATGGTCTCGATCTCCTGACCTCGTAATCTGCCCGCCTCGGCCTCCCAAAGTGCTGGGATTACAGGCGTGAGCCACCGCGCCCGGCCAATCTCATGTACTTTTAACCCAGTTTTACCAATAGCAACGTCTTGCAAAACTATGGTACACTATTACATCCAGAATATTGATGTAGATACAGACAAAATACAGGTCGTTTCATCACCAACACAATCCTTCATGCCCTTTAAAGCCATTTCCACTTCCCTCCCACATTCTTAACCCTTAGAAAACATGAATCTTTTGTCCATTTCTATAATTTTGACATTTTAAGAATGTTATATAAATGGAATCATACAGTATGCAACATTTTGGTATCAGCTTTATTCACATGGTATAATCCTCTGGAGATTCACCCAGGTTTGATGTGTTAATAATTGGCTTCTTTGTATAGCTGAGTGGTATTCTATCATATAGATGTATTGCAGTTTAACCTATTCATCTGTTGAAAGACATCTAGGTTATTTCCATTTGGGGGTTATTACAAATAGAGCTCATATGAACTCTAGCGTACAGGTTTTTGTGTGAACATAAGTTGTCACTTCTCTGGGATTAATGCCCAGGAGTGCAATTGTTTGGTTGCATAGTTACGTGTTTAGCTTTTTAAGCAACTGCCAAACTGCTTTCCAGAGTGGCTATACCATTTTACATTCCCACCAGTAGTGCACGAGTGACATAGTTTCTCCCTATCTTTGCCAGTATTTGTATCATCACCCTTTTTTATTTTAGCTATTCTGATAGGTGTGCAGTGATATCTCATTGCGGTTTTCATCTGAATTTCCCTAGTGGCTAATGATGGTGAACATCTTTGTGTGTGTTCATTTTCTTATGTAAACTGCTGTCTCCAGAGCACCTTTTGTGTTGCTATGAGGTGCACATGACAGCCAAGAGGGCTCGGCTTAAGGCCTGTAATTTCTGCTTCAACCAAAGCTGCTCCATTTATACCTATTTTACATATAGGGCTTCTGAGCAATTTCGTTTAAACAGAGTGTTCTTTGTTTTGTTTTTGGGTTTTTTTTTTTTTTTTTTTTTTGAGACGGAGTCTCGCTCTGTCGCCCAGGCTGGAGTGCAGTGGCACGATCTCGGCTCACTGCAAGCTCCGCCTCCCAGGTTCACGCCATTCTCCTGCCTCAGCCTCCCGAGTAGCTGGGACTACAGGCGCCTGCCACCATGCCCGGCTAATTTTTTTGTATTTTTAGTAGAGACGGGGTTTCACCATGTTAGCCAGGATGGTCTCGATTTCCTGACCTCGTGATTCGCCCGCCTCGGCCTCCCAAAGTGCTGGGATTACAGGTGTGAGCCACTGCGCTCGGCCCTTTTTTGGGTTTTTTTTAAAGGTATGAAGTCAATGTACTTCATTTAGTTTGTAGGAAATTACTTGGCTTCCCAAAATCCTAGATGAAAACTATATTCAGAAGTAGAAATAAATACACTCAAATATATTTATATAAAATATATTCGAAAGCCAACTATTTAAGCTTATATGTTTTTCTTTATTTCTTTACAGTGAATAACTACAAGCTGACTCTAATTTTAAAAAATAAAAATTTTATCTCTCACCAATTTTAAAATGGCTCAAACATCTCTCATTAATAGTTTGTGATAGCTTCCTTTCATGCAGGACCAGCACTCTGATTATCCTTCTACATGCCAGGCAGGGGGAGCTGCAGTGTGGAAGAATAAAAAGTAAAGACACAACTTGGTTATAAGACTTTTGTTATAAAAGTAATATACTTGTGACATGTAACAATGATGATGAACATGTGCAAAATGCTTGCATACAATCTGGTTTTGTGATTCTACAGATTCAGTATTAGAACATAAACCATTTCCAGGGAACATGAGTCACCCTGCAGTCCTATATTCCTTTGAAGGCAACTTCCCCTAGAGACATTAGTATTTTAGCTCCCTCCCACCCCCACGCCTATGCTCAGGTCCTCTTGCTTTTTTTCCTTAAGGAGAGGTATTTTTTGAGCAAGGCTAAAAAACTTGTCATGCTTTTTAAAAAGCCATCCCTACTACATTTTTCTTAGTCATTTTCACAGCCTAGCAGTAGGAGTGTCAGACTCTCAGTGTTCTCAGAGGGGGACACAGGAGGACATCATATAGCTTGACTGTTGCTAACTTGCCAGTAACTCATTCTGACTCAGTGAGGCCATCTGAGGTGACAGTCTGCTGTGGGACCAAAGCCAGAGAACCAAAAGACAGAGGTCACTCCATCCCAGCTCCCAGGGAGCAGCCTGACCTCCCCAGCTGCTTCATGGTCCAACCAGGGCTCCCGGCTGCCCATCCACGTGCATATAAGTGACTCTCCGGAGGAACACAGATTGGCCACAGTGGAACATTTTTCTCCCATGTTATCATCCATCCTGATTCTTCGGCTGGGGAAATCTGTGAAAAGTCAAGGATAGGTCTGGTGAAAAGAAAATTAAAACAAAATACACGCCTGCGCCTTCATTCTGTCCACGTGCCTTCCCTGGGCATTGCTCTCCCCACAGCTATATTTAAGGGCTTCATACATGGCGGTCAGAAGCTCTCTGGAGAAGTTCCCAACTATTGGCTTATACATGGTTTTCCTTTTCTCTGTGTGTGGTAGAAGAAATCCGTGGGGGGTAATCTCTTTTGGAATCATATGTTTCATGTTCCCATTGGACCTTGGGTTCAAAAGCATAAATAAACATTTAGAAGGAGTGTTTGCCTCAAGGTAGGACCGAGGCCTGCTGGCTGAGTGCACCCTGGGGAAGAGCTTGGGCTGCCTGACCTCACGCTTCATTGGATTTCCCTCTCTAGGCACAGCCAGGAGCACAGCAAAACTGGAAGGGAGAAACAGGGTGCTGGCCAATTTCATCTTTCCCATGAAAAAGTTAATGACATTCCCACTAAATGCGCTTTAACACCAGTCAGAGGATAATAGGGCTGGCAAAGCATTCGCTCTTTTTCCTAAAGAGAGTGGAAGACCCTAGTATCTTAAAAAACAAAAATGCAAGACTTGAGCCCATCCCCAAATAATTATAGACTCAAGTCAATGATAGTGTCCATCTGGTCCTGGCCCTTCTGAGATAAATGTGGCTGAGGGTTTTAGCAGAACAGCAGTGTTGTGATAAAGCAGTGCACTATCAATTTGTGCCCTGGTTTTAATAATCTACATGTACCAGTAGCCAGAGAATTATGTGAGACACTTTGAAAAGAATGATCAAAAACTGGAATTGGGCTTTTGCATATCTCTCATTTAATCTTCATAACCACCTATCAGAAGGTATTATTATAAGCCCTGGTTTACATATGCAGGGATTGAGGGTGGCATGGCTAAATAACTTTCCCGAGGTCACACGTACAGCAATATGAAGTGCTGGAAATTGAACACAGTGTCTGGCTTCAGAACTCTCACTCCTAACCACTCAGGAATAGCCCCAAGAAGCCCAACATGAAGGGGTGTGGGGGCTCAAGGGAGAGACCCTGACAGACCAGGGGCGGGCATGAGGGCTGAGACAGAGAAAATACCCCTAGGAGTTAAAACTTGTGTTCAATCTTGAAGGGTGGAAAAAAGTTAGAAAGGGGAAGAAGGGTCAGAAGTGAGAAATAGGAAGATCAACCCAGAAAAGGCAAGGGGATGTACAAACATGCAGAGGCCATGAAGAACATGGCAAGGCTGAAGAAAGCTAGGTAGTGCGGTATGCTCAGATGATTGAATTTGGATTGAAATGAGGAAAGAGGGTGGGGACAGAAGTAGAGGCTAGAATTAAAGCTGGACAACTTTCTAAGTCATACCAAAGAGAAAGGAATTTTGAAGATTGGGAGAAGCCCGTAAAGGATTTTAGGCAGGGAGCAGGGTGACAAGATTTGCATTTAAGGAAGATCATTCTGCTTGTATAGGGGATCACTGTCAGGAAATTAGAGCCCAGAGTATGGCAGCAGAGTAAAATGTGAGACAGCAAGACCAGTTAGTAGACGATGTTTTAATCTGGTAGGAAATGACAGGGGGTAGAGACTAAGAGAGTAGAAATGGGACTGAAGAGGAGGGAACTGATTTGAGAGATATTAAGGGAAGTGAAAGGGCTCTAATGATTGATTCAATTTGAGCGCAAAAGGCCAGAGGTGTACTGATGAAATAACATTTATGCATTTCATAAAGACATAACGGTGGTACTCATTCACATGGAGAGAGCAGGGTGGAAGAAGAGGACAGGCTGGGAAAGAGAAAGGTAATGAGAGCAATTTAGAACATAATGAGTCTGAAGTAACCATAGGGCATGCAAAGAAATATTCCAACAGGAGGCTGGTTAAAAAAGCCTGGAGTTCAAGAGAGAAACTTGGGCTAGGGAAACAGATTGTTGAATCCTCCAGTGGTTTTATTTATTTATTTATTTATTTATTTATTTTTATTTATCTTTGAGACGGAGTCTCGCTCTGTTGCCCAGGCTGGAGTGAAATGGCACAATCTCGGCTCACTGCAACATCCACCTCCCAGGTTCAAGTGATTCTCCTGCCTTAGCCTCTTGAGTAGCTGGGATTACACACCCGGCTAATATTTGTATTTTTAGTAGAGACAGGGTTTCACCATGTTGGCCAGGCTAGTCTCGAACTCCTGACATCAAATGATCCACCCGCCTCGGCCTCCCAAAGTGCTGGGATTACAGGCATGAGCCACCGTGCCCGGCCCCTTCCAGTGATATTTGAGGCTGTGGAGTTGTGCCCATTTTTATATTTTCTTCCAAATGTGCTCTCCATACATGCTTTCTGATGCTGGAGCTAGGACTCTGCAAACCTCATTTCTGCTTGACCGTTTGGCTTTTTCTTAGGCTCTGCTAATAGAGGGAAGCTGCAGGGCTGGAGGGAGGACAGGATGTGAGTCTCCCTGCAACCTCACTGCTTCCCTCCAGCAGTTGCAGATCATTCCAGTAACAGCTGTTGGGGCCAGTGTGTAGTTTTTTTTTTAACACTTGCAAAACCGGCTTCCTCTTACCCCCGCTTAGAGACACTAGCAGTGACCAACTATGTCCCCTCTTCCAAGGTCTGGGTCCCTCACTAGGCAGTCTCTTTTCTACATTCTGGTTTTAGTAATTCCAGCTTCTTCCTTTGTCCTTTCAGCCCTAGAGGTGGAGTTGCTTCCTGCAGGTGCTACTTTTGCCATGTCTTAGAGTTTTCTTTTCACTCTTTGGGTTACTTAGTTAACAACTTTATACATAGTTAACAATTCTTCATGTTAATTTATCTCAGTTAACATAACTGGTGTGGTTCCATCTCCTGACTGAATCCTGACTGTTACAGGGTAAATATGGGGATATCAAAGAAAAGTATAGAGAGTAATAAAAGAAGAGAGCTTCAAAAACAGCCTGGGACCACCTACATTTAAGGACCGTCAGCCCAAGATGTGGACCAGGGAGGTGGCAGGAAATCCAAGAGGGTCTGTGTCTGCTAAGGGAAAGAATCAATCAAGGAGAGATAGAACATTAATACCAGAGAGATAATAGTTAATGGAACAAGATTCCTGAGGGAAGTGGTAGGAGTAGCCTTGTCCCCTGGAATGAAAGGAAAGGAAAAAAAGGAATGAAGGTGGGTGAGGAGTAGATTAGCTTGTGAGCGGGGAAGTTGTCAGTTGAGAATAGGGATGAAGGGAGGTGGTTGGGTCTGAGGGAGGTGGAGCCTTTGAAGAGGATGGAAGAGAAGGCTGCCAAGGGCATCCCATGGGACAGCTCTAGGGCAAGGGGAGGGGAGAAGTCCGAGAACGTGAACTTTAAGTGGCTCCAATCCATGTAACCATGTGTGTTTTTTCTTTGTTTGTTTGTTTGTTTGATTAGGACATAGCAGCCCTTTGTGGGATGTTGAAAAGTCAGACAATGGGATTAATCTAGGGAAGGAGTCTGCTCCAAAGAGACCTAGGTCTCAGCAGGAAAGGGATGAACATGGGGGACCCTCGGCCTAGGTTGTCTAAAATATGAAGTGATGGGGGGTGACAGAAAAGAAAAACCCCACACAACTCTATGTGTGCTCATGAGAGTTTGTGTAGAGGTCAACTCTCTTCTTTAACTAAAGCCATAAAAGGAAAAGTTTTCAAATGTGCTCTGGCTAGAGGGAAGAAAATTCCCTACAGAGACTGGACACTAGTTGTAATCTTCTCAATAAAACCATCATAGTTCATCCTTAGGTCCAACCTAATTTACAAATTACTCTTGTCAAATGGCTTATAAATCAGTATATTTTAATTTCTTATTTATTCTAGGTAAGGAACCTCATTGGAGAGGCAGTATGATAAAAGAGCTCAGAAAACTTTAGCGCTCCTCAAATCTGAAGAATCAGGGATATTGCTGTAATGATGTAGGTCTTACTTGAATGCTATTTTACTACTTCAAATTTTGTTAGGGCTGAGATCAAGTCTGATAAGCACCTTAACTTAGGCAAATAATTATGGTAATAAAAGATTATGCCACAGTGCGCAGGCTTCCAAACTTTTCCAACTATTTTCTTGTAAATACATTTGTACAGGGGTAGTTTTCCCCTAGGACAGACCATAATTTAAAAAACTTGTATTCACTGCAGTCCTATAAATTACTGTTTCCCCTTAATGTTGGAAAGTAGTGATTTATTTTAGCAAAACTGCAGACCTCACTAAGGCATGCTTTATGTGTATGTACTTCCCTAGGGCAAGTGAGACCTTTTCAGCATATTTGGGGAAAGCATGAAAACTATTAAATTAATTTACATGGACATTCTTAAGTTTACTCTGATTTATCATATATTTTGCACAAAATGGCTGTTATATTTGCATTATCCATGAATAACTAAAATATACAATTTTTAATAATTTCTACATTTCTAGAATGGAGCTTTATTATTGCTAAGCACTTTCAATTTTTTATGTTTGCAATTTTGCTTATGAAATAATATTCTGTAATAATATATAGAGAGCTGGGCACAGTGCCTGGTGACTGTAATTCTAACAACTCAGGAGGCTGAGGCAGGAGGATCTCTTGAGTCCAGGAGTTCGAGGATGCAGTGAGTCATGATCATGACACTGCATTCCAGTCTGGGAAACACAGCAAGACCCCACTTCCAAAAAAACAAAGTTATATCAAAGTACTTAAAAAGTACTAATAACAATGACCCGCTCACTGACATGAAATTGATTTTTAACCCTTCTCTTGTCACAGATTCATCTAAGAAGAGTATAGGAAAAATAGTCACACTGAAATAGGAATTGATTTCTTTAATTCAATCATAGAAGCATTTGAAAATAAAATGTATCCAGAAAAACACATGGCATGATGAATTTAGCATAAATGCTGAAGTGCTAAATGGTTTAAGAAAAAAATAAAAGATCCAATGCCATGAAGTGCAGCTTCCCCACTAGCTGTAGTCTGAGGATTGATGCTCGCGAACTACGGGGTAAATGTCTGCAAGAATTGTCACAAATCCGGCAGAAGTTACTTAGTAGAAAAAACACAGGAGTCAGGCAAATCAAGATTCAGCTTCTAGCTCAGCCACTTGCTCGCATTTGACCTTAGTTAACTTTTCTTAGTCCTTGTCTGAAAATTGGAGATAAAGTAACAAAGTCTTACAGCCCTTGTGGGAAATCGCTGGGATTACAAGTGTCAGGTACTGGCACCTGGAAAGCCTGGTGCCAGCGCCTGACACTTGTAACCTCCTTCCCTTATGGTGACCTCCTTCCCTTATGGTCCCTGACTTCTGGGCCTCAGGTTCTGACCTCCCAAATAACCATCTGGGGAGATATCAGAAAAATCTTGCTAGCACTTAGGGGCCAGTGCTACTAACCATCCTTTGACTGGTTAAAAACTTTAAAATGTGGAACTATTTATACTTTAAAAGACCAGATGCTAAATGTGTGATGGGAGAAAAGGAGTTTATTCCCGAAGTTGTTTCTATCAAAGAAAAGGACAGTAGATGGCACCATTGATTCCCATGCCAATGCCTTGCCATCGAAGCCCCCAGGGATCATTACTTAATTTGGATAAATGGCTGAACGTACAGACTCAAAAAGCAGTTGACATAATCAAGAACATTGGAATGACCAGCAAGTTACTTGAAGCATTCAAGAGCAAATGTTCTTGTCAAAAAAGCTTGGCTTCATGACTCCTTTGCCATCACATCCTACCCAAGGGACTAGCAGTGTGATTAATCCATTTGACTGGTTATGAGAACCATCCAAAAATCACAGTGGTACTGTTGGTTCAGGAAAGGGCTCCCTGTGGCCTTCTCCAAAGCAGCTGTTCATTCCTCTGCTTCTCATCAGCTTGAATCTCTGCAGTACTTGACAGTTTATGAAGGGCTTTCCTCTTGGTAACCTCTTCAGACACGCAGGACTGGTCTCATGCACATCTCAGTTCCTGGTTCTCTTCCTCTTTACAGCAGTCTCAATGCTCCTGTAAGGATCTGTGTCACCCACCCCTCGCTTCCACCAATAGTTCTTGGCGGGTGACTCCAGAGTTTCTAGCCAGGACCCTTCTTCCGTGCTCTATTGTCCTTTCTGTCCACCAGACATCTTCACACACATGCCTCACAGGTACCCCAAATTCTTCAGAGCCAAAGTATTATCTCATTATCTTTCCTCTTAGCTCATTCTTCCTGGCTAATGACATTATTACTCTCCCAGCTATGCAGGCTCAAAAGTTTGCCTTCTCTTTTGCCTCCAAAATGTAAGCAGTCACTATATCCGCATCACCCACCTTTATAAAGCCTTTTGAAGTGACTCCTCATTTTAATTTCTATACTTCCTGTCTTATCTCAGGTCCTCATTACCTTTCCCTAGGACTAATTACATGGCCTTCTGAAGACTCATCCAATTTTATCCCATTCTATATGCTCCTGTCCAGCGGAACTCTAATGAGGTCGCTTTCTTACTCTAAAATCTCTGTAATTCCTTACTGCTTACGGTGGAATTTCCAACTTCTCATCCCACACAAGGTTCTCTGCAATATGGGTCCAACCTACTTTCTACTCTCTTACATCTACCTAGAATTCCAACCAATTATCTTGAAACTAACTTTTATTGAGCATTTACTATGTCTTAAACACTGTAATGAACATTTAAAATATATTATTGTTTAATCCTCACAGCATATGATGGCATTATTTTACCCATTTAAAAATGAGGAAACAGCTACTTGGTGAATTCAGGTAAATTACAGGTAAGAATTCAGATAAGTATTATGGCTAGTAAGCAGTATTGAGGGAAGTGAAATCTGAACTACCCATATAGACACTTTGCTTTGCTTATCTGCCTTTATTCATGTTATTTTCTTTCAGTTTCCAGTGTTCTCTCCACATACATTTATATATCAAAATCTTACTTATCTGCCAACACTCATGTCAAATGCCACTTTTTCCTTGAGGTCTCTCTTCATGTCTCCAACTGATGGTGCTTTGTCCTTCATCTGAGTAGCCACGCGCTAATGCGTGCCTGGCATTAGTGATTGGTGAGTTAGTCTAGTCTCATCCTCATCACTGGATCGTGGTCTTTGTAAGGAAAGTAACCATGTTTGCGTGATATTTTTACCCCCTGCACTAATCAAATAATAGATGCTCAGAGTTGAAATAAATTGTCTCTTAAACAGATGAGGTGCAGCATTAATGTCAAAATAATGGCAAACACTCTCTGTATTGCAGTCTGTGTATTCCCTGAAAACCATGGCATTCTATCTAGCAATTAAACAATTAATATAACACAAAAGAGGTGAGAGTGTCTTGCTAAAGATTGACTTTTGACATTAAATACTTCGTTTTTGTGGTTTGTACATCTGAATAACATAGAGACTTCCTTAGATAATCAATGGACACAATTGCTGACTGATTGATTTTTCTTCTATAAGTGATAGGTTGTTACCCAGTTTTTGTTTTGAGCAAAAGAATTAGGTAGTAATGTTGTCCACAAAATGGACTCTTCTCTAAGTCCACACATTTTCCTGTGTTCGTCAGTTGTAAAATCTGGGGGTATCCTTGTTCAACATTGAAAAACAGTCGAAATGATATGACCCAGCAAGTCTACCCCATATGAAACATATGAGAACACGTGTCCACACAAAAATTTGTGCAGCATTACTCATAACAGTCAAAAAGTGGAAACAACCTAAATGTCAACTAACTGACAATGGATAAACAAAAGTGGGGTATTATTCAGCAATAAAAAGGAATGAAATGTTAATACATACTGCAACGTCGGTACACTGTGAAAACATGCTAAGGGAAAGAAGCTAGTCACAAAAAAATGACATATTATTTCATTTACATGAAGTGTCCAGAATAGACAAATCCATAGACACAGAAGTAGATTGGTGGTTGTCTAGGGCTGGAGGGAAGGGGAATGGGGAAATTGAGGAGTGACTGCTAATGGGTATTCTTTTTGGAGTTGATGCAAATGCTCTAAAATTGATTGTGGTGATGGTGGCACAGTTTTGTGAATGTACTAAAAGCCATCGAATTGTACATTTTAAATGAGTAAATTAGATGGGATGGGAACTATATCTTAATAAAGTTGCTATTTTTCAAAAGCAATTCAAAATGATATCCAGGATTACCATGAGATGAGGAGCTATGCTAGTTAGCAGTGACCTAAGATGCTAACAATTTTGCTTGAAAGAGGAAAGTCAGCATTTGAGCAGGCACCCATCAAACTGTCTCCTCAAAACAGATGCTAAGGAAGCAGAAGAAGTGGGAAGAAAAAGGTATTTTGTTTTTTGCTCAGTTCCCTGGGACATTTTACTTTTACCAAAGATTATACTTTGGTTTAGATCAGTCAGGAAATACTTTTTCCAACATCTTTTTTACTCTCCTGTATCTTAAAAAGGCAAAAATGACTATGTTATTGTTTGGACAAAGGGGAACTTTTATTTTTAGCTTTGGTGTTAAATTGGAAAGGCGCTTAGCCCAAATGAGCACTTTTTTCAGCTAGAGACTTTTTTTTTTTTTTTTTTTTTAAACACAAACAGTTTAAAACTTATCTAAGAGCACTTAACAACTGGGCTGTACAGGGAGACTATAAAACAAGCAGCTGTGGTGTTAATGACTATTACACACCCTGGCCAGCTGGGACTTGACAGAACATTGGAGCACAGAAACCCTATAAGTGAATAATATAGGAAACAGTCTATAAATAGGAAGACTATCAGTTATTCGCCAAAACACACAGATTCTGGTGTGACCACACAGGAGTAGGAACACTATCAAGATTTCTGACAAGCTGAATGAAACTTGGGCACAAAGACAGCAGTCGAGATATTATGTTCTCCTGAGTAGATGTTAGGGACTAGCTTAAACCTCATCCCTTCATTTGATTACTTTCCAGCTCTCGAGAGGGGAAAGCAGGGCCTGGAAATCCTGGCTGCTCATGAGTGGGTGAGGGGGACTTTGACTCTTGAGCTGGGCTTCCTGGGTTCTCTTAAAACCCAACACTTTGGGAGGCTGAGGCGGGTGGATCACCTGAGGTCGGGAGTTCAAGACCAGACTGACCAGCATGGAGAAACCCCATCTCTACTAAAAATACAAAAATTAGCCGGGCGTGGTGGTGCATGCCAATAATCCCAGCTCCTCGGGCGGCTGAGGCAGAAGAATCGCTTGAACCTGGTAGGCGGAGGTTGTGGTGAGCCGAGATTGCGCCATTGCACTCCAGCCTGGGCAACAAGAGCGAAACTCCGTCTCAAAAAAAAAAAAAAAAAAGAAAGAAAAGATAAAAAAGGCCAACACATAGGAATGGGGTTGGCGCGGATCTGGTTTGCGGGACCATCCACTTGCTTCAGAGATGCTGAAAAAGTCTGGGGAACCTGGAGAGCCCTCCTGGCCAATGTTCTCCCAGCAGGGAAGTTTCATCCTGCCCTACCATCTGCTTCTTAGGGTGGTGCACAAGGCGGCTTGAGTTTCTCCCCCACTGAAGTTCTCGTCATTTCCAAACATACTTTGTTTGATACTTCTGTCTTTTGGCACATATTATTCCTTTTAGTTGGAATTTCCCTCTTCTTCATCTGGTAACCTCCAACTCATCCTTTTAAACTTGCTTTTCTGTGAAGCCTCTCAGTTCCCTTAGGCAAAATTAGCCATCTCTACCTCTATATTCCTAAAGCAATCTCCATCATAGCCCAGAAATTATGCATGATTCTTCCTCCCCAGACGATGATGAATGCCTCAGACACAAGGATTACATCTTATTTGTTAAAATCTCTATTGCTTAGCATGTCTGACAAATAATAAGTTAATAAATATTTGTGAATTCTATTAGATTGAGATCTTGATAAGCAGCCTAAGAATACAAAGGTGAGTAAACCAGCTGCCTGGCCTAGCAGGAGGAGAGTAAGAGAGTGTGTTTGTGTGTGTGGGGTGTGTGTGTGTGTGTGTGTGTGTGTGTGTGTGTGTGAGAGAGAGAGAGAGAGAGAGAGTAAGTAAAATACTATTAAATTGAATAGCCAGAGACAAAAGACCGACTCTCTTTAATGGGAGTAATTCTAGGCACCCAGAGAAGAGAGATTGGTTCAAATCATACTATAGTGGATATATTAGTTTGCTAGGATTGTAATAACTAAGTACCTTAGACTGGGTGGCTTAAACAGCAGAAATTCATTTTCTCACAATTCTGGAGGCTGCATACAAATTCAAGACCTGTCTGCTGGCAGGGCTGGTTTCATTCTGAGGCCACTCTCCTAGGTTTGTACATGGATGTCTTCTCTCTGTTCCTGTATTCACATGGTCATACCTTGGTCTGTGTGTGTCTGTGTCCTAATCTCCTCTCCTTATTAGGATGCCAATCATACTGGATTAGGACTCACCCCAGTCATCTCATTTAATCTTAAGTATCTCTTTAAAGGACCGGTTTCCACAAAAACACAGTCACATTCTGGGGTACTGAAGGTGAGGACTTTAACACAAATTTTGGAGGGGAGCTTCAATTCAGCCAGTAACACTGGGTAACTACTTTGCCTGAAGTTAAGGCCTGCCTTGTGGATCAACTGCATACTCGTACCTTCCTTGGACTTGATCTTCAAATCTAAGCAATGTTGACAGGGCCCCTGTAAGCACACGATTCGATGTAATTGGAACTGGCAAATGCGGAGGCTGATGTTAATGCAGACTCCAGCTCTTCTCAGTGCTGCATTTGATGGAGAGACCTAGCCTGGGGGACCTTTGCCAGGATGTCAAAAGGTAGGTACATGGTCTCTGACTTGACAAGCTGCAGTCTGTGTGGGCTGCTTTTGTACGACAAATGAATATGCGTTGGAACATTCTGTGCCAGCATGTTCAGCAGCACACAGTACCAAACCATAAGCCTAGAGAGAGAGAGAGAGAGAGAGAGAGAGAGAGAGAGAGAGAGAGGAGAGAGAGAGAGAGAGAGAGAGAGAGAGAGAAGAGAGAGAGAAGAGAGAGAGAGAAGAGAGAGAGAGAAGAGAGAGAGAATGCGCTATTGTCTCTGCACCATCCTTACAAACTAGAGTCACGCTCAGCTAAAGGAATCCATCCCGAGCACTAGACTGAAAGCTAGGCTGATGGCAGCAGCACATCATTCAAGGAGTTCTGCCTCCAAGTGCAGATGTTCATTTCCAAATGGAAAAAAAGAATCGTCATACTATTCTGAAACTATTCAGAGTAGATTCCTCATGGAAAGAGCAACTGGAGTCATTTCCTGAAATAAAATAAGTTTAGGTTTATAAGGTTGACACTCCGGAGGTGTTCTTCCCCTCCCTTAGTTTACTATTTCTCTAAGTGAGGTACTAGGCCACCTATGTTGGACTCATATGCGGTTATTAATCAAAATGCAAATTTCTGTGCTGCCCTACCTTGTGCTGACTGAGTCAGAATCTCTAGGTGGACCTAGGAATCTTAATTTCTATTCTTGTCTCAGGTCATTCTTAGGCATACTAACATGTGTGAGCCACTGATTTAGTAACTGCCTGGAAGTGTAGGAGGGGCACCACCAGGTGAGTAGTTTTGCCTGATCCACCAGATTTGCCATGGATGTGGCTTGCTAAGACTCTGAGAGACTCAGACAGCCAGGAGGCCAGTGCCTGGTAGAAGGGTGCCACCAACTCAGCTCCTGATGCACTCCAGAGATCTGCCCACAGCTCCATCTTCTCTCTCCTCCCTTGGTTCTTCGAAGTCACACCTTGGATGATCCCTCATTTAAAAAAAGAAGTGCCTAAAAGTTGTTTAATCCTGATATTACTCAACATTGATGATGGCGTGGTTAGTAGAAGGGAACTCTCACACCCAACTGCTGGGAGTGTAAACTGGGAGGATCCTTTCCAGAAGGCATTTTGGTAATCTATGGTGAGAAACTATGAATTCTATTTCTAGAAATGAGCCACAAGGGAAAAACTCTATTAAAGGAAAGATTCTATTGAAGATTTACATTCAGAATATTCATCAGAGCCTCATTTATAATAGTGATACATGTTCAACAGACACGTAACTGGTCAAATTCAAAAAATTAAGATATTAGGAAGTCATCTAGGTTGTCACATGTGTATTCCAATCTGCTATGGCCACCGAGCTGTAAGACTCCCAGCTGGAACATGGGCAACCACTCCATCCCTAATGTAACTGACTCTATTTGGAAATCCTTCAATTTTCAGATGACATTAGCTCATGTATTAAAATAAAGTAGAAAGAGAAACCTGGTTTTGAGAAGAGAGGACAGGTGTCTGCTGTTAAATAGTGGATTACATTGCATCTCAAGCCCAAAAGTTCACATATCAGATTTGAGCCTCTACTTCTTTTCATAAAGACATTTGGATTCTTGCCTTTCGAAAGAGGGATGGTATGAGAAATAGGGGATTTATCTGTTTTGGTGAGCTTCTTTAGATTTAGTTTTGAATTTGGAATGGTCTCTTTAAATTTTATAAACTTCAAATTCAAAAAACCTAAAGAATAAATTATTGAACAAACCTCTTTTGACAGGCATGGAATAGACAATAATAAAATTTGCTAACATTAAATATGTACACAAGCAAATGTGCCATTGTACATTTACAACTTGGTGACAATAAGTTTTTTTTGTTTTATTATTATACTTTAAGTTCTAGGGTACATGTGCACAACATGCAGGTTTGTTGCATATGTATACATGTGCCATGTTGGCGTGCTGCACCCATTAACTCGTCATTTACATTAGGTATATCTCCTAATGCTATCCCTCCCCCCTCCGCCCACCCCACAACAGTCCCCGGTGTGTGATGTCCCCCTTCCTGTGTCCAAGTGTTCTCATTGTTCAATTCCCACCTATGAGTGAGAACATGCGATGTTTGGTTTTTTGTCCTTGTGATAGTTTGCTGAGAATGATGGTTTCCAGCTTCATCCATGTCCTTACACAGGACATGAACTCATCATTTTTATGGCTGCATAGTATTCCATGCTGTGTATGTGCCACATTTTCTTAATCCAGTCTATCATTGTTGGACATTTGGGTTGGTTTCAGGTCTTTGCTATTGTGAATAGTGCTGCAGTAAACAAATGTATGCATGTGTCTTTATAGCAGCATGATTTATAATCCTTTGGGTATATACCCAGTAATGGGATGGCTGGGTCAAATGGTATTTCTAATTCTGGATCCCTGAGGAATCGCCATACTGTCTTCCACAATGGTTGAACCAGTTTACACTCCCACCAACAGTGTAAAAGTGTTCCTATTTCTCCACATCCTCTCCAGCACCTGTTGTTTCCTGACTTTTTAATGATCACCATTCTAACTGGTGTGAGATGGTATCTCATTGTGGTTTTGATTTGCATTTCTCTGATGGCCAGTGATGATGAGCATTTTTTCATGTGTCTTTTGGCTGCATAAATGTCTTCTTTTGAGAAGTGTCTGTTCATATCCTTCACCCACTTGTTGATGGGCTTGCTTGTTTTTTTCTTGTAAATTTGTTTGAGTTCTTTGTAGATTCTGGATGTTAGCCCTTTGTCAGATGAGTAGATTGCAAAAATTTTCTCCCATTCTGTAGGTTGCCTATTCACTCTGATGGTAGTTTCTTTTTCTGTGCAGAAGCTCTTTAGTTTCATTAGATCCCATTTGTCAATTTTGTCTTTTGTTGCCATTGCTTTTGGTGTTTTAGACATGAAGTCCTTGCCCATGCCTATGTCCTGAATGGTATTGCCTAGGTTTTCTTCTAGGGTTTTCATGGTTTTAAGTCTAACATTTAAGTCTTTAATCCATCTTGAATTAATTTTTGTATAAGGTGTAAAGAAGGGATCCAGTTTCAGCTTTCTACATATGGCTAACCAGTTTTCCCAGCACCATTCGTTAAATAGGGAATCCTTTCCCCATTTCTTGTTTTTGTCAGGTTTGTCAAAGATTAGATGGTTGTAGATGTGTGGTATTATTTCTGAGGGCTCTGTTCTGTTCCATTGGTCTATATCTCTGTTTTGGTACCAGTACCACGCTATTTTGTTTACTGTAGCCTTGTAGTATAGTTTGAAGTCAGGTAGCATGATGCCTCCAGCTTTGTTCTTTTGGCTTAGGATTGACTTGGCAATGTGGGCTCTTTTTTGGTTCCATACGAACTTTAAAGTAGTTTTTTCCAATTCTGTGAAGAAAGTCATTGGTAGCTTAATGGGGATGGCATTGAATCTATAAATTACCTTGGGCAGTATGGCCATTTTCACGATATTGATTCTTCCTATCCATGAGCGTGGAATGTTCTTCATTTTTTTGTATCCTCTTTTATTTCATTGAGCAGTGGTTTGTAGTTCTCCTTGAAGAGGTCCTTCACATCCCTTGTAAGTTGGATTCCTAGGTATTTTATTCTCTTTGAAGCAGTTGTGAATGGGAGTTCACTCATGATTTGGCTCTCTGTTTGTCTGTTATTGGTGTAGAGGAATGCTTGTGATTTTTGCACATTGATTTTGTATCCTGAGACTTTGCTAAAGATGCCTATCAGCTTAAGGAGATTTTGGGCTGAGATGATGGGGTTTTCTAGATATACAATCATGTCATCTGCAAACAGGGACAATTTGACTTCCTCTTTTGCTAATTGAATACCCTTTATTTCCTTCTCCTGCCTGATTGCCCTGGCCAGAACTTCCAACACTATGTTGAATAGGAGTGGTGAGAGAGGGCATCCCTGTCTTGTGCCAGTTTTCAAAGGGAATGCTTCCAGTTTTTGCCCATTCAGTATGACATTGGCTGTGGGTTTGTCATAGACAGCTCTTATTATTTTGAGATACGTCCCATCAATACCTAGTTTATTGAGCTTTTAGCATGAAGCGCTGTTGAATTTTGTCAAAGGCCTTTTCTGCATCTATTGAGATAATCATGTTGTTTTTGTCGTTGGTTCTCTTTATATGCTGGATTACATTTATTGATTTGTGTATGTTGAACCAACCTTGCATCCCAGGAATGAGGCCCACTTGATCATGGTGGATGAGCTTTTTGATGTGCTGTTTGATTTGATGTGCTGGTTTGCCAGTATTTTATTGAGGATTTTGGCATGGATGTTCATCAGGGATATTGGTCTAAAATTCTCTTTTTTTGTTGTGTCCCTGCCAAGCTTTGGTATCAGGATGATGCTGGCCTCATAAAATGAGTTAGGGAGGATTCCCTCTTTTTCTATTGATTGGAATAGTTTCAGAAGGAATGGTACCAGCTCCTCCTTGTACCTCTGGTAGAATTCGGCTGGGAATCCATCTGGTCCTGGACTTTTTTCGGTTGGTAAGCTATTAATTATTGCCTCAATTTCAGAGCCTGTTATTGGTCTATTCAGAGATTCAACTTTTTCCTGGTTTAGTCTTTGGAGGGTGTATGTGTCGAGGAATTTATCCATTTCTTCTAGATTCTCTAGTTTATTTGTGTAGAGGTGTTTATAGTATTCTCTGATGGTAGTTTGTATTTCTGTGGGATTGGCGGTGATATCCCCTTTATCATTTTTTATTGAGTCTATTTGATTCTTCTCTCTTTTCTTCTTTATTAGTCTTGCTACCAGTCTATCAAATTTGTTGATCTTTTCAAAAAAACCAGCTCCTGGATTCATTGATTTTTTTGAAGGATTTTTTGTGTCTCTCTCTCCTTCAGTTCTGCTCTGATCTTAGTTATTTCTTGCCTTCTGCTAGCTTTTGAATGTGTTTGCTCTTGCTTCTCTAGTTCTTTTAATTGTGGTGTTAGGGTGTCAATTTTGGATCTTTCCTGCTTTCTCTTGTGGGCATTTAGTGCTATAAATTTCCCTCTACACACTGCTTTAATTGTGTCCCAGAGATTCTGGCATGTTGTGTCTTAGTTCTTGTTGGTTTCAAAGAACATCCTTATTTCTGCCTTCATTTCATTATGTACCCAGTAGTCATTCAGGAGCAGGTTGTTCAGTTTCCATGTAGTTGAGCAGTTTTGAGTGAGTTTCTCAATCCTGAGTTCCACTTTGATTGCACTGTGGTCTGAGAGACAGTTTGTTATAATTTCTGTTCTTTTACATTTGCTGAGGAGTGCTTTAGTTCCAACTATGTGGTCAATTTTGGAATAAGTGCGGTATGGTGCTGAGAAGAATGTATATTCTGTTGATTTGGCGTGGAGAATTCTGTAGATGTCTATTAGGTCTGCTTGGTGCAGAGCTGAGTTCAATTCCTGGATATTCTTGCTAACTTTCTGTCTCATTGATCTGTCTAATGTTGACAGTGGGGTGTAAAGTCTCCCATTATTATTGTGTGGGAGTCTAAGTCTCTTTGTAGGTCTCTAAGGACTTGCTTTATGAATCTGGGTGCTCCTGTATTGGGTGCATATATATTTAGGATAGTTAGCTCTTCTTGTTGAATTGATCCCTTTACCATTATGTAATGGCCTTCTTTGTCTCTTTTGATCTTTGTTGGTTTAAAGTCTGTTTTATCAGAGACTAGGATTGCAACCCCTTCCTTTTTTTTGTTTTCCATTTCCTTGGTAGATCTTCCTCCATCCCTTTATTTTGAGCCTATGTGTGTCTCTGCACGTGAGATAGGTTTCCTGAATACAGCACACTGATGGGTCTTGACTCTTTATCCAATTTGCCAGTCTGTGTCTTTTAATTGGAGCCTTTAGTCCATTTACATTTAAGGCTAATATTGTTATGTGTGAATTTGATCCTGTCATTATGATGTTAGCTGGTTATTTTGCTCGTTAGTTGATGCAGTTTCTTCGTAGCATCGATGGTCTTTACAATTTGGTATGTTTTTGCATTGGCTGGTACCAGTTGTTCCTTTCCATGTTTAGTGCTTCCTTCAGGAGCTCTTGTAGGGCAGGCCTGGTGGTGACAAAATCTCTCATCCTTTGCTTGTCTGTAAAGGATTTTATTTCTTCTTCACTTATGAAACTTAGTTTGGCTGGATATGAAATTCTGGGTTGAAAATTCTTTCCTTTAAGAATGTTGAATTTTGGCCCCCACTCTCTTCTGGCTTGTAGAGTTTCTGCCGAGAGATCAGCTGTTGGTCTGATGGGCTTCCCTTTGTGGGTAACCCGACCTTTCTCTCTGGCTGCCCTTAACATTTTTTCCTTCATTTCAACCTTGGCGAATCTGACAATTATGTGTCTTGGAGTTACTCTTCTTGAGGAGTATCTTTGTGGTGTTCTCTGTATTTCCTGAATTTGAATGTTGGCCTGCCTTGCTAGGTTGGGGAAGTTCTCCTGGATAATATCCTTCAGAGTGTTTTCCAACTTGGTTCCATTCTCCCCGTCACTTTCAGGTACACCAATTAAGCGTAGATTTGGTCTTTTCACATAGTCCCATATTTCTTGGAGGCTTTGTTCGTTTCTTTTTGTTCTTTTTTCTCTAAACTTCTCTTCTTGCTTCATTTCATTCATTTCATCTTCCATCACTGATACCCTTTCTTTCATTTGATTGAATTGTCTACTGAAGCTTGTTCATTCATCATGTAGTTCTCCTGCCATGGTTTTCAGCTCCATCAGGTCCTTTAAGGACTTATCTGCATTGGTTATTCTAGTTAGCCGTTCATCTAATCTTTTTTCAAGGTTTTTAACTTCTTTGCGTTGGGTTCAAACTTCCTCCTTTAGCTCAGACAAGTTTGACCATCTGAAGCCTTCTTCTCTCAGCTTGTCAAAGTCATTCTCCATCCAGCTTTGTTCCATTGCTGGTGAGGAGCTGTGTTCCTTTGGAGGAGGAGAGGTGCTCTGATTTTTAGAATTTTCAGTTTTTCTGCTCTGTTTTTTCCCCATCTTTGTGGTCTTATCTACCTTTGGTCTTTGATGATGGTGAGGTACAGATGGGGTTTTGGTGTGGATGTCCTTTCTGTTTTTTAGTTTTCCTTCTAACAGTCAGGACCCTCAGCTGCAGGTCTGTTGGAGTTTGCTGGAGGTCCACTCCAGACCCTGTTTGCCTAGGTATCAGCAGCAGAGGCTGCAGAACAGTGAATATTGTTGAACAGCAAATGTTGCTGCCTGATTGTTCCTCTGGAAGTTTCATCTCAGAGGAGTACCCGGCCATGTGAGGTGTCAGTCTGCCCCTACTGGGAGGTGCCTCCCAGTTAGGCTACTCGTGGGGTCCAGGACCCACTTGAGGAGGCAGTCTGTCTGTTCTCAGATCTCAAACTCCATGCTGGGAGAACCATTACTCTCTTCCAAGCTGTCAGACAGGGACATTTAAATCTGCTGAGGTTTCTGCTGCCTTTTGTTCGGCTATGCCCTACCCCCAGAGGTGGAGTCTACAGAGGCAGGCAGGCCTCCTTGAGCTGCGGTGGGCTCCACCCAGTTTGAGCTTCTGTGCTGCTTTGTTTACGTAGTCAAGCCTCAGCAATTGTGGGTGCCCCTCCCCCAGCCTTGCTGCCACCTTGCAGTTCGATCTCAGACTGCTGTGCTAGCCATGAGCGAGGCTCCGTGGGCGTAGGACCCTCTGAGCCATGCGCGGGATATAATCTCCTGATGTGCCGTTTGCTAAGACCGTCGGAAAAGTGCAGTATTAGGGTGGGAGTGACCCAATTTTCCAGCTGCCATTTGTCCCCCCTTCCCTTGGCTAGGAAAGGGAATTCCCTGACCCCTTGCGCTTTCCGGGTGAGGCGATGCCTTGCCCTGCTTCGGCTCACGTTTGGTGCGTTGCACCCACTGTCCTGCACCCACTGTCCGACATGCCCCCAGTGAGGTGAACCCAGTACCTCAGTTGGAAATGCAGAAATCACCTGTCTTCTGCGTTGCTCACACTGGGAGCTGTAGACTGGAGCTGTTCCTATTCGGCCATCTTGGAACCTCCCTTCCGGCCATATTGACAATAATAAGTTATCTAGGCTAGGCGCAGTGGCTCACGTCTGTAATCCCAGCACTTTGGGAGGCTGAGGTGGGTGGATCACGAGGTCAGGAGTTCGAGGCCAGCCTGGCCAACATGGCGAAACCCTGTCTCTAATAAAAATACAAAAATCAGCCAGGCATGGTGGTGGGTGCCTGTAATCCCAGCTACTTGGGAGGCTGAGGCAGGAGAATCACTTGAACCTGGGAGGTGAAGTTTGCAGTGAGCTGAGATCATGCCATTGCACCCCAGCCTGGGTTACAAGAGCAAGACTACATCTCAAAAATAAATAAATAAGTTATTTAAAGGAAAGTTCAGATGTGATTTGGAAGTAGGTTTGAAAAAGTTGTCAATAGGTGAGTTCAGATGGCAATTATTTCCCAGTCTGTCTCTTGACTGGGTACAAATTTTTGGACAATTAAAGGGATTCCTTAGGTGTCATTTTCTCATTCTTGGCATTTTAGTTAATTTTCAAAATAAATTAGTATAAAAAACAAAATTAAAGGATCTAAGGGCTGGGCTGGATGATCATAATTGAGCTACCGGAGACTGAGGGTGCTTGGACTAGATTAGTGACATTTCAAGTTTTTCTTTAATAACAAAACCCTTGGTTCACACAGATCGCTTTTGCTTAAGCAGAAATGGGGACCCAGTGTCTTGCTTATCTGGCTCATCAGCCCTATGAAGACCCCAGATTAGTCATTTGCATCAGTTAGGACCTTCACTTGCAAACAACAGAATCTGACTTTGGCCAGTTTTCAAAATTGCTAGGAAAGCTGAAGAATTAAGCTTCAGAAAGGAAACCAGAATCAGGGAAGCTCCTGGGTTTGGAGACACAGGAACTAAAAGGGCAGTCTCTTCAGGAGTTGTCATCAGGACCAGACTTGGTGTTCCTCAGTGCTGATTGCCTTGCTTGGGTCACATGTCTATCCCTTGGTCTGGGGGTGTGGGACATTTTGATTGCTCATCTGATCAGGCAGGGGATGGTTAGCAGAAAAGAGGGATGTTAGGAGAATAAAAAATCAAGTGTCCAGTATAGTGCCTTTGAGGTCCCCTCCAAGCCCAGGATTCTATGGCTGTTCCATACTTCTACTGTTCAATCATTAAAGAATTCCCATTTGAGAACCAAAGTGATGCCTTGGCTCCAGAGAACTAGCTGCAGGCTCTGTTCTCATTTCAAGATTTAAACTTGTAAAATAGCAGCATTAACATAGAAGACAAAAAAAATTAAGGAGATAATGGCAGTTTCTTTTGTGGTTCTTTTTTATTCAGTATTTGTTAAGAGCCCAGAGTTCCAGTTAGATCACAATTAAATTATGTATGACCTCGATTAAATATCTTAATTTTCCTGAGCTTCTGTTTCCTCATCTGTAAAATATGACCAAAAATACTTCGTTGGGGGTTTTATTGGGTTGTTCTGTGGGAAATGCTTGTTTCAGTGCCTGGCCTTAATAAGTGGCAGTTAGTACTATTTTTCTGTAAAGGAATTCCCTCTCAAATGTTAATCATGGAAATTTATATGGTCATATTTTAATGAGCTCATTTTCATTAATTCACTGAAGCTTGGAGGCATGGGAACAGATATATATTCTTGGGTTCTCAACAACCAAGCCCAGGAGACTAACAAAATGAACAGTGAAAATTCAATGAAGCTACAGATTTGTGCTCTGTGAGCCCAAAAGTGTCTCACATGGATGTGTCCAGGTATGTAACTGGACACATTACATACCTGGACATTGCTGTATTCGACAGCAACTGGAGAACCATTATAGAAGATGCATTACAAGGCTCACTCTGAAGATTTACCCTAGCTTTTTCTGGAAAGGTTTCCTCCTTGGTGACTTCCATATAATGGCATGAATAGTATATTTCTGTAGAATTTTGATTATATCCTGTCTATTCTCTGTCCTTTGGCAAACTGGAGTGGTTGCTATGACTCCCTGGTACATCATTGTGATGACTAAAGTAAAAATGAGTTTCAGGGCAAAAATGTGTACTGGGAATTGTGAAACCACATGCTTCCGCAAGCAACGCACTAACGGAGGATTTTAAAACAAAGAGTGACTGAAGTCTGGGGAGAGAATTTCACTCAGTTCATCACAAGCACTTTATTAAGAATGGGAAATAGGGAAAAGAGCTGTTTCTAATGCAGATTTACAAATTATCCTGGTGTTACCAGAATTATATCTGAGAGGGGGAGATTCCTGCCCCTTTGTCAACAGAGCATCCTTCCTGTGGAGATTGTGAGTTGGAAAGTCTGTCTTTCCCTACCAGAAACAAATGCCAGTATTCAGAAATTGAGTCAATCCTTCAGAAGTCTTCCATCTTATTATTTCTTAAACCAATGAACCAAAAGCATTTATTTACCACCTACCTTCCTTTTTATTCATCACCATGCTGCCTGCCTGAGCTCTCAGAAGAGAAGAGTGATTCCAACACTTATGGATTGTATATTCTACATGGGGAGACAAGATGTAAACACACAAAATATTAACGCCAAATAGAAATCCATTTGAAATGAAAACTCATTCCTGTGGCTCCCAGGCCTGTTAGAGCAGGATAGCTGGCAAAAATCCCTTGCTCAGCTGGAGGAGTTTTCCATCAGTAAGCTTATCTGTACCTAAAGGAACAGAGTCCAAATTTGTCAACAGATCACGTTTGAAGGAACAGGCAATTTGTTGAAGTCATTTCGGATGCAGGAAATCCTGTGTTTACTACCTAGGAAATACTACTAAAAATTTGGATTTTTTTTTCACCTTGTAACGCTCTTTTGAATTGAAATTTGGCAACAGAGCCACTGCTGATAAGAACGTGGCTCAGGAAATGACAACACAGTGATAGCAGATTATACACAATAGACCTTGCTTCTTTGTTTTCACTCTGGTTCTCAAAGATAGTTGATAGACTTCAATCCTTCCGGGAGTCCAGACACTCCCAGGTTCATTCCAAGCCCACATCTGTAGCACTAATGCTTCAGACAGGCATTGCCATCTCCCTGAAAATGTTTCAAGGACATAAAGAAATGTCTAGGAGTTGCTGGTATGATGGCTGAATAGGAACAGCTCCAGTCTGCAGCTCCCAGCAAGATCAATGCAGAAGGTGGGTGATTTCTGCATTTCCAACTGAGGTACCTGCCTCATCTCATTGGGACTGGTTAGACAGTGGGTGCAGCCTATGGAAGGTGACCCAAAGCAAGGTGGGGAGGTAGCCTCACCCAGGAAGTGCAAGGGGTCAGGGAACTCCCTCCCCTAGCCAGGGGAAGCCGTGAAGGATTGTGCTGTGAAGAATGGTGCATTCTGGCCTAGATACTACATTTTTCCCACGGTCTTCACAACCTGCAGACCAGGAGATTCCCTCAGGTGCCTACACCACCAGGGCCCCGGGTTTCAAGCACAAAACTGGGCTGCCGTTTAGGCAGACACCGAGCTAGTTGCAGGAGTTTTTTTTTTTCATTCGCCAGTGGTGCCTGGAATGCCAGTGAGACAGAACTGTTCACTCCCTGGGAAAGGGGGCTGAAGCCAAGGAGCCAAGTGGTCTAGCTCAGCAGATCCCACCCTCATGGAGCCCAGCAAGCTAAGATCCTTTGGCTTGAAATACTGTAGAACTTAAAGTATAATAAAAATAAAAAATAATAAAAAAAATTCTCATTGTCAGCACAGCAGTCTGAAGTCGATCTGGGATGCTTCACCCAAGTTGAAGCAGTGTGGGGCATTGCCTCACCCGGGAAGCACAGGGGGTCAGGGGATTTCCCTTTCTTAGCCAAGGGAAGCTGTGACTGTCTGTACCTGGAAAAATGGGACACTCCCGCCTGAATACTGTGCTTTTCTGATGGTCTTAGCAAATGGCACACCAGGAGATTATATCCCGTGCCTGGCTCAGTGGGTCCCATGCCCATGGAGCCTTACTCACTGCTAGTGCAGCAGACTGAGATCAACCTGCAAGGCAGCAGCCTGGCAGGGGGAGGGGCGTCCACCATTGCTGAGGCTTGAGTAGGTAAACAAAGCAGCTGGGAAAGTTCGAACTGAGTGGAGCCCACTGCAGCTCACCAAGGCTGGCTACCTCTGTAGACTCCACCTCTGGAGGCAGGGCATAGCTGAACAAAAGGTGGCAGAAACTTCTGCAGACTTAAATGTCCCTGTCTGTCAGCTCTGAAGAGAGCAGTGGTTCTCCCAGCACAGTGTTTGAGCTCTGAGAACGGACAGACTGCCTCCTCAAGTGGGTCCCTGATCCCCGTGTAGCCTGACTGAGAGACACCTTCCAATAGGGGCCAACTGACACCTCATACAGGTGGGTGCTTCTCTGGGACGAAGCTTCCAGAGGAAGGATCAGGCAGCAATATTTGCTGTTTTGCAATCTTTGTTGTTCTGCAGCCTCTGCTGGTGATACCCAGGCAAACAGCGTCTGGAGTGGACCTCCAGCAAACTCCAACAGACCTGCAGCTGAGGGACCTGACTGTTAGAAGGAAAACTAAAAAGCAGAAAGGAATAGCATCAACATCAACAAGAAGGAAATCCACACCAAAACCCCATCTGTAGGTCACCAACATTAACGACCAAAGGTAGATAAAACCACAAAGATGGGGAGAAACCAGAGCAGAAAAGCTGAAAATTCTAAAAACCAGAGTGCCTCTTCTCCTCCAAAGGATCACAACTCCTCGCCAGCAATGGAATAAAGCTGGATGGAGAATGATTTGATGAGTTGACAGAAGTAGGCTTCAGAAGGTCAGTAATAACAAACTTCTCTGAGCTAAAGGAGGATGTTTGAACCCATTGCAAGGAAGCTAAAAACCTTGAAAAAAAGATTAGATGAATGGCTAACTAGAATAAACAGTGTAGAGAAGACCTTAAATGACCTGATGGAGCTGAAAACCATGGCATGAGAACTACATGATGCATGCACAAGCTTCAGTAGCCGATTCAATGAAGTGGAAGAAAGGGTATCAGTGATGGAAGATCAAATTAATGAAATAAAGTGAGAAGAGAAGTTTAGAAAAAAAAAAAGAGTAAAAGGAAATGAACAAAGCCTCCAGGGAATATGGGACTATGTGAAAAGACCAAATCTACGCTTAATTGGTGTACCTGAAAGTGACGGGGAGAATGGAACCAAGTTGGAAAACACTCTGCAGGATATTATCCAGGAGAACCTCCCCAACCTAGCAAGGCAGGCCAACATTCAAATTCAGGAAATACAGCGAACACCACAAAGATACTCTTCGAGAAGAGCAACCCCAAGACACATAATTGTCAGATTTGCCAAGGTTGAAATGAAGGAAAAAATGTTAAGGGCAGCCAGAGAGAAAGGTCGGGTTACCCACAAAGGGAAGCCCATCAGACTAACAGCGGATCTCTCAGCAGAAACTCTATAAGCCAGAAAAGAGTGGGGGCCAATATTCAACATTGTTAAAGAAAATAATTTTCAACCCAGAATTTCATATCCAGCCAAACTAAGTTTCATAAGTGAAGGAGAAATAAAATCCTTTACAGACAAGCAAATGCTGAGAGATTTTTGTCACCACCAGGCCTGCCTTACAAGAGCTCCTGAAGGAAGCACTAAATATGGAAAGGAACAACCAGTACCAGCCACTGCAAAAACATGCCAAATTGTAAAGACCATCAATGCTAGAAAGAAACTGCATTAACTAACGAGCAAAATAACCAGCTAGCATCATAATGATAGGATCAAATTCACACATAACAATATTAATCTTAAATGTGAATGGGATAAATGCCCTGATTAAAAGACACAGACTGGCAAATTGGATAAAGAGTCAAGACCCATCAGTGTGCTGTATTCAGGAGACCCATCTCATATGCAGAGACACACATAGGCTCAAAATAAAGGGATGGAGGAAGATCTACCAAGCAAATAAAAGCAAAAAAAAAGCAGGGGTTGCAATCCTAGTCTCTGATAAAACAGACTTTAAACCAACAAAGATCAAAAGAGACAAAGAAGGCCATTACATAATGGTAAAGGGATCAACTCAACAAGAAGAGCTAACTATCCTAAATATATATGCACCCAATACAGGAACATCCAGATTCATAAAGCAAGTCCTTAGAGACCCACAAAGAGCTTAGACTCCCACACAATAATGGGAGGCTTTAACACCCCACTGTCAATATTAGACAAATGAACAAGACAGAAGGTTTACAAGGATATCCAGGACTTGAACTCAGCTCTGCATCAAGCGGACCTAATAGACATCTACAGCCAAATCAACAAAATATACATTCTCCTCAGCACCACATTGCACTTATTCCAAAATTGACCACATCACATAGTTGGAAGTAAAGCACTCCTCAGCAAATGTAAAAGAACAGAAATTACAACACACTGTCTCTCAGATCACAGTGCAATCAAATTAGAACTCAGGATTAAGAAACTCACTCAGAACTGCACAACTACATGGAAACTGAACAACCTGCTCCTGAATGACTACTGGGTAAATAACAAAATGAAGGCAGAAATAAAGATGTTCTTTGAAACCAATGAGAACAAAGACAACGTACCAGAAACTCTGGGAAACATTTAAAGCAGTGTGTAGCGAGAAATTTATAGCACTAAATGCCCACAAGAGAAAGCAGGAAAGATGCAAAATTGACACCCTAACATCACAATTAAAAGAACTAGAGAAGCAAGAGCAAACAAATTCAAAAGCTAGCAGAAGGCAAGAAATAACTAAGATCAGAGCAGAACTGAAGGAGAGAGAGAGACACAAAAAACCCTTCAAAAAATCAATGAATCCAGGAGCTGGTTTTTTGTAAAAATTGATAGACTGGTAGCAAGACTAATAAAGAAGAAAAGAGAGAAGAATCACACAGATGCAATAAAAAATGATAAAGGGGATATCACCACCAATCCCACAGAAATACAAACTACCATCAGAGAATACTATAAACACCTCTACACAAATAAACTAGAAAATCTAGAAGAAAAGGATAAATTCCTTGACACATACACTCTCCCAAGACTAAACCAGGAAGAAGTTGAATCTCTGAATAGACCAATAACAGGCTCTGAAATTGAGGCAATAATTAATAGCCTACCAACCAAAAAAAGTCCAGGACCAGATGGATTCCCAGCCGAATTCTACCAGAGGTTCAAAGAGGAGCTGGTACCATTCCTTCTGAAACTATTCCAATCAACAGAAAAAGAGGGAATCTTCCCTAACTCATTTTATGAGGCCAGCATCATCCTGCTATGAAAGGCTGGCAGAGACACAACAAGAAAAGATAATTTTAGACCAATATCCCTGATGGACATCAATGTGAAAATCCTCAATAAAATACTGGCAAACCGAATCCAGCAGCATATCAAAAAGCTTATCCACCACGATCAAATTGGCTTCATCACTGGGATGCAAGGCTGGTTCAACATATGCAAATCAGTAAACGTAATCCATCACATAAACAGAACCAACAATAAAAACCACATGATTATTTCAATAGATGCAGAAAAGGCCTTTGACAAAATTCAACAGCGCTTCATGCTAAAAACTCTCAATAAACTAGGTATTGATGGGACGTATCTCAAAATAATAAGAGCTATTTATGACAAATCCACAGCCAATATCATACTGAATGGGCAAAATCTGGAAGCATTCCCTTTGAAAACTGGCACAAGACAGGGATGCCCTCTCTCACCACTCCTATTCAACATAGTGTTGGAAGTTCTGGCCAGGGCAATCAGGCAGGAGAAAGAAATAAAGAGTATTCAGTTAGGAAAAGAGGAAGTCAAATTGTCCCTGTTTGCAGATGACATGATTGTATATCTAGAAAACCCCATCATCTCAGCCCAAAATCTCCTTAAGGTGATAAGCAACTTCAGCAAAGTCTCAGGATACAAAATCAATGTGCAAAAATCACAAGCATTCCTCTACACCAATAACAGACAGAGAGCCAAATCATGAGTGAACTCCCATTCACAATTGCTTCAAAGAGAATAAACTACTTAGGAATCCAACTTACAAGGGATGTGAAGGACCTCTTCAAGGAGAACTACAAACCACTGCTCAATGAAATAAAAGAGGATACAAACAAATGGAAGAACATTCCATGCTCATGGATAGAAAGAATCAATATTGTGAAAATGGCCATACTGCCCAAGGTAATTTATAGATTCAATGCCATCCCATCAAGCTACCAATGACTTTCTTCACGGAATTGGAAAAAACTAGTTTAAAGTTCATATGGAACCAAAAAAAAATCCCGCATTGCCAAGTCAATCCTAAGCCAAAAGAACAAAGCTGGAGGCATCACGCTACCTGACTTCAAACTATACTACAAGGCTGTAGTAACCAAAATAGCGTGGTACTGGTACCAAAACAGAGATATAGACCAATGGAACAGAACAGAGGCGTCAGAAATAACACCACACAACTACAACCATCTGATCTTTGACAAACCTTACAAAAACAAACAATGGGGAAAGGACTCCCTATTTAATAAATGGTGTTGGGAAAACTGGCTAGCCATATGCAGAAAACTGAAACTGGAGCCCTTCCTTACACCTTATACAAAAATTAACTCAAGATGGATTAAAGACTTAAACGTAAAACCTAAAACCATAAAAACTCTAGAAGTAACCATCATCACTGGTCTCTACTAAAAATACAAAAATTAGCTTGGCGTGGTGGCAGGCGCCTGTAGTCCCAGCTACTCGGGAGGCTGAGGCAGGAGAATGGCGTGAACCCAGGAGGCGCAGGTTGCGGTGAGCCGAGATTGTGCCACTGCACTCCAGCCTGGGTGACAGAGCGAGACTCTGTCTCAAAAAAAAAAAAAAAAAAAATCTTACTGACGTAACACAGCATGATGATCATGTGCAGTTATATATCTAAAGGAAAAAGACATCAACAGAAGACATTGATGGAGCATCTAGAGTGGTGAGTAAATGCTAAGCTTTATTAGAATGTATCCATCACTGTCCAAGGATCAAAGAACTTGAAATATTACAGTCCCATCAGCAAGGCTATTAGTAGAGTCGGCAAGGGTTTCTTCTGCAAATTAATTTAACTGTGGGAGAGTCCTTTAGATTATTTATATTTGTTTTCTTTCATTTTATTTTATCATTTTCTAAATTTTTCAGTTAAACTTTAGTTCATTTTTAGTCATTTCTCTTTTTAAGAAATGAAGGCATTGACAAACATACCTTTGTCTTAGTACGGTTTTGGCTGTGTTCTATAGGTAGTGGCTATAATTTTATATGTAGCAATCTTATACTTATTATTTTATAAACCGGAATTGCCAGATTTAGCAATTCTGGCAGTTCTCCAGTTAAATTAGAATTTCAGAAAAACAACAGATAAATGTCTGGTGTAAGTATGTCCCAAAAGTTGCATGAGACATACTTAGACTAAAAAATTACTCAATATTTGTCTGAAATTTGAATTTAACTGGGTTCCTATATTTTATCTGGCAGCCTTATAAAAAACAGATCTTCGATGTTGTTTTGGTTAATTTTTGACTCAATATTTTTGGAGAATTTTTTTCCAATTGATTGTGATATTTTTTGTTTAAACTTTTCTTATTAAATTATATATTTTTGGTGTGTATATGTGGCTCAACTTTAGGTATTACCATAGGTGGCTACTCTCCACTAGGCAATGTCTGGAGACATTTTTGGTTGTCATGACTTGAGAGTGGGAGAGTATTGATTGCACTAGCATCTAATTGGTAGAGGCCAGTGATGCTGCTAAACATCTTACAATGTACACTGTAATATGAAACCCCCACAACAAAGAACTATTTGACATAAAATATAATAGCTGTTGTTGAGAAACCCTGCCATAAACATTTGAAAATAGGGGTTTATCTTTTCAAATATATCTTTGTTTAAATTAGATCTATTAAATCCATCTCATCAATTGTTTTATTCATATCTTCTCTATTTTTTTCATCTTTGGCCTATCAAAGAAAGAGAATGACATACTGAAGTCATTCATTCAATTTAATAAACATATATTGAGATACCCCAGTATGTCAGACCTTATTCTAACTGGGAATACTCAGTAAATGAAACAGACAAACATTTCTGAATTCATGGAGCTTATATTCTAGTGTGTGGGATAGGATCAGGAGATGTAATAAACAAATTTTATGCAAAATATATGATGATAAGTGTTACACAGCAAAACAGAGCAGAAAATAGGGATGGGTTCTGGGATGGGGACATGAATTGTAATTATAAATTGGGTCATGGGGAAGTTATTACTGAGGTCACAGTAGAGCAAAGACCTGGAGGAGATGACAGAGAAAGTGATGTGATATTTAAGAGAAGTATGTTTCAGGCAAAGGAAACAGAAATGCCAAGCCTCTGATGTGGGTTGGTGCTTGGTATGTTCTAGGAAGAAGAGGAAGCCAGTGCGGCTGAAGAAAAGGGAGGAAGAGGGGAAGTGGTGGGGACAAGGTCAGAGGGCTGATGGTGCTGCACTGGTGTTCAGATCATTTAGGGTGGAGGAGGCCATTGTGAGAACTGTGGCATTTGCTTCTGTGTGAGATAAGGAGCCACTGGAGAGTTCAGAGTAATGTGGTTTTGTATACATTTTGAAAGCCTCACTTTGGCTGTTGTGTTGAGAATAGACCATTGACAGGAGACGGGAGGGCAAGGCTGAAGCAGAGAGGCCGGTAAGGAGGCCACTGCAATAACCCAAAAAAGAGATGATGATACTTTAATGAGGGAAGTAACAGTGGAGATTGTGAGGACAGATCAAATTCTGGATTGTAGGTAGAGCCACAAGAATTTGCTATGGGAATGTGTCTGGGCTGTGTGAAGACAGACGGAGTTAGTGATGACCTCAAGGTTTTAGACCAAAGGAAGTAGAAAGATGGAGTTGCTATCATTTAAAATCTAGCAGACTAGAGTAGGAGCAAGTTTAAGACAGATCAGTTCGATTTTGAATGTGTTGGGTTTGAGATATCCACTAGACTTTCTACTTCAGAAATTGAGTAGGAAGTTGGACATATAAATCCAGAGGTCTGGACTGGATACGTAAATATCTGAGTTGTGAGTATACATATGAGATTTAAAACCTCCTATGTATAATTTTTTACTCTATAATATAAAAACTTCAAATAAAAATATTTGAAACTCAATTTTTCTGATTTCAAAATGAAAATGAAGCCAGGTGTGGTGGCTCATGCCTGTAATCCCAGAACTTTGGGAGGCTGAGGCAGGTGGATCGCTTGAGCTCGGGAGTTCAAGATCAGCCAGGGTAACATGGCAAAACTCTATCTCTACAAAAAATGCAAAAAGTAGCTGGTCATGGTGACATACACCTGTGGTCCCAGCTACAAAGGATGCTGAGGCAGGAAGACGGCTTAAGCCTAAACGGTTGAGGCTGCAGTGAACCATGATCCTGCCACTGCACTCCAGCCTTGATGACAGAGCAACACCCTGTCGAAAAAAAAAAAAAAAAAATTAAAAAAATGATAACATATCTCCCAACTATGCCCTATAAAAAATTGGGAAATTGTCTTGCATTTACTTCAAGATTTATTCCTTGAGAGTTTTTTATTCTGTGAAAGTACCTATATTTATCCATTTCAGAATTCTTAAATTTTATTAATGTTTTGGTTGTCCAGAATATACAGAGTATATGTTTAAGAAACTTAGGAGGAAAGGGGCCAGGCATGGTGGCTCACGCCTGTAATCCCAGTACTTTGGGAGGCTGAGGTGGGTGGATCACCTGAGGTCAGGAGTTCAAGACCAGCCTGGCCAACATGGTGAAACCCTGTCTCTACTAAAAATACAAAAATTAGCCGGGCGTGGTGGTATGCGCCTGTAATCCCAGCTACTCAGGAGGCTGAGGCAGGAGAATCACTTGAACCTGGGAGGCGGAGGTTGCAGTGAGCTGAGATTGTGCCACTGAACTTCAGCCTGGGCAACAGAGTTAGACTCAGTCTCAAAGAGAAAAAAAAAAAAAAAAAAAGAAAAAGAAACTTAGGAGGAAAGGGCATATGCAGGATTCTAGGATCTCTAAGGGGATCCCCAATAAGTAACACCTCTTTTTCTCTCTTTCTCTTCTGGGTTTTGAACAAATTGAAGAAAGACAGATGGGAGATGTTATGGACCTAATTTTTTCCTCCCAAAATTCATGTATTGAAGCCCTAAGACCCAATATGACTATATTTGAAGGGAGGGTCTTTTGGGAGATAATTAAGGTTAAATGAAGTCAAAAGGGTGGAGCCTAATCCAACAGGATGGGCGTCCTAATAAGAAGAGGAAGAGACACTGGAGTGCACTCTCTGTCTCTCTGCACGCAAAGAGAAAAGGCCAGGTGAAGGCAGCAAGAAGGTGGCAGCCTGCAAGTGAGGAAGACAGTCCTCACTAGAAACCACCCTGATACCTTGACCTTAAACTGCTAACCTCCAGAACTGTGAGGAAGTAAATTTCTGTTGTTTAAGCTGCCTAGTGTGTGGTATTTTTTTTTTAAATATTATTATACTTTAAGTTTTAGGGTACATGTGCATAACGTGCAGGTTTGTTACATATGTATACATGTGCCATGTTGGTGTGCTGCACCCATTAACTCATCATTTAGCATTAGATATATCTCCTAATGCTATCCCTCCCCCCTCCCCCCACCCCACAACAGTCCCCAGTGTGTGATGTTCCCCTTCCTGTGTCCAAGTGTTCTCATTGTTCAATTCCTACCTATGAGTGAGAACATGCGGTGTTTGGTTTTTTTGTCCTTGTGATAGTTTGCTGAGAATGATGGTTTCCAGTTTCATCCATGTCCCTACAAAGGACATGAACTCATCATTTTTTATGGCTGCGTAGTATTCCGTGCTGTATATGTGCCACATTTTCTTAATCCAGTCTATCATTGTTGGACATTTGGGTTGGTTCCAAGACTTTGCTATTGTGAATAGTGCCACAATAAACATACGTGTGCATGTGTCTTTATAGCAGCATGATTTATAATCCTTTGGGTATATACCCAGTAATGGGATGGCTGGGTCAAATGGTATTTCTAGTTCTAGATCCCTGAGGAATCGCCACACTGACTTCCACAATGGTTGAACTAGTTTACAGTTCCACCAACAGTGTAAAAGTGTTCCTATTTCTCCACATCCTCTCCAGCACCTGTTGTTTCCTGACTTTTTAATGATCACCATTCTAACTAGTGTGAGATGCATTTGATTTGCATTTCTCTGATGGCCAGTGATGGTGAGCGTTTTTCATGTGTCTGTTGGCTACATAAATGTCTTCTTTTGAGAAGTGTCTGTTCATATCCTTTGCCCACTTTTTGATGGGGTTGTTTGTTTTTTTCTTGTAAATTTGTTTGAATTCATTGTAGATTCTGGATATTAGCTCTCGTGTGTGGTATTTTGTTATGGCAGACAGCACGCTAACACAGAAGATTTTTTTAAAATTGTACTTTTATTTGATAGAAGCCTGGTTGGAGGATGTAGCTTAAAATGAGAACAACTAAGCCTGCTAACTGTGCCCTAGAAAAAAGCAGCCCCCCCACTGCAAGGGGTCATGGGCTCACAGCAGGCCTCTCCATGCGGCAGAGCCCTTCTGAGCATCTTGTTCTCAAGAGAAAAAGGTCAGAATGAGATTAGCGTAACCTGTTGTTATTCTGAAATTTACCAATCCCTAGGGTAGACTGAGTAAATGGGTAGGGAGAGGCCAGAAGAAAACTCAGTCCTCATGGGAACTGGGAGAAGGGAAAGAATTCTCCCTCTAAAAACGTGTGTGCTTTCTGAGCTCTTGTGTGTTTGTGTAACAGAGGACAAAGTCAAAAGGGTTTGGCACTTCCTGGTGGGCTCCAACTTCTTTTCTTCTTCCAAGGGGAAGGACACTGCGGGGAGGGCTGGCAGGGTGTTTAAAATCCCTTTAGGGCATAACAATTTAGAGAACTTTTTTATAAAGGGTTAGGTACTGAGGAGTATAATACTCGTTCAAATGGTTGTTTATTAGGGCATAAATACTAAGCCATAAGGGCCCCTTAGAGTACACTTGTTTCCATCAGTCATCATTCATATTTCTGTTGTCAGTTAAGTCTCATCCTTCTTCCCCTTCTCTTCTCTCCCCTCCTCACATCACTCATTCTTTCCCTCGGTCCCTCTCTCTCTCTCTCCCACTCCCCATCCTTATCCTTTGGAGTCAATCTCCTATAAATGTCTTGTTGTAATAAAAAAAAATCAAGAGGTATTTTGGGGACCTTACTTTGCCACCCCCAAATCTTCTCAATTCCTATAAGCCACCCCAAGTATTACACGATTTAAGTACAATTAGTATGCTTGCTCTTCGTTTATTCAGGTATCCATCCATTCATTCCACACACATGGGCTGAGGGCCCACATGTACTGGGTACTTTTTCCAAATACTGAATATTCCAATAAACAAAATAGGTTAAAAAAACTGCCTTTGTGAATCTTATACTCTAGTATGGGATGAGGGGACAGATAATACACAAAGTATACAAATTAGATGTGTGTGTTAGAAAGCAAGTCCTATGGCAAAATAGAGCTGCATACGTGAGATTGGGATTGTAGGGACAGGGGAATTTTAAGTAGGGTGGACAGAGCAGGGTAGGCCTTACTGAGGAGTCTTTTGAATGAAGACCTGATGGAAGCAAGAAAGAGAGTCCCACGGAAAATGAGGGGAAAAGCATTCTAGTCCGAGGGAGATGCAGTGCAAAGGCTCTGAGGTACACACCTACAAAAGAAAGCAAGGAAGGCTGGGCTCAGTGTCTCACACCTGTAATTCCAGCACTTTGGGAGGCCAAGGTGGGCGGATCACTTGAGGTCAGGAGTTTAAGACCAGCCTGGCCAACATGGTGAAACCCTGTCTCTACTAAAATTACAAAATTTAGCTGGGCGTGTTGGGAGGCACCAGTAATCCCAGCTATTCAGTCTCAAAAAAAAAAAAAAAAAAAAAAAAAAAAGAAAAAGCAAGCAAGAAGCCCACGTGGCTGGCATCAATGAGCAGAAATGACTCAGGGATGACTTGAGAGAGGCATGGAGCAGGCGGCTAGCTCACGTAGGGTCTTGTTCATTGCAAAGCCTTTGGCTTTTACTCTAAAGTAAATGGGGACTATTGATTGATGAAATGGGAACCTTTGATTGCTATATCAACACATCATAAAGATAAATCCTCTAAGCCCAGTAACTTTCTCTCTCTCTCTTTCTCTCTCTCTCTCTCTCTCTCCCCCCACCCCTTTCCTTCTTGCAACCTGATTGCCACCTCTAAGCCTTATTAAATAGATGTGATTAAGCCATCTCTGCTTGGGTTTGAGTCAGAGTCCATGAGATGCTAGAATGGTCATAACCATGTATGCTGGGAGTTTTTGGTATAATAAACATAATCCAATCTGGTTACTAAATTTGTTTTAAAGTTTACATTTGATACTAAAAAGTTTCCTCAAAATATCTAGGTCTTGGTTTCTTTTTACTAATTTTACCTGTAACAGAGATATTTCATTTTATTTACAAACTTAGATCTTTGACTCACTAATAGGAGGAATAATGGCCTTCTAAAGATAACCATGCCCTAATCCCTGGGACCTGTGAATATGTTATTTTATATGGCAAAAGGGGCTTTGCAGATGTGGTTAAGGTTATGACCTTGAGATGGGGAGATTTTTTTAATGGATTTGCTCTAATGAGATGAGTCCTTAAAAGTAGAGAACTTTTTTTACATGTAGTCAGAGAGAGAGATGACCATAGAAGAAGGGTCAGAGAGATGCACTGTGAGAAGGGCTCATGGCTCACGTTGTGATTTATACTTCTTTTAAGCTGCTTAGTTATACTCTTTACCACTTCCAAAGCAGAATTTAATTCCATTATTTGGATTCCTAAACTCTTCACAATTTTTCTTCTTTTTACCAGCAGCTTTTATTTTTAGTTATCTTTCATCCAGATCCATTTTTATTCATCTGATTAGTTTATATTTCATCTGATTTTATAGAGATAATGTTTACTTGCATTTCAGAAAGAATGCAACATAGAAGCCTCTTAAAATTTATGTCTATTTCCTATGGCAGACCCTCTTCAAGAGATGGGCTTTCCCTTTGCATCTCAGTTTTAATACTCCCAATAGTTTATGGTACACAGAATATTTTTCTAGGTCCCAATACTACATTATGAGAATAGTATACCACAATCAAGGGAAGTTTATAACAGGAATACAAAGATGATTCAATGTTGTTAGGAAATGTATTAACATAATTCACTGCATTAATAGGTTATGGAGAACAACCACATGCCTATTTTCATATATAGTAAAAAAGACTTTGACAAAAAATTGATACCTATCCTGAACAAGAACTCTTGGAAAATAGGAATGAATGGTTATTTCTTTAATATAACAATATGCATATTTCAATCCAAAATCTTATATGATGGGGTAACACTGAAAGCATTCACTAAGGCCAAAAACAAGGCAAGGATCCCAACCGTCTCCACTACTATTTAACATTGTTAAATAGCAATTAGACTAGGAAAACTTAGAGGCAAAAGAATAGGAAAAAAATAATAAAATGATTTGTACCATGTTGAGTAGCTGGATTAAAAAAATTATATTTGCAGATGATACGATCATATACCTGGAAAACTCTAGAACTGGGGTCAGCAGGCTATGACCTGCAGCCCAAATCTGGCCCACTGCTTGCTTTTATAAGTAAAGTTATATTGGAACACAGTCATACCCAATCACTTACATATTGACTATGACTGCTTTTGTGCATAAATGAAAGAGTGAATAATTGTGACAGAGACTCCTTAGCACTCAAAGCTGAAAATATGTTCTATCTAGCCTATTATATAAAAAGTTTGTCAACTCCAACCTAGAAGAGAAATGATAAAAATAATTCAAATAATAACAAAATCCAGCAAGGTATCAAGATATAAAATTAACGTGCAAAAATCAAGCTCTCATATATTCAAATAATGACAAGGTAGGAGATATAATGAAAGAGACAACTTTTATAATAGCAACAAAAATGATAACACATATAGGAATAAACTTAACAAAGAATTTTCAAAACCTATATGAAGAAAACTATTTAAGACTTGTGAAAGACAGAACAGAAGAACTGAACAATTGAAAAGATGTCTCTTATTCTTGGTTAGGATGTCTCAACATTATTTAGTCATAAGTTAACTTATAAATCTAATGAGATCTCAATACAAATGCTAGTAAGCTTTTTAATGTAGCTAGACAAGTTGATTCTAAGTTCTATATGGAAAAGTAAACACATAAGAATAACTAGGAATGCACTTAAGAGAGGTGGTCACCAGATATTACAACATATTACAAAACATCTTTAAGTACAACAGTATGATACTGGAGCATAAATAGATTAATGGAATAGAACAGAAAATCCAGAAATAGATCCAACTACATATAAAAATCTAATATATGATAAAAGTGGTCTCTCAAATCACTGGAACAAAAATTGTATTTTTAGTAAACAGTGTTGGGACTACTAGTTTGTTGTATATTTTTCTGAAAAATATAAAATTAGGCACATCCCACAGACCTTATTCAAGAATAAACTCCAGCCTGGGCACGGTGGCTCATGCCTGTAATCCCAACATTTTGGGAGGCCGAGGCGGGTGGATCACTTGAAGTCAGGAGTTCAAGACCAGCTTGGCCAACAAGGTGAAACCCTGTTTCTACTTAAAAAACAACAACAACAAAAAAAAAACTAGCTGGGCATGGTGGCAGGCGTCTGTAATCCCAGCTACTAGGGAGGCTAAGGCAAGAAAATCGCTTGAATCCAGGAGGCAGAGGTTGCAGTAAGCAGAGATAGTGCCACTGCACTCCAGCCTGGATGACAAAGCAAGACTTCATCTCAAAAAATAAATAAATAAATAAATAAATAAATAAATAAATAAATAAACTCCAAATGAATTATATATATAAATTTGAAAAATATAACCATATAATAACTAGAAGAGAACCTGGGTGAATTCCTCTTTAACCTCAGTATAAGAATTAGCTTTCCAAGTACAGCAAAAGAGATTGGTAAACCCTTTTTGAGGTGACAAAAAAAAAAAGATTGATAAACCTGACTACACAAAACCACCAAACTTTTATATGGGAAAAAACAACCTAAACAAAGTCAAAGGCAAATGACAAACTGGGAAGAAAGTCTTCACTATATATATTAAAGTAAAAAGATCTAATATATTATTTATAAAGAACTCTTAAAAATTGAAAAAAAATACCAAAAATCCCATAGAAAAGTAGGAAACAGGTACAAAGAGACACTTTTTAAATTAAGAGATGTTAAAAATGGTCCTTAAACATAAAAATATACTTAATTCACTTATAAAAAAGAATTGCAAATTAAAACTTCATTGAGATATGTCTTATCCATCAAATTGACAAAAATTCACAAGCTTAGCAAGGCTATGAGGAAAGGTACACTTATACATTGATAGTGGGAATGCAAAATTGTACAATGGTACCTATGAGGAGAATGTAGCAATATTTAAAAAGAGGACATGTGTACCCATCTACTCTTTGACCTAGTGATCTCACCTCTAGAAATTTATACTGGAAATATACTTCCACCTATAATAAATAGATATGCACAAAGTTGCTCATTGCAAAGTTGTATGTAATTGGAAAATATTGAAGAATGATTGAATAGACTATGAAAATACTATGAAGTACTATGCAACCTTAAAGAGGAATGAGGATGAAGATCTTTATGATTGAATGTGGGCTGATTTCCAGCAGATATTATAAAATATAAAAACTCACTGCAAAAGAATATATGTAATATGCTACCTTTTGTACAAAAGCATAGGAAAGCTAAGAAAACATATATATTCATTTATATTAATATAAACATATACATATATACATACATACATGCATTCATCATTACACAAGAAACAGGAAGAAAAAAAAGAAAATACTGAGGTTGGATACTTACAAGGCAGGATGGTAGAGTGGGGATGAGGGTAATGGAGAGGAAGAAAGACAAGAAAGAATGAAAGTTCTCTGAGTATACCTTTTCATGCAGTTTTGACTTTGAAAGTACAATCATGTGCCGCATAATGACATTTCAATCAATGCATATACAATGGTGGTCTCATAAGTTTATAATGAAGCTGAAAAACTGCTATTACGTAGTGATATTATAGCTGTTGTAACATAGTAGTGCAGTTACTTTATTTTTTATAAATGTAATGTAGCCTAGATATACAGTGTTTATAAACTCTACAGTAGTGTACAGTAGTGTCTGAGGCCTTCACATTCACTCACCACTTATTCACTGACTTGCCCAGAGCAATTTCCTGTCCTGCAAGCTCAATTCATGGTCTTACTATGTTTCCCAGGCTGATCTAGAACACTTGGCCTCAAGCAATTTTCCTGAATCAGCCCAACAAAGCACTGGGATTATAGATATGAGCCACTGTGCCTGGCCCCAGTTATCTTGTATATCATATTTTTTACTATGCCTTTTCTATGTTTAGATACACAGATACTTACCATTGTGTTACAGTTGCTTCCAATACTCAATATGGTAACATGCTGTACAGGTTTGTAGCCTAGGAACAATAGATTATACCATATAACCTAGGTGTATAGTAGATTACACCACCTAGGTGTGTGTAAGTATATGCTATGATGTTTGCACAATGATGAAATCACTTAAAGACCCATTTCTCAGAATGTATCTCTGTCATTAAGGGATGCATGACTGTATGTTACTAGCCTACATATTTTAAAAAATCAAATCAATCAATAAGAATGGGAAGAGGTGGAACAATATGGCCAAATAGAAGCCTCCACCAATTGTTCTCCCCACAGGGACACCAAATTGAATGACTATCCACACAGAAAAGTGTCTTCATAAGAACCAAAATCAACAACAACAACAACAACAACAACAACAAGAACCAAAACCCAGGTGAGCAGTCATAGTACCCGATTCTAATTTCATATCACTGAAGGAGGCACTGAAAAGGGTAGAAAAGACAGCCATGAATTGCTAATGCCATCTCTCTCCCATCCCTTGGCAGCATTTGCACGGTGCAGAGAGAGAATCTGTGCACTGAGGAGAAAGAGTGCAGTGGTTGTGGGGCATTGTATTTCAACTTAGTGCTGCCCTGTCTCAGCAGAAAGCAACACAAGGCAGAACTCAGCTGGCACCCATGGAGGAAGCATTTAGACCACCGCTAGCCAGAGGGGAATCTCCCATCCCAATGGTCAGAACCTGAGTTCCAGCAAGCCTCACCACTGTGGGCTAAAGTGCTCTGGGGTCCTAAATAAACTTGAAAGGCAATGTAGGCCACAAGGACTGCAATTCCTGGTTAAGTGTTGGTGCTGTGCTGGATCTGAAGCCTGTGGGCTTGGAGGGCACATGAATTAGTAAGACAACAGTGGGGGCAGCCAAGAGGGTGCTTGCTCCACCCCTTCCCTAACTGCAGGCAATGCAGTTCACAGCTCCAGGGGAGACTCCTTCCCTCTGCTTGAGGAGAAGAGAGGGAAGAGTAAAAAGGAGTTTGTCTTGCAACTTGGATATCACCTCAGCCACAGTAGGATAGAGCACTAGGTAGAGTCCTGAGGCCCCCATTCCAGGCCCTAGCTGCCAGATGACATTTCTAGACATACTTGGGCTGAAAGGGAACCTGCTACCTTGAAGGGAAGGACCCAGGCCTGGCAGGATTATCTGCTTACTGAGGAGCCCTTGGGCTCTGAATATTCAGCAGTGGAACCCAGGCAGTACTTGCTGTGGACCTTGGACAAGATTCAGAGAGGTACTGGCTTCAGGTGTGAAACTGTACATTCCTAGCTATGGTGGCTCTGAGGAGGGACCCTTTCTGTGGAGAAAAGGAGAGGTAAGAGTAAAGGAAAATTTGTCTTGCAGCATAGGTACCAGCTGGGCCACAGTTGGATAGAGCACCAAGTGGGCTCTTGGGGTACCCAATTCTAGCCCTTAGCTCTTGGACAGCATTTCTAGACCTGCCCTGGGCCAAAGGGAAGCTCACTGCCCTGAAGGGAGAGTCCTTGGCCTTGCAGCATTTATCATAAGCTGGCTAAAGAGCTCTTGGACCTTGAATGAACATTGGTGGTAGCTAGGCAGTACTTGCCATGGGCCTGGAATAGTACTGGCCACAGGGAGAGACTCCTCTGCTTGTGAAAGAAGAGGAAGGGCTTTCTCTTGTGGCTTGGGTGCCAACTCAGCAGTAGTAGAATAGAGCACCAGGTAGATTCCTAAGGTTCCCAACTTCAGGCCCTGGCTCTGGGATGGCATCTCTGGATCCACCTGGGAGCAGGGGAAACTGACTGCACAAAAAGGAAGGACACAAGCCTGGCTGGCTTCATCACCTGCTGATTGTAGAGCCTTAAGGCCTTGAATGAACATAGGTGATGACCAGGTAGTGGTTACTATAAGCCTTGGGTGATATATGCTGGCTGCAGTTCTGACCCAGCACAGTCCCAGTGGTGGTAGACCACAGGGGTGCTTGTGTCATTCCTCCCCCAGTTCCAGGCAGCTCAGCACACACACACACACACACACACACACACACACACACACACACACACACACACACACAGAGAGAGAGAGAGAGAGAGAGAGAGACACTCCATTTGTTGTTTGGGAGAAAGCAAGGAAAGAGAACAAGAGTCTCTGCCTGGTAATCCAGAGAATTCTTCCAGACTTTATCCAAGACCACCAAGGTGGTGCCTCTACAAATCTATAAGAGCCACAGCATTATTGGGCTTGGGGTGCCCCCTGAGGCATATATGGATACAGTACCCCCTGAGGGGCACTTATATCTCACTTAGACTTAGATCACAACACTCACTTCCCTTTGAATAATTGGAAAGCCTTCCCAAGAAGGACAGGAACAAAAAAGGCCAGACTGTAAAGAGTACAAAAAATGCCTAACTCTCCAATGTCCAGAAACTGATGAACATGCACAACCATGAAGACCATCCAGGAAAATATGACCTCATTTAACAAACTAAATAAGGCACCAGTGACCAATCCTGAAGAGACCAAGAAGTGTAATCTTTCTGACAGAGAATTCAAAATGACTGTTTTAAGGAAGCTCAATGAAATTTATGATAACACAGGGAAGGAGTTCAGAATCCTATCAGAAAAGTTTAACATTGAAAATAATTTAAAAGAATAAGGCAGAAATTCTAAAATTGAAAAATGCAATTGACATCCTGAAGAATGTATAAGTATCTTAACAGCAGAATTGATCAAATAGAAGAAAGAATTACTGAGCTTGAAGATAGGCTATTTGAAAATATGCAGTCAGATGAGACAAAATAAAAACTAAAAAAGAATGAAGCAATCCTGCAAGGTCTAAAACATAGCCTCAAATGGGCAAACCTAAGAATTATTGGCCTTAAAGAGGAGGTAGAGAGATAAATAGGGGTGGAAAGTTTATTCAAAGGGATAATAACAGATAACTTCTCAAACCTAGAGACAAATATCAATATTCAAGTTTAAGAAGGTTATAGAACACCAAGCAGACTTAACCCAAATAAGACTACCTCAAGACATTTAATAATCAAACTCCCAAAAAACCAACAATAAAGAATCATATAAGCAGAAAGATAAAAGAAACACATAACCTATAATGGAGCTCCAATACATTTGGCAGCAGACTGTTCAGTAGAGACCTTATAGGCCAAGACAGGATAGTAGCATGACCTATTTAAAGTGCTGGGGAAAAAACCTTTAATCCTAGAATAGTATATCCAGCAAAAATATCCTTCAAACATAAAGGAGAATGACTTTCTCAGACATACAAAAGACTTGTCCTACAAAAAATGCTAAATGGAGTTCTGCAATCTGAAAGAAAAAGACATAGATGGGCAATAAGAAATCATCTGAAGGTACAAAACTCACTGGTGTTAGTATATGCCAGTATACAGAATATTATAACACTGTAATTGTGGTGGGTAAATTACCCTTATCTTGAGTAGAAAGACTAAAACATGAACCAATAAAAAATAATAATTATGACAACTTTTCAAGACGTCGGCATGTAAATAGAAACAACAAAAAGTTAAAAAGCAGGGGTACAAAGTTAAAGTGTAGAGTTTTTATTAGTTTTCTCTTTGCTTGTTTATTTCTTTATGCAATCAGTATTATGTTGTCATCAGTTTAAAATAATAGGTGATATTATTTGCAAGCCTCATGGTAACCTCAAATTAAAAAAACATACAATAGATACACAAAAAATAAAAAGCAAGAAATTAAAACATACCATCAGAGATAATCACCTTCACTAAAAGGACGATAAGAAGAGAGGAAGGAAGAAAGAGAAGACCACAAAACAACCAGAAAACAAATAACAAAAAGGAAGGAGCAAGTTGTTACTTATCAATAATAACATTGAATGTAAATAGACTAAATTCTCCAATAGAAAGACAGAGTGACTGAATGAAAAGAAAAAAAAAAAAACAAGACCCAACAATTTGTTGCCTACAAGAAACACACTTTACCTATAAAGACATACATAGATTGAAAATGAAGGAATGGAAAAAGATATTCCATGCAAATAGAAACCGAAAACCCAGCAGTAGTTGCTATACTTACATCAGACAAAATAGATTTTACAACAAAAACTATAAAAAGAGACAAAGAAAGTTATTACATAATCACAACAAGGTCAATTCAGCAAGAGGATATAGCAATTGTAAATATATATATATGCACCCAACACTGAAGCACCCAGATATATAAAGCAAATATTACTAGAATTAAGGGGAGGGAGACCCCAATACAATAATAGCTGGAGGCCAGGTATGGTGGCTCAAGCCTGTAATCCCAGCATTTTGGGAAGCCAAGGCAGGTGGATCACTTGAGGCCAGAAGTTTGAGACCAGCTTGGCCAACATGGCAAAACCCTGGGTCTACTAAAAATACAAAAATTAGCCAAGCGTGGTGGTGTGCACCTGTAGTCCCAGCTACTGAGGAGGCTGAGGTATCAGAATTGCTTGAAACCGGGAGGCAGAAGTTGAAGTGAGTTGAGATCACACTACTGCACTCCAGCCTGGGCAACAGAACAAGACTTCATCTCAAAATAATAATAATAATAATAATAATAATAATAATAATAATAATAATAGCTGGAGACTTCAACCCCTCACTTTCATCATTGGAGAGATCATCCATATAGAAAATCAGCAAAGAATCGTTGAATTTAATCTGCACTGTAGATCAAATGAACCTAACAGATATTTACAGAACATTTCATTCAATGACTCTAGAATACACATTCCTCTCCTCAACGCATGGATCATTCTGAAAGACAAGACGATATGTTAGGCCACAAAACACATCTTACATTTTTTTAATTTAAATTATATCAAATGTCTCATCTGACCACAATGGAATAAAACTAGAAATCAGTAACAGCAGGAACTTTGGAAACTATGCAAACACATGGAAATTAAACAATATGTTCCCAAATGACCAGTGGGTTAATGAAGAAATTAAGAAGGAAATTAAAAATTTCTTGAAACAAATGATAATAGAAACACAACATACCAAAACCAATGGGATGCAATGAAAGCAGTACTAAGAGGAAAGTTTTTAGCAATAAGCACCTATATCCAAAAAGTAGAAAAACTTCAAATAAACAACCTAACAATGCATCTTAAAGAATTAGAAAATCAAGAGGAAACCAAACTCAATCTTAGTAGAAGAAAAGGCGTAATAAAGTCTAGAACAGAAATAAAAAAATTGAAGTGAAGAAAAGAATATGAAAGGTCAATGAGACAAAAGAAATGGTGTTCTGAAAAGATAAAATTCACAAATCTTTTGTGAGACAAAGAAAAAAGAGAGAAGACCCAAATAAGTAAAATCAGAGATGTCAAAGGAGACATTAAAACTGATGCTGCAGAAATTCAAAGAATCACTGAGTTTAGAGGCTATTATGAGCAACTATATGCCAATAAATTGGAAAACATAGAATAAATGGATAAGTTTCTAGACACATGCAACCTACCAAGATGAAGAAATACAAAACATAAACAGACCAATAACAAGTAAGGAGATTGAAGTCATAATAAAAAGTCTCCCAGAAAGGCAAAGTCCAGGACCTGATGGCTTCACTGCTGAATTTAACCAAACATTTAAAGAATAATTAATACCAATTCTAGTCAAACTATTCTGAAAAATACAGGAGGTGAGATATTTTCAAATTTAGTATTACCCTGACACCAAAATCAAACAAAGACGCATGAAAGAAAGAAAGAAAGAAAGAAGAAAGAGAGAGAGAGGAAAGAAAGAAAGAAAGAAAGAGAGAGAGAAAGAAAGAAAGAAAAAGAAAAAAGGCGAGGGGAGGGAAGGGAGACAGGAAGACAGGAAGACAGGAAGGAAAAAGGGTCAGGTGTGGTGGCTCACGTCTGTAATCCCAGCACTTTGGGAGGCCAAGGCAGGTGGATCACCTGAGGTCAGGAGTTTGAGACTAGCCTGGCTAACATGGCGAAACCCTGTCTCTACTAAAAATACAAAAATTAGCTGGGCTTGGTGGCACACACCTATAATGCTAGTTATTCGGGAGAATCACTTAAAATTGGAAGGTGGTCGTGCCACTGCACTCTAGCCTGGGTGACAGAGTGAGATTCCATCTCAAAACAACAACAACAACAACAAAAACCATATGATCATTTCAACTGATGCCGAAAAAGAATTTTATAAAATTCAACATCCCTTCATGGGGAAAGCTCTCAGAAAAGTGGGCATAGAAAGAATATACCTCAACATAATCAAAGCCATATATGACAGACCAACAGATAGTATCATATAGAACAGGGAAACATTGAAAGCCTTTTCTCTAAGATCTGGAACATGACAAGAAAGTCCACTTTAACCATTGTTATTCAGCATAGTACTGGAAGTTCTAGCTAGAGCAATCCAAAAACAACAAAAAAGAAATAAAGGGCATTCAAATTGGAAAGGAAGAAGTCAAATCATTCTTTTTGCAGATAATATGATCTTATATTTGGAAAAACCTAAAGATACAATGAAAAGACTATTAGAACTGATAGATACAGTAAAGTTGCAGGATATAAAATCGACATACAAAATCAGTGGTGCTTACATATGCTAACAGCAAACAATCTGAAAAGATATCAAGAAAATAATCCCATTTACAGTAGCTACAAATACAATTAAATGCCTAGAAATTAACCAAAGAAATTAAAGATCTCTACAGTGAAAACTGTAAAACATTGATAAAGAAATTGAAGAGTGCACACACACACAAAAGGAAAGATTCCATGTTCATGGATTGGAAGAATCAATATTGTTAAAATGTCCAAACTACCCTAAGTAATCTACAGACTCAATGCAATCCCTTTCAAAATACCAATGGCGTTCCTCACAGAAATGGAAAAAATAATCCTAAAATTTATATGGAACCGCAAAAGACCCAGAATGGCCAAAGCTATCCTGAATAAAAAGAACAAAACTGGAGGAATCACTTTCCCTGACTTCAAATTATACTACAGAGCTCAGGTAACCAAAACAGCATGGTACTGACATAAAAACAGACACATAAAAACAGAGGGAACAGAATAGAGAACCCAGAAACAAATACATACATCTACATTGAACTCATTTTCGACAAAGATGCCAAGAACATATATTAGGGAAAGGACCATCTCGTCAATCAGTGGTGCTGGGAAAACTGGATATTCATATGCAGAAGAGTAAAACTATAGACTCTTGTCTCTTGCCATATACACAAATCAAATCAAAATTGATTAAAGACTTAAATCTAAGACCTCAAACTATGAAACCACTAAAATAAAACATTGGGGAAACTTTCCAAGACATTGGTCTGAGCAAAGATTTCTTGAGTAATACCCCACAAGCACAGGCAACCAAAGCAAAAATGGACAAATAGGATCAATCACATCAAATTAAAAAGCTTCTGCACAGCAAAGGAAATAATCAACAAAATGAAGTAACAACCTGCAGAATGGGAGAAAATATTTGCAAAATATCCATCTGACAATGGGTTAATAAGCAAAATATATAAGAAGCTCAAATAACTCCATAGGAAAAAATCTAATAATCTGATTAGAACATGGGCAAGAGATCTGAATAGACATTTCTCAAAAGAAGGCATACAAATGGCAAACAGGTATATGGAAAAGTGCTGAACTCTTTGATCATAAGAAAAATGCAAATCAAAACTGCGATGAGATATCTCGCCCTAGTTAAAATGGCTTACATCCAAAATACATGCAGTAATGAATGCTGGTGAGAATTTGGAGAAAAGGGAACCCTCGTATACTGTTGGTGGGAATGAAAATTAGCACACTCACTATGGTAAACAGTATAGAGGTTCCTCAAAAAAACAAAAATTGAACCACTATATGATCCAGCAATCCCACTGCAAGGTATATACCCAACAGAAGGGAAATCAGTATATCAAAGAGATATCTGCACTTCCATGTTTATAGCAGCACTATTCACAATAGCCAAGACATGGAATCAACCTAAGTATCCATCAATAGATGAATGGATAAAGAAAATATGGTGGCCAGTAGCAGTGGCTCACGCCTGTAATCCCAGCACTTTGGGAGGCTGAGGCTGGTGGATCACGAGGTCAGGAGTTCAAGACCAGCCTGGCGAAGATGGGGAAACTCTGTCTCTACTAAAAATACCAAAATAAGCCATACGCAGTGGCGGGTGCCTGTAATCCCAGCTACCTGGGAGGCTAAGGCAGGAGAATGACTTGAACATGGGAGGTGGAGGTTGCAGTGAGCTGACATCATGCCACTGCACTCTAGTCTGGGCGACAGAGCAAGATTCTGTCTCAAAAAGAAAATGTGGTACATATACACATTGGAGTACTATTCAGCCATGAAATGGCCATGTCATTTGCAACAACATGGTTGAAGTGGAGATCATTATGTTAAGTAAAATAAAGCAGCCACATTTTGGAGATAGAGAGTAGTATGCTGGTCACCAGAGGTTGGGGAGGGTAGTCTGAGGGGAGGGGAGTGGGGATGGCTAATGGATACAAAAATATAATTAGATAGAATGAACAAGATCTAGTATTTGATAGCACACAATAATTGTACATTTAAAAATAACTAAAAGTATAATTGGATTGTAACACAAAGGAAGGATACATGCTTCAGGTGATGGATACCTCATTTACCCTGATGTGTTTATTATGTATTGTATGCCTGTATCAGAATATCTCAAATACCCCATAAGTACATACACCTACCATGTGCCTGCAAAAATTAAAAATTAAAAAATCAGTAAGAGTTAGAAGGGAAAACCTGACTAAATCTGAAAGCAAATGGAAGCAAATTAATCTAAGTGCATTTTTTTATGGTTACTATAACCATACTGAAGAGGGAGGACAAAGAAGAAAGAACAAATCCAAGTAACTTATGAAGAGTTTTTAATTATATAATCCTTGTTCTGGACCAGAGTGGAATGTGGGGAGGGGATGCAGAAAGGGGAAGAAGTATGAACAAATTCTGAACTTTTTTTAGTAGGTTAGTTTTTAGTAGTGTTACACAAGAAACAATTTTGAAACTCTTTTAGATTAATATAGAACTGAGCAAATGACTACATGTGTCGATGTGTTGGGAGTTAGGATTCTCACTGTGAAAGAAGGAACATACAAATATAGAATGGGGTAAGGCAAGGAAGAATGCTGTAGGGATGGGGTAGAATTTGAGGTATCAATGTGAACTCATCATTCCTAAAACGTGTATGCGTATGTGCATGTATATATGTGTGTGTTTATATTTGTGTGTACATTATGTGTATATCTACATATATACATTTTCTCCCTCTGTGGAAAATGTTAGAAGCAAAGTTAATCTTGATCTTTAATACCATTTTCCACTAAAAGGCATCAGAGTTCCTTGGAGAAGTGGCTGACTCCACTACCCTGTGGCAGGGTAGTTATAAGATAAACCTGGAACCTTTTGTTATGCCAGACAGTGAGAAAATGCTTTTCTAAAGATGGGGGCATATGAGGACACAGGAGAAAGCTTGAAAGGGCTCTGCCTGGTCAAATCTGGAAGCATTTGAGCATAAAATAATTAAGAACATGAATGAATTATAAACTCCTGGGGGAGAAATTCACAAGCTGAGGAATTCATGAGCCCGTACTCATAATAGGTAAATTAATTAATGAAGGAGGTGAGCGGGAACTTGCTTACTGTAGAATGCTGAGGACCAACTGGTAATTGTGGAGAGAGTGTTGGAGCTAAACAATCATGATTTGCAGCCATCATAGTAAAGATTGGTTTAGACAAGAATCATCGGTGGATGCTAAATCTAGGATAAATTTTAGGTGAGGAGCAGACCACGTGTTAATTGTAAGAACGAAAAAAAAATCATGTAAATCTACACAAAAGAAATTGGGCAACACCTTGACGGAGTGATCAAAATTTATATCACCTATGGGAGACAGATGAAAATTGTGTGTCCCAAGATAGGACACCCTGATACCACCTATGCTATATTCCAGCGGAGAATGTGTAACTTCAAACTAATGAAAAGAAACATCAGACAAACACTAAACAAGGAAAATTAGAGTTTAAAAAAAGATGGGAGGGAGGACTTGTATTCCTTGGCTCATGGTCCCTTCGCATCTTCAAAGACAGCACTCACATTACTCTCACCTCTGTTTCCATCCTCACGTCTCCTTCTCTCCTTCTCTCCTTCTCTCCTTCTCTCCTTCTCTCCTTCTCTCCTTCTCTCCCTCTCTCCCTCTGACTCTCCTGTCTCTTTCTCATAAGGCTCCTTGTGATTACACCGGGCCCACCTGGATAATCCAGGAGAATTAATCTTCCTTTCTCAAAATCCTTAACCTTGTCACATCTGCAAAGTCCTCTTTGCCATATAAGGTAATATATTCACAGGTTCTGGGGATTAGGACATGAACATTTTTGGGGGGCCATTATTCTGCTTACATTCGACTATAATTAAAAAATGTCAATATCATGAAAGACAAAGAAAGCCTAGAGAGCATGAGAGGTTACAGAAATATGACAACTAAATGCAATACCTGATTTTGATTAGATCTTTTTCTGGAGCAGGGGAAACGCTATAAAGAATATACGTTAGTATATCAACTGACATAATTGGAACATGGATGGTATGATTAGATAAATGTATCAATATAAATTTATGAAGTTGATACATGTACTGAAGTTGTATAAGAGCATATCTTTATTCTTAGGAAATGTACACTGGAGTATTTAGGAATTGAGAGCCGTGATGTATGTAACTTACTCTCAGATGGTTCAGAAAAAAATTATGTGTACACGTACACACAAAGGAAGAGCAAGAGAACAAACGATGAAGTAAATGAATACAAGTTTAAAAATCAGTTTTATCTATAGAACAAAAAAGTGTATCTGGAAAAGTAAAAGGTGTTCGTTGTGCTATTTTTATTTTTGAAATGTTTTGTGAGTTTGAAATTATAAATAAAAAGGTTTTTTTTTTTAAATTGTGTATTCAAACTTCTACATACCCCTGAACTTTGTACAACATCCCTGATGTGATAGATGGTCACCCCATCTTGGGCATTCAGTCTAGAGATGTGGACGTCTCTAAGGAAAGGGTACTCAGTATCTTATTAGGCAGCCTGTTCAATCGCTAATTTTAGGAGTTTGAAATTTCTCTATGGCTTAAAAAAATGAAATCAATTGGTTGGTGACTTTTACCCATTGATTGTCACCCTGGCTTCTGGTGAAATACAGAATACGTTTTCTTTCTTTTTAAATATTTGAGAACAGCTGCTATATTTTTGTAATAATTTATTTTGCAGGCTAAAAGTTTCTTGTCAGTAGATGCTTCTGAGTCTGTCTATAAACCTGCTCACCAGGATGCAGTTTCATTTGTCAGCGCTGCTCTTAGAACACGGTATCCATGAGAACACAACACTCCAGCTGTGCTCACGCCAGTGAGGACAGCAGTGGGCCCATCCATTTAGTTTGATTTGTTCCTTCCTCCTCTTCCAACCACACTCTTCCTAGGTCACCACAACGGCCTCTACAGGGTAAAGCCATGTTAATGTTATACATTGATTTTATGACAAAATCAAGGCATTGTGGTTTTAGTGCAGCCCAGATGAGTCCCCGAGGATCAGCGTTACCACAGCTACCTGGTAAAAGGAAACCCTGGAATGAGCCTCATTACTGCTGTAATATAATGTGCTCTAAGCAATTGCCCTTCCACCTTTCCCCTTCCCAAACAGCCAGGGCAAGAAGCCCGAGTTCTTGGCTGTAACTGATAAACAGTGTGATGAGAACAGTTTGTTTAATTCTCGTTAATGAGTTGGCTGCAGTAAATTCCCAGCAACTAAGGACTGAGAACCTCAGAGGCAGGGCTACAGCATCCTTCAATGGGAAGTTTTAGGGCTGCTCTGTCCAGCTTCTAAAGTGTGAAGCCAAGATGTGTGGGAGACTGACCGAGGGTCACAGCTCATGTCTGATAGCAATACAGACAACTCTGGAACTTGGGTCCTAGTGTGTTGCTTAGCTGTTGGTGCAAGACAACAGAATAGGCAGATGGGAATTTGGGAGCCACCTTTTGTGGTGTGTACTTTAATGGCTGTAGATAGTTTCTGGATTGGTCAAGGTCTCCTTTACACAGTCCAGTGGGGGAGAAGTCAATGCCAATTGTCCTACAAGCATTACATGACAGAGGATTCTCTCCCTATTGCATTAATTCTTTAGCAGTGAGCCCGGAAAGATAGTAGGGCCCGCAAGACCCCCTCCTAGCAGTGCCTCTAGCAGACATTGGAAGCCAGCTTTTAGTGTGAACTCACCAGCCATAAAAATGTCAGGCCACTGAACAGCTGCGGCTCTTCAGGGTCAAATAGCTCACATTCAAGGCAGAAAGAGAGGACTGTTTTCTGTAAAAGGCATTTTAAGAGAATTCCTAATAATGAGGTCTTCTGATGGGAGAGTAACTAATGAAGGTGGTTTGAGGGAAGGAAGAAAGGGAGGTTGGGAAGGAAGGAAGTTGAGAAGGAGGGAGCAAAGTCTTTTCCTGTGAGCCTTGTAATGACAGTCAGCTTGCAAAAATTATCTTAAACTTGAAATCCAAAAGGCTTATAATCTGAACTGCTTGAGAGTGACTAGCTCACTAGTGACAAGCCCTCCTTATTATTTCTTCCCTCTGGATCCTCAAAAGTTAAGATATGAATATTAAGGTCCTATTAGTCTAAGAGTTAATCAGAGTGTTTTAGGGATGGGGCTGATGTCTTGAATGGTGGCAGTCTGCATGGAAGTCCAAGGAAGTATTGTGAAAAGCCATCCCATAGAGCTGTTTTATCGAGATATATCCAGATGTGAATAAACTGGAAAAGCAGAAAGCATGGAAAGTTACCAGAGGGAGTTTACCTGAGGCAGCCGGTATGTGCAAAGGAGTAGGATGACTTGGCCTGATTGGGTGGGAAGGTTTCTTGGCTATGTATATTGGGACTTTTCTTTCTTAAGTAGACTTTATATTTTAGAGCAGTTTCAGGGTCATAGCAAAACTGAACAGATGGTACAGAGATTTCCCACATACCTCCCGCCCCCATACATGTGCAGCCTCCCCTATTATCAACATCCCCAACCACAGCTGTCTATTTGTTACAATTGATGGACCGACACCAACACCTCATTATCACCCAGAGTTCATAGTTTACATCAGGGTTCACTCTTGGTGTTATATATTTTATGGGTTTGGACAAATGTAAGATGACATGTAGAGAGTATTTTCACTGCCCTGAAAGTCCTCTGTGCTCTTCATACTTATCTCTTCCTCCTCCTGTCCCCTGGTAACCACTAATATTTTCCCTGCCTCCCTAGTTTTACCTTTTCCAGAGTGGAATCATACACTATGCAGCCTTTCCATATTGGCTTCTTTCACTTGGTAAGATGCATTTAAGACTCCCATGTCTTTTCACGGCTTGATAGGTCATTTCTTTTTAGCACTCAATAATATTCCATTGTCTAGATGTACCACAATTTATCAGTTCACCTACTGAAAGACATTTTGGTTGCTTCCAAGTTTTGGCAATTATTAATAAAGCTGCTATAAACATCTATGTGCACATGTTTGTGTTGACATGAATTTTCAACCCATTTGAATAAATTGCTGGATTGTATAGTAAGAGTATGTTTAGTTTGATAAGAAACTTCCAAACTGTCTTTTAAAGTAGCTGTACCATTATGCATTCTTACTAGTAATGAATGAGAGTTCTTGTGGCTGCATATCCTCTCTGGCATTTGGTGTTGTCAGTGTAGTGGGTTTTGGCCCCTCTAATGAGTGTGTAGTGATATCTTGTTGTTGTTTTAATTTGCCTTTCCTTGATGACACATAATGTGGAGCATTTTTTCATATGCTTATTTGCCATCTGTATATCTTCTTTGGTGAGGAGGCTGTTCAGATCTTTGGCCCATTTTAAAAAATTGAGTTGTGTTCTCATTGGGTTTCAAGAGTCTTTTGTATATTTTGGACGACAGTCCTTTACCTGGTATGTCTTTAGCAAATATTTTTTTAACAGTCTGTGGCTTGTTTTATCATTTTCTTGACTGTGTCTTTTGCAGGCCATAAAAGTTTAATGAAGTCCAGCTTATCAATTCTTTCATGGATTGTGCATTTGGCGTTGCATCTAAAAAGTCACTGTCAAACACAGATGACACTGCCAATGTCATCTAAATTTTCAATTTTCTCTTATCTCCAGGAGTTTTGTCATTTTGTTTAAGTCTGTGATCCATTTTGAGTTAATTTTTTGTAAAGAATGTGAGGTCTTTGTCTAGCTTTATTGTGTTTGCATATGGATGTTCAGTTGGTCCAGTATTATTTTTTGAAAAGACTATATTTGCTCCAGTCTTACCTTTGCTCCTTTTTAAAAAAATCAATTAATTATATTTATGTGGTTCTATTTGTGGGTTATATTATTAGTCTGTTTTTTCACCACTACCACACTGTCTTGATCACTGTAGTTTTATACTATGTCTTGAAGTAGGGTAGAATCAGTTTCCCAACTTTGTTCTTTTCCTTCGATATTGTGTTGGCTTTTCTGTATCTTTTGCCTATTTATATAAACTTTAGAATCAGTTTGTCAATAAAAACAAAGTAACTTGCTGGGATTTTATTGGAATTGCATTGAATCTATAGATTAAGTTGAAAAGATCTTGACAATATCATATCTTCCTATCCATGAATATGAACTATCTCACCATTTACTTGGCTCTTCCTTGATTTCTCCCATTAGAGGTTTGTTGTTTTCCTCATATAGATCTTGTACGTATTTTGTTAGATTTATACCTAAGTATTTCATTTTGGTGGTGTGCTCATATGAATGGTATTGTATGTTTAATTTTCAATTCTACTTTTTCTTTGCTGGTAAATAGGAAAACAATAGACTTTTATGTATTAACTTTGTATCCGGCAAACTGATTTTCCTAAGCTGCTGGTAGTCACTCCTTTCCTCCCCCGTTTTTTTTGTTTTTGTTTTTTTTTTTTGGGACAGAGTCTCGCTCTGTCGCCCAGGCTGGAGTGCAGTGGCACGATCTCGGCTCACTGCACGCTCCGCCTCCCAGGTTCACGCCATTCTCCTGCCTCAGCCTCCCCAGTAGCTGGGACTACAGGCTCCCGCCACCACACCCGGCTAATTTTTTTGTATTTTTAGTAGAGACGGGGTTTTACCGTGTTAGCCAGGATGGTCTCAATCTCCTGACCTCGTGATCCGCCTGTCTTGGCCTCCCAAAGTGCTAGGATTACAGGCTCCTCCCCTGTTTTTGTCTTCCCGTGTCCTTGCTCAGCATCACAGTCATCTCTTCAGACACCTCCTCCCATCCTGGAAGAGTCAGGGTAGCTCTCAACTTAATTTAACTTAGGAAAGGTTTTCTACGCTGGAAGTGATGGTGAGGATATTAACAAGAAATGCTCATGATTACATGAGGGATTGCAGATTCCTTTGCCCAGAAACGTCCTCACATGACCATAATGGGTGCGAATGAGATGGGATAATGATACTGAAATCAGTACCATTAAACCATTTCCTTTCTTCCTTCTCCCAGCAAAAGAGCAAGAGAATCATAAAAAACAAATGCTTTATTCAAACAAAATAGAAAAAAATCATACGTAGGAAACTTTTTCCCACGAAAAACGAAAACATATTAAGGTTTGATACAAATAAGGATCTCCTTTGTCTGAAAACCCTGGGGTGCAGTCCTGTGCTCATTTGTTTGTTTGATACCATGGAAACATGCAGTTGATTGCAGTAGATAAAAGCATGTTAGGGAAGAGACCAAAGGGCAGGTCTGACATTTTCCACAGGATTCAGATAAAAAATAATTCTGATTGGTATTTGCTATGGAAAACACAAAATCCTTATAAACAAGAAACTTGTTCCTCCATGGGCCCCAAATTTTCTCAAACATAAATAATTCATAGGCAGGACACGCTGGCCCATGCTTGTAATTCCAGCACTTTGGGAGGCCAAGGTTGGAGGATTGCTTGAAGCCAGGAGTCTGAGAACAGCCTGGGCAATAATATAGTGAGGCACTGTCTCTGAAAACATTTTAAAAATAAAAATAATAAGAAAAAAGAATTCAGATTTTAAGTCATCTCTTAATTATAGGCTCAACAGGTTTTTAGACTTCAGTTATTATCAATAGAGGCAACAGGGATATAGATACTTAAAACAGTATATAGACCACACAGAAAATAAGCACATAACTCAACACAGTGATGGTTTATAAACACCCCATGTGAGAAGCCCTAGACCCCTGAATTTAATTCTCTCTATATAGTCTAGTGGTTCTCAAAGATATTGTTTATGGAACTAAATGGTATCAAGTAGCTGTTAAGCCTTGGAAGTTGCTAAATTTAGGTTTTCCACTTTATAGGAAACAGCTGATGTTATTAAAAAACAAAAACAGTCACAGAAAGTTTTACCTTCCAGAACTCAGCCTTTTGAACACAGTAATGCATCACATAACGACGTTTTAATCAACCATGAACTGCATATATGGTGGTGGTCTCATAAAATTACAATGGAGCTGAAAAATTCCCCATCACCTAGTGACACTGTAGTGCATTGCATTACTCATGTGTTTGAGGTGATGCTGGCATAAAACAAGCTATTGAGCTGCCCGTTTTATAAAACTATAGCACATCCACATGAACAGTACGTTAATACTTGACAATGATATGTGTTACTAGTTTATTTACTACAAATGTGTTATTTTGAAGTATACTCATTTTTTTTTTAAAGTTAACTGTAAAACAACCTCAGGCAGGTCCTTCAGGAGGTACTCCAGAAGGCATTGTTATCACAGATGACAGCTCCATGCGGGTTATTGCTCCTGAAGCCTTCCAGTGGGACAAGATGCGTAGTGAAGACAGTCTCATTGATGATCCTGACCCCATGTAGGCATAGGCTAATATGTCTTAGTTTTTAACAAAAAAAGTTTAAAAAGTTAAAGTTAAAAACCAAAAAAAGCTAATAGAGTAAGGATGTGAAGAAAATACCTTTGTACAGCTGTGTTTTAAACAGTTATTATAAATCAAAACACTAAATGTTAATAAAGTAAAAGTTATAGTAAGCTAAGTTTTATTACATAATTTAAAAAATAAATTTAGTCTAGCATAGATGTACAATGTTGATAAAGCCCACAGTAGTGTATGTCCTAGGCCTTCACATTCACTCACCACTCACTGACTAACCTGGAGCAACTTCCAGTTCTGCAAGCTCCATTCATGGTAAGTGCCCCATATAGATGCACCATCTTCAATGTTTTATATGGTATTTTTACTGTATCTTTTCTATAGATATGTTTAGATACACAAATATCATTGTTAAAATTGCCTACACTATTCAGTGCAGTAACATGCTGTGCAGTTTGTAGCCTAGGAGCAATAGGCTTTGTATACCATATAGCCTAGGTGTGTAGTAGGCTATGCTATCTACATTTGTGTAAGTATACTCTATGATGTATGCACAACAATGAAATCAGCTTTTGGCACAATTTCTCAGAATGTGTCCTTGTTAAATGACACATGACTGTAATTGTGTCGAAAGCACAGTATTTTAATAAAGGTTATCCCTTGACTAACAAAAAAAATGCACATTAGGTTATAGAAAAGGGGCAAAGTTCTGGATGGATCACATAACTTCACCCCTCTGTCAGAAGCACATTTCCTTCAGTGATCATTGTTTTGGGGAAACTGAAGACAATGAAGCATATGATCTGAAAATTTCACATTCTCCCCCCTTTCTATTAATACACCAAGGTCAACTGAGGATCTAGGTGGTTCTGTACATAATTCCATACCCAAATATACAAATAGGCAGTGGCTGAGTTTGTGGGTGGGAATATAACATTTGTCTAACATGCAGAAGGGTCTCTCCTATCTGAGTGTCAGCTCCACAGAACGTTGTTACTATGAAGCCATGCAGTGAGGTGATAAAAAACAAGATGGTCAGCTATTACAAGAACATCATGAGTTCATTCCAAAGATGATAAGAATTAGTGTTTGGACTGCTTGGGTATTTTATCAGTCACTGGGGCAGTTTGTTTCCAACGTGAACTTAAATTGAGCTAAGGGTGGCTAGGCAGCAAATGTGATGTAGGACAAAGGGAAAGCTTCAACTTTCAGAGGATACTGATAAACAAATTTCTTGATCTGTATGGGTGCCATTTCCCATACTGACCCATATCAAGTTAATTTTTAATAAGAAAAACATGCCTCAAAACAAAAAGGCTTTGATTCTAGAGACTAGAGATTATTTTCTCTACTCTAGTTGAATAATTTCACCAGTAGCCCTACCATACATGAGTTATAACAAGAAATTGTATAACTCATACATAAACCAAGTATAGAAAGAGGTGGCATATGATAACCTGAACATACTGAATGCTGCCATAATAGAAAACTATATTCTTCTAGGTCCAGTAAGTACAAGTTTAAAAACAGGTATATATTTCCGATTCAGTGAACAATTTGCAAAATTGAAATTCAATGGTGGAAACTGCAAAGCAGTTTGATGACACTGTTTTAATAATTCATAGAAAGCATATATGTACACCCAATGAATTCATCTCTTTATTGCATATTGCTATTTTTAAAAAAACATGTACAGTCTCATAACACATACTTTTTTTTTCTCAGTACTATCTAACAACAGTCTTGCACCTAAAGACTAAGTGGTTCCAACTACTAAGCTAATAAGATATAAGACATATAATTAAGTTTACAAATTATGCATTTTCTTTTTGGCATTAATTTAAAAAAACAAAAAAAGTTTAAAATACACACCCAAGAGAGAAAAGTGGCTACTTACACCAGCACCAATCTAAAAAGTAGGTTTTTTTTTTGTTTTTTTTTTTTCTTTTCAACAATGGCACATGGAATTACCTGCACACAGTTTTCAGGGAAAGAAACCAAAAATGGAAATGGCAAAGGAGGCCCACCAGGATGGCCATATCAAAGGAGGATGATTAAAAGGGGCAAGAGGGACAGCTACACAAACTTGCTCCTTTATGTGACTTTCCCTCCACCTGTCTATTCCTTAAACTGTAAGACAAAGCCATTTTCAAAATACAGTTCCAAAACTGAGCCAGACCAAATTTATCCTGCTACAAATAGAAAAGAATATACATAGAGGCACTTTAGTTAAGGAACAGACAAAACCATCATTATATTCCAATCTTCCTCATCTCCAAGCCTTTTTGAGCCAAGTCTCTATCTGCACCTTTAACATGGTGTTATTGCAGACCTGGGTTAACTCGGGATTGGGGGAGTGCAACCTCTGCTTTGTATTTATGACTGTTTTATTTGCTAGTCATTTATTTCCATATAGTGTGTAGAAAGTCACTAAATTTGCAATGAGGAAAAGATGTAAAACCACAGCTCTTGACAACTCTTAGAGCACTATTTCACAGCTTTCACATAGCACAGATAACTCGCCATCTGTGCTAAGCATTATAGTTTATACAAATTATTTTTAAATAGTATGATTCCTGTACAGTGCACACATTGGTATTCTATTCATCCCTTAATATCCCCATTAGAATATAAGCTCTTTGGGGGCAGGGACTCTGTCTTGCTTACCATTGTAGCCCTACTATGCCTGGTACATAGTAGGAACTTAATAAATATTTGTTAATTGACTGAAAAACTCAATTTAGTGAGTAAATAATGTTCTAGTGCAACAGGACAAACTACTCTCTCCACAGGAAACCCAACCACAACAGGATCAATAGAAAGAAAAGAGAAAACGTTAGCCCCCAACTACAAATAAATAAAGCAAAGCCAAAAAAAAAAAAAAAAAAAAAAAAAAGTAAAAAAGTAACAGTCCTCTTTATATATCACATAATTTAAGGATATTAAGAGTTGGTAGGTTAATGGTAAGCATCTATATTTTATTTTCTAATGTTCATTGATTTTATTCATGTCTCCCTGAGAGCTTTATTTTTTTGGACTGAAATTTTACAGGTAGCTTTACTGACACACAATTTTAAAATGACAACATATAAACAGCAATCACTTCAAATATACTTAGAGATAAATAGATCTGGGCATCTCTGCTGATGTTGACATTTTGTGCATTCTTTATGTATCCTTTAGTCCAGACCTATATTTACAGAAAATGCAGCTTGTCCTACAAAACAGAAAATAGAAACTATAACAAAAAGGCACCCCATTAATTTTTTTTTTTTTTTTTTTTTTTTAGTAATCTTTATCCCTTCAGAGAATTCTTCCTTTAAGTCTTGGGTGAGATATTTTATTATTTTTAAGGTTTATATATCTATATTGTTAGAACAAGCATACTCTGGCAATGTTGTTCTTTAAAAAAAGCATGGATTGCATTTATATAGTGTTTTTTTCCAAAAATCTGAAGAAATTATCAAGAGCACTTGGCAGAGATAACTTGATGAAATCAGGGGAAAAAATTGATGTCCAACTTTTAAATATACAAAAACTTGATTGACATTCTACATAATTCAAATTGTGTGCAAGATGTTCTCAATAAACATTTACAGACTGTATCCCCACACCAATGTCAGAAATTCAAAGCTGGTCCTATTACTGATGTGATACATCAACATCACAATGTCAGCTATCAAAAATCATTTTAAATCTATGTTTTTCCAACAACTCCAGTTCCATCAATGAAAATAATTTTAAAGGATATCAAGCTTGGAAACCATAAAATATTTTGCAAGCTTTTTTTGTTTGTTTGTTTGTTTCTTCTGTTTTGCCTTTGAATCTAGGGAATGTCTCTTATCTCTTTCAGGAGATAGTATTGTGCTTCTGAACAGTCATGGCGTTCGGGGAAAGAAAATGAGCCACACTCAATGTGAATGCATACACGAAAGGTTTTGGAGCACATACATTAACATAAATCTTTTTAACCATACGTATAGGTCTCCAGACAACACTCAGACATCTATATACATTTTTTAATATATACACACATACATTTACATACACACGTTCACACATTCACTCACAGATGAAGGAAAAAATTGCCACTGTTTGGATTGCAAGGCAGTGTAATGAAACGTTCTAGTCACTTTAGAGGGCTGCTAATGAGCTTTCTAAAAAAAAGTATTCATGGAAAATTAGAAATTAAGTTTTGTGATTGGTCTCTCTCTGCTGCTGTCAGTCATCTGGTTGGTAATACGTTTGCGATTCCGTTTCAATTTAGAAAGGTCTTTGTCAAACACTTCTCCTGAGCGTAAAGCTGAAACAAGGTCATCAAACTCTCCGCTTTCTTCACTATTCTCTTTAGCTTTTCTCATTTTACGTTCCCTTTCACGTTGTTCTTTGAGCTGCAAATAGAAAGAAATAACCTCTTTGAGACATGTCAAAATGTTGCATTTTGTTTGCAGTAGAGGTCAATTCCTTGAAATATGGTAATGCTCCAGACACCAAGCTATGCTCATCCTATAACCCCCTTTGGATATCACAAGAAAGGGGGAATTGGAACATGGGGTCTCCATTGCAGGAGCAATGGACAACAAAAAACAACCACTCCCTTGTGGTTAGACCCTCACCACCTAGATTCTAGGTAAACTGCATGATATTCTAGTTAAAATAAGAGCAATTGAGGCAATTTGTGTTTCTGCTAATGAAAATTAAAAAAAAGGTATCACTATTACATAGACCCCAAATAACTAAAGCAAATGGTCATCAGGCCATTTTCCTTATATCAAAGGCTTAGCTTGTGTCTACTGTGGAAGCCTGAAACCTGATACACAATAGTTACTGTTATTAAAAGCCAACTAATACATACACATTGTAGACAATTTGGATAATTCAGATAAAAGGAAGGTGGGGGAAACATCTTTAATTCTACTACTGTGAACTTTTTAAAGGTTTATCACACCACTATTATTTTCTATATGTATTAACACACCTTAAAAAACAAAACAGAAAAAGATTTCATGTAGAAATCTTTTTCTGTATCATTATTCTTTGAATACATGTCTTTCAAGGACTGCATAAATATTCCATTATATGGCTGTTATATCATTTAGAACTCATCCCCTTTTGGTAAACATTTAGGTTGTCTTTAGCTTGGTGCTATTATAAAGAATGCTGCCCTTTTTTGTGTAAATTTATGATTATTTCTTTAAAATAATTGCTAAGAAATGGAATTCCAGAGCAAAGGATGTGGATAGATTTTTTTTTTAAGGCTTTGAATATACACTGTTAAATAGCCCAAGAGAAACAACACCAATGTAAAGTCCCACAGCATTCTAGAGAGTACATTGAAGCCTTCCTTCCTGCCAGGTCAGAGTGCTCTCTAAATACCTTTGACTGGGCTGCAGTCATAGAACTTCTAGGAGGTGGAATTGGTCAATTAATCATCCTCTCACCTGAGCTTCCATGCGAGCTCGACGTTCTTCTTCCTCCTTTTTCTTTCTCATATTTTCGTTTTCTTGTTTGGCTTCTGACACAGCTTGAAGAAATTGATCAAAAATGCCAAAGAACTCATCTGGTTGTATTTTGCCAGCCTCTTCCCCAAAGTGCTTCACTGCTTTAGTAAACTAGGAAAAAGATGGTTTTAAGAAGTCAATGTTTCATGAGAATTCCACAATCAAATATAAATAACTTGAGAAAGACCAAAGCCCAGATTGAGTCAAACGTAAGTTTTGTTTGCTCATTTATTTTTATTTCTTTCTTTCTTTTGGAGATGGAGTTTCGCCATCACCCAGGCTGGAGTGCAGTGGCATGATCCCAGCTCACTGCAACCTCTGTCTCTCGGGTTCAAGCGATTCTCCAGCCTCAACCTCCCAAGTAGCTGGGATTACAGGCACAAACCACCATGCCTGGCTAATTTTTGTATTTTTAGTAGAGTCAGGATTTTGCCATGTTGGCCGGGCTGGTCTCAACTTCTGACCTCAGGTGATCTGCCCACCTTGGCCTCCCAAAGTGCTGGGATTACAGGTTTCAGCCACCACACCCGGCAGTTTTTTTTTGTTGTTTTGTTTTAAGAGATGGGGTCTTACATGTTGCCCAGGCTGGAATGCATATGTTATTAGTTTTTTTTTTTTTTAATAGATGGGGTCTTACATGTTACCCAGGTTGGAGTTTAGTGGCTATTCAGAGGTATGATCACAGCAAAATACAGCCAAAAACTCCTGGGCAATCCTTCCTCTTAAGCCTCACGAGTAGCTGGGACTATAGGCATGTGCCGCTGCACCCGGCTGAGTCAAATATAACTGATGGATTTTAGTGAGCCTATATTTATCTTCAGCTGCTGAACATGTCTATTAATCATTTCTAAAGTAAAAATTGTAATACTCCTCAGCTTTTGAAACCATTTATTCCTGTCTACCTCATTTGAGCTTAACATGTATGATGACCTCCTATGACTTTTTATTAACTAAACAGTAGTAAAAACAAAATATTGTAGGGTATAGCACCCTAGACATAAAACTAATAGCAAACTCAGCAGGGGGAGGGAAACTTGTACTTTTAACTTGTCTTTGAAGTAGTTTAATATCATTTACTGGTGCCATATGGTCAATATAGAAAGCAAATGGGAGCCAGTGCCTCTTAGCTGCTTTTCCCAATCACAAATAATGCTGCTATTGTTAAGATATTTTCAGGGTCTCAGTGAGAAAACAGCAACTGAGTATGGAATCTTTAATGCAACCCAAAGTGTATGACTGAGAATACAATTTTATTCCAAATTCTTTGCTTTAGAACCCCTTTCAATGCCAATCTTTAAAAAAAATTTTTTTTTAAAAAGATATGGGGTATTGCAATGTTACATTGCCCAGGCTGGACTCAAACACCTAGGCACAAGTGATCCTGCCACAGCCTCCTGAGTAGCTGGGACTATAGGTACATGCCACCATGCCCCAGTGTCAATCTTTTTAAATGGCCAAAATGCAAAATACCAAGAAATTTTTAAAGTTAAATAAAAATATATGTATACAGTAACAATAGTATATCCAGTCTCTTTTTAGTTCTTCCAGGGGTTATCTCCATAACTCAAGATAGTATGTTTTCAATAGTCTTAGCATTATTATAACTACCCAAATAATATTCAATGTCAAATTGTTTGTTAAAATTATACTTCCTTCTGTAAGGATCTAATGTTATTACTCCTAAGCTACTAAGGATAGTGTTCCTAGCTTCAAAGTCAAATACATTTTTCCCTACGCCCAATCAACTACTTAACATTTTCCAGATTTTAAGTTTTCTTCATATTTAGACCATGCTGTGTTTATGCAGTGCCCCCAAACAGCTTATAATTGGTTTTTTTATTGCTTTACTTGCCTTTGTTATATTGTTAGATTCTTCTGATATCTCAGTAATACCATCTACCTTAAATATTTTCAACATTTATTTTTAAATAAAACAAGTATTGGCTTATATTTATATATATTTTACAGTTACTATTTCATATCTTTAAACTTGTAACAAAAGTGTCCTTTTTACCATTTCTGTCTTCACTGAGGAGTTGTTTTCAATGTTTACTTATTTGGAAATATTCTATTAGAAAAGAGTTCTTTGGGCAAAAACATAACATTCTTCAGACGCCATATATAGTGTTCTAGCTTGCTCCATGGTTTTATATGCTAACTTATAAAAGTTCTGGTATGAACAAAATAGCAATAGCCAGTCTACAACTGGATTTCTAAAACATTCAAGTTCACATACTTCAAGCCATCCTGAGTGATCTTTTTATCAAGGAATTCTAGTGATCATGACGTCATGTATATCAAAATCTTAGAAATCTAAAGAAAACCAGGCCCAGATTAAAGTTCCACCCCCTACACACACACACCCCAGTCAGTGTGCAAGGGGAAAATTTACCAGGTCTTTATGTTCTGCTAGAAGATCTTCAACATCAGAGAAGCGCGATGCTGGCTACTGTGATGAACAAGCTGACAACAGCCAGTTCACACACAAAAATGTTTGAGCCCCTTGATGAAGTAGGTGCTATATTGCTCAGGTGGGATATCAGAACAGGGGGAGTCTCTTCCTTTATGAAGCACAAACTCTAAAGTGGTGAGGCATACATAAAACATGGATGGGGGCTTTCACAGTGGAGGTCTGAATGGTGGTTGCTGACATGAGTTGACTGATTTCCACTGTGGGATATCAGAGGTTGGACCTCTGACAGCAGCCATTTGAACATATATTGCCATTTATTTTATAAGGTTAGAAAGAAGGTTTAATGCTGAGATTAGCTAATGCATGTGAACAGCCTACTTTTGAACTTTAACTGGTATGTGTGTACATTTACATAAACAATCATCCATATCTACAACCAAACAGGTGACCAGAGAAAAATAACATCCATTTACAGAAGTTTCGAAACAAAAGACTCAGAGTGTTGTGGCAACTGAGAGATGGGTAGAGTAAAAGAACCAATGGGGTGGGGAAGAGTGTTAATATCATTTATAAAGAATGAGAAGAGGATAGAAAATGAGAGACTGTGTACCTGTCTTGTATATGAATGTGAATGCATTTTGGAAGAGGAAACAACCTGAGATAGAGAGGAGTGAGGTGAAGCTGAGGGAGCTAAGAGGTGGTGGTTATTAACCAACAAAAATTTCTCTTCCAAGGGAACACAAAATGTGAAATAGCAGAAATCATAAAAATAAATGTCTTACTGAAAAAAAAAAAAACCTCTTGTAATGAGACTGTGAATTAAAATGCATCTCTTTTAGCGAGTTCTGCTGGAGATTTATACAGGTAGTATCCTGTCCTCCAAGGCTGTATCTCAGATGAGCATATTACAACATAGAGGTAATTTAGGCACATGGCTTTAGTAACACCTGATTGCACATTTGATGCTGCCCCTGGTTTTCATCATCTACTCTTTTCTGGTTCCCAGAGATAAGTACTTCAAGCCAGTTTCAACCAAGAGAAAACTGTCAAAGTATTTGCTGGTCTTATACCATTCAGAGCCTTCAAGGTCTTGCTAACCTAAAGGCAACATAGGCCAGTCAGACAAAAAGGGTGTGTTCAGATTAATCACAGTCTTGGAAATGAAAATACACCTATGTCATGCAAAACAATGGAATCTGGAAAGTAATTATCTACTACTTTATTTCCTGCACCACGAAGTTTGGATCTCACTCCTGCTATTTCCCGTACAGAATAATAACTGAAAGTATCACACTGAAGCCCAGCCCGGTCAAACAACACTCAGTGCACAAGGGGGAAACTTACCAGGTCTTTAGCTTCTGCTAGAAGGTCTTCAACATCAGAGAAGCTGAAGCTGGCTACTGTGATGAACTGGCTGACAACAGACACAAACTTATCTCCGGGCTGTGGGGGCTGAGACTTCTGATATTCCAGCTCCTTAAACACAGGAAATGAATAATGTCAATGCAGGCTTCAAATACAGACATGAGACACACCTCGTCTCATATTTCACATGCCTTAAATTTAATAAATCAGAATGGCAAACACATCAAAACTTGTTCTAAAACATTTTGTTATACTCTAGTGCCCCTGCCCTTCCTCCCACCATGCCAAAGCCATGCCCATGTGCACACGCATATTTGCAAATAGCAATTTACCAACAATCTAAGTACTTGATCTATGTGATTTCTCTTTCAGGCTTTAGAAAGCAAGCAGATTTGCATTTGGATAAAATTAATAGAAGTTAAACAAATAATGGGGGCAAACTGAATTTTAAGGGTTTGTGAGTGAAAACAAGAGACTCTGCTTGTCAATATTCCATGCTTAGAATTGTGGTGCCTTGATTTTTTTCTTTCCCTCTCAGCCAAGTCTATTTACTTCTTAAACTGTGGGATATGGGTAGTAGAATTTTGGCTGTAGCATTTGGCACCATAATGTACCATTTTTCTCTTGTCCATACCATATTGGTTTTTGTGAACAGGCCTGTAGGGGAATTAGTCTCTTGTTAATTATCCATATTTCCATTATCACAGCAATGAACGCAGATGATTCAAATCTAATGTTAATGGTTAATTTAATCATTGCCAGATGCACATTCTTATTTAAAGTTCACAACATCCCTATGAGTGAGGGATCACTATTCCCATTATACAAACATATAAATTAAGGTTTGGAGGGCTATATTACTTGCCCTGAAGTAGTGCTGACCAGTGACAGAGCCAGAATTTGAACTCAGGCCTGCCTGACTCCAGAGTCTTGGTAATAACTATGTTGTATACCAATTGACTTAAACTGGATTCTCCCTTATTTTCTTGCATTGGCAGAGATCTTCACAAGCAGGAGCGTAGTCATCACAGTTTATCAGTTCTGACTCAGCTCTACCACTGATTTGGTTCTTAACCATGGCATGTTGCTCTGGGCCTCAGTTTATTGATTTTTTTTTTTTTTTTTGTAAGAGGGCAACATCCACATCATCACTACACTCAAATGAAATAACGGAAGTGAAAACTCATCAATTATGGAGCTGGCACTGATTGGAAGAAATTGCCATGATTCCAGTACTTTAGCTTGGAAAGTGAGTGTATCTGTGTTCAGTGTGGGGACGGGAAAGGCATTTGAAAGTGTTTCATTAATGTATAATTTCATAAATATTCATCTTTGATACCTTCAAACAATATAATTAATTTGTGTAAAGCACAATTAGAACACATATATATTTGGCCAGGCGAAGCTCTGCCCCCACTATTTTCTTACAATACTACGTCACCTCCAAGGGTAGGGGAGGCTTCTATAGCCCCTCTCCTATAAAAAGTGTGATGCAGTGTATATGACCCAAGGGATAGAGTGATTTCAGCAAAACTATCCTTTAATAAAGCAACAACACAAAATTTCCCCAGAAGCCTCCACCCCAGGCCTTGCTCTGACCTGGCTCAGAAGCAGGGGTCAGAGCCAGGCTTTAGGGCCATCATAATGACCATGGACCCTCTGGGGCTGGGAGAAAAAGTTCAATCAGTAGAATTTTTTTTTTAATACTGCCCCCTACTCCCTACATTAAAAAAAAAAAAAAAGGAAAAAAACCTCACATGCTCCTTAATTTATTGAAAAAAAAATTAGACATTGTGACTTTAATTTTTATTAGAGGTATGTCTTTAATTAATTCAACTACTTTCTATGGCAGTTTTGTGATTCAAAAACGAAAAGAAGGGAGAGTCCTCACAGCATTACTGATAAATGATCTGAAGGATACTTATGAGAGGCACCTTTCCAAGCTGCCTGCAAATCCGTCTCCTTCACCCAGAGCAGGCCCAAGCTATGGCTGCTTTGAGCACAGACACCAGGGACGCTACTCTGCCAGCCTGTTCTCATCCCTGCCCCCTCTCTCGCTGGCAGCTGCATCTGCAGAGTACCCGCAGGGCACTGTGCCAACAGGCACGTTTCATCCTACCAGGTCCAGTCTGCCAGCCTGACTGGTTTTCCTTCCTCAGAGGCCTGGGCCCAGGTTGTCTTGTATGCCTGGGATAACCTCCCTCTATGCACCTAAGTTTACCCTACCCTCTTAAGCCATAGCTCAAACAACTTCTTTTCCAAAAGAGAAGCTTCCTCCAATAGGGGCCAATTGTTCCTCATGCCTCCAAAGCACCCTCAACCCGCTGCTTCCTTAAGGCACCTCCGTAATCACTCTGCTTATCTGGATGCGGCCAGGCTGAGGGAAGTGGCTGCTCCGATTATTGCAACACCTGGAGGACAAGGATTCTGAGTCATCGTGACCCTCAGCTAGAGCATGTACTACACTGTCTGCTTAGTAAATACTCCCCAAAGGACCAAGTCAAAAACAACTGAGAAGTTCTACAGAGAAGTTCTACTGCTCTACCGAAAGTGAACACCATATATTAGCAGCACTTGGAAACTGAGAGCGTCCCTGAAGATCATCTAGCCCAGCCCACTCATCCTGATGAATCCTGCCTTACAGATAAATTGGTGGCACACTAGGTCCAGTTTCCAGTTCCTGCTGCAGTGACTTATCCACGACCCCTGCTGCCTGCAATCAAGTTGCCAGGCTGAACATAACCTGCCTTTGCTTCTTGTGGTGGTGGTTCTTATTTTTTAATCAATAAATGTTTATCCCGGGCATACCACATGCCAACACAACCCATCTGCTGAAAACCACCAGCACTAGAGATAGTGAAGAGACCAGGAATTAGAACAACAACAAAAAAATACTCACTGTCTCTACTGCTTTCAAGCCACTTCTCAAGGTACTTATTTCTTTGTCCAGCTCAGTCATGCTGTTGTAAATAGCAATGTTTTAGCAATCAACATGTGACTTACACATATTAAATATAAGATGGGTTTAAATATTTCACGCTTGGAAGTCCATCCTATTTTAATTTAAATGTTTAAAATTCCCTTCCATGCTCAGATCTCAAAGAAAGACAACAGTATTTTAAACTCATGAAATGTAGGTATAAAATTATGTTTGTTTTCTGTAGCCAGCAGGTATATTTTACAGGTTAAAAATAGAATAGAAATATCTTCCATCTGTACAAAAATATTTTATGTTTCAAACTCAAAAAAATCTCACTTCAGCAAATTACTTCATGTAGAAATAAATCTCTTGCCATACTTGGCTCCCTTTGAAAACAGAAAGAAAACAAGTTCATCTGCAATCATGTTCACATTGTACTCTGTATAATCAGTGTTCTGCTTTTCACTAAGGCCCCAATAATATGACTATTACAAGGTAATGGCTTAAGTTGCAATCAAAAATGATTTTTCTTAAAGTTGTATTAACTAGTTTTTATTTTCATCTTTTTTTTAATAGAGAAAGGTTCTTGGGCTTCTCCCATACACAACACTTTCTATTTCATGGCTTTTAAACATTAGAGATTGAAACTTAATTCTCCCAGATAATTTACAACATATAAAGAAACTCACCAATACTTCATTTAATTTCATGCCTTATTTAGTATATTTCCACCAGATTCCATGAACAGAGGGAAAAAATGAGCCTGCTCATTATACTTTTCAAATTCACTGCAAAAAGATGCAGTTTATGTTTTAAAAAAAGAGCCAAAAGAGGGAGGGAAAAACAGCAAGGAAAATTGCCTGCTTCTCAGTCTCTGAAACGTGGTGTGAAGTTTGTGGTAAAAGTTTGGCAACTTTCCATTTTATTTTTAGTTTCTTCATTTGCATAAAGAATGCTTCCCATTAAAGAGCCGCCTTGGTTTCTGGGAGTATGTGTGCATATGTGAAAATTATTGCAATGTTCTGACACTTAGGTCTTCTATTTGCTTAGCCATGCATCTTTATTTAACTAAGGTGCTCCTACCTGTATTTAAAACACCTGCCCTTTAAAAGTATGAAAGTTAAAAATTGCATGCAGTATTCCAAAGAAGCTAGAACAAACATATATTCAAAACCTTGTAATACATTTGAGTGACTTGGATGAGATTCAAACTTTATTTCATACAATGATCAGGGGAAAACAAATAGAAGGACTGACTTCATGCAGTGCAAACTACCTCAATGGCTAACACACAATCCAAGTGATTTAAGAAACTAACACTCACTGTAAGTACTTACTTTACTTTCGCAGCTTGAGGAATATCTCGCAATTCTTCATTTAGATTGAGAACACTGGGGTACTTATTTTCCACAATAGTGATGAGATAGTGCAAAAGGGTAATGTTTCTACAATTGAAGAAGGGAAGAGTATTAAACATTCAAATTATTTTCATTTAAACTACATAAATATATGAATAGTTAATATCTGCATATGATTTATATGCTCAAATGGTAGAACCCACAATAATGCTATATTACCTGCATTAACTTCAAAATTTGGAGGATCATGTAAGGCAGGGATTCTCAAGAGACAGGAATAATGGGAGAGCCTCCATGGGGATTGCATAGATATATGTCAAAAAGCACACAATTTCTAAAAAGAGGATAAGAATTACATTTGTGGCCCATAATGAGCATCTTTCAAAATCTGGGTAATGTGATGGGTGATCTAAGTGAATCTGAACCACTGCCAGTGGAGACAAGCTCAAGTTTACCTTCCCAGTGGATCCACCCTAAAATGGGGTGTGCCCTGCAGGTTTATAACTAGTAGGCTTGGGTGGAGTGGAGTGGGGTGGGGTGGAGAGTGAGGGATGTTTATTCCACCGAAAAGGGCAGCTATTCTTAAGTCTAAAGTACAGAGCAGCAACTCACTGATGACAATTATTGATACTTTTTTTTTTTTTTTTGAGATGGGGTCTGTTGCCCAGGCTGGAGTGCAGTGGTGCAATCTCAGCTCACTGCAACCTCCGCCTCCTGGGTTCAAGTGATTATCCTGCCTCAGCCTCCCGAGTAGCTGGGATTACAGGCGCCAGCCACCATGCCCGGCTAATTTTCATGTTTTCAGTAGAGACAGGGTTTCACCATGTTGGTCAGGATGGTCCCCAACTCCTGACCTCAGGTGATCCACCCGCCTCGGCCTCCCAAAGTGCTGGGATTATAGGTGTGAGCCACCGTGTCTGGCCTACTGATAGTTTTTAATAAGGTTTCACCCAAAGGGTGGTCAGAAAGTTAGAAAGCCCCCTTTCTCTGGGCTGAACCTGGAAGTGGGCCATAACTGCCACCATGTGATATCCTAGCAGCCCTGAATCCACTTCCTAATTTAGCAACACTTCAGCTCCTAACTGCATAACTCTTAGTAGTTAAAACAGTTGGTTGTGCCAGCTCCCTCTCTGGTGGTGACAGGGCTGAACTCTGACTGACCTGGATGGAAAAGGCCAGCAAGTAGGATAACAGTATCTATTAGGCAACACTGTGTTGGTCTGATCCCATTGTCACTGACTGCTACGCATTACAATCACCTGGACTCCAGATGCCTGGGCTAACCCCAGAGATTCATTTAATTGGAATGAGGTGGAGTCAGGCATGGGCATTCTTTAAAACTCCCTGTTGATTTTATCAAGCAACCAGGATCAAGAACTACTTATCTGTTGAAGTTAGAATTAGGAGGGTAAAAATACATTCCTTTAAAAAACATTTCCATAATTTAGGCAGTTTGCTAATTCACAATGCTAAACCCCAGTATTCCAACTCACCTCTAACCAAAATGAATCAGAGTTTTCAAACAATTTTCTTTACCCTTGCATTTCATAGAAACAATGCAATCCTTAAATCCTTATTTTTCTCACAGTCTCTCAATAGTTAGAAAACAATTGCCCACCAAAGCAAAACAGTGGCCAACAATTTTGGCCACTTATTTTTCATATGTTCAGCTGCATCCTTCCATTTCATTTTTTTTTTTCTCTTTTGAGATGGAGTCTCGCTCTGTCACCCAGGCTGGAGTACAGTGGTGCGATCTGGGCTCACTGCAACCTCTGCCTTCTGGGTTCAAGCGATTCTCCTGCTCCAGCCTCCTGAGTAGCTGGGACTACAAGCGCATGACACCACGCCTGGATAACTTTTTCTATTTGTAGTAGAGACGAGGTTTCACCACGTTAGCCAGGATGGTCTCCATCTCCTGACCTCATGATCTTCCGGCCTCGGCCTCCCAAAGTGCTGGGATTACAGGTGTGAGCCACTGCACCCAGCCTCCATTTCAATTTTGCTCTTCACAGAACCTACCTGTCATCTGCCCATGTGATTCTTACCTAAGGGGTACAAGGAGTGAGCAAAATGCCAGCCACCATCACAAGAAAGAGTGAGGCTATTTTTTTCATTTTTTAAAAGAAATGCTTTGCTATTGAGAGACTTCTTACCTAAGGGGTACAAGGAGTGAGCAAAATGCCAGCCGCCATCACAAGGAAGAGTGAGCCTATTTTTTTCACTTTTTAAAAGAAATGCTTTGCTATTGACAGACATTTCAATTAATTGCATTAACCATACACATCTTTCTTGCTATAGAAAGGTTTAAAACCATGCCTGAGCTTCATTTGTTTGCGATCCAAATAATACCTCATTTGACTAAATGCAAATTCTTAAAAGAAGGAACAGCAACAGCCACACATTTGATTCTTCCCTGCTCATTACCAGTAACTGAGCCTTCAATGCTGAGTGAATGCACCCTTCCTGCTGACTGTCCCACCACCTACACTATCTGATTAGATTCAACTGAACAACGTTCATGGGTGACTGCTTACAGGCAAAGCACTTTGCTAGGCATGCAGGTGTATAAGGTGTGGGCGCTGCATTTGGGGACCAAATATTAAAGGCAGAAAAAAAAGAGGAAACAGAAAGATCAGAAATAGTTGCAGATTGTTCTTTTGAAAAGGCTTGTACTTTATGTAAATTCTGTAGTAACCTCAGTAAATAAGCAGATAATCACGTAAGTGCCAGGTTATTGGTAAGTATTGGGGATGGGTGATTGCTTTTGTGTGTGTACAGTTGAAGAGAATGCCCTTCCTTAAAAAGGCTCTTTAGACACAAATAAGATCTTCCATTCCCTACTTCAACCTCCAAATAAGATCCTTCTGCTGCTAATAGAGCTGTGGATGGACCAACAACACAGGTGTCAAATACCTGTAAGGCCGAATACCTTGCTTGTTGTAACCATAGGCAAGCTGAATGAGCCACCTGACCCTGAGTCAGTTTCTTACCTGACAACAGGTGACAACAGTATTTGGCTTGTGTACTTCACAGGCTAGTGGGACAATCAAATGTGAAAGTGCTCTGAAAAGGATCAAGTGTTTACATTAAAAATAAGGTGGCAGGGCTATAACAACAGCTGCTCTTCATTAATCTATCTCTACACGATGCAAAAACAACAAATTAACACATTGCTTATTTCTTCTTGGATGGATTTAAGGTTGCCAGAATACTATGCTTCACGAACCCTATAGAAAATATAGGGTAAAAGCCCCTATTAGTTAGAAATAATTAGGGTGAACAGCCCATATTTCTAAAAAGAATTTGGGTATGAAGAAGCTTACCTTAGAAACAATTGTGCAAGTTCCTTTGAAGTCAGTGTGAACCTCAGAGAAACAGAGCTCTCAAGGAAACTCAAGTTAATATGCCTAATGACCCTACCCTGTTAATGACACAAGAACGTTTTCACATCTTGGTGTCTTTAATGAGAATCTGTTCACCTAAAATGCAGCATTGAACACTTTCTAGGAAGCATTTTAATGAGACCTGCAATGAGCAACTAAGTATCAATAGCCAAAATGCATTTATACATAAGTTTTTAATATAGTTGCTACCTCCACTGTATAAATAAAAACACAACCTAAAAACCCCAAAAGCTTCATATTCTAACACCAACTATCGGTTTTTTTCTTTTCTGTGGAACACAGTTTTCTGTAGAGGGGTCATGGGGAGATGTCGAGTGCTGGTAACATTCTGTCCTTGATCTGGGCGCTGGTTATGCAGGTGTGTTTAATTTGTGAAAAATTATCAAGCCCAGCATTTGTGATGACTGACCTCTTCTTAGTATATTATAATAAAAAGTTTACAAAAAATAATTTTTTAAAAAGGCAGGACAAAACAAAAACAACAGCAAAACTTAGAACAGATGATGTCCCAGTGGACCAAAAATGGATGAAGGATAATTGGTCCAACAGGAATGTGGGAGATGCCTGCGGTCATGAGAGAGGTTTAGAGAAGAGTCAATGTCAGAGAAGGGAAGAAAGTAGTGAGAAAGAGAAGTTCCAACTGAAGAATGCAGTGTCATGAAGGCTGAGGAGGACCAGAGAGGCATAAATCTGAGCCTGGACCTACACACCTGGCTCCCCCAAGTGTTGGAAGATCTCATACTTACTTGTCGATGCTGGATTTTGTGTCAGCAATTTTGTTTAGGCTAGATATCTTGAATCCATATGCATTCCCTCTTTGACCTTTATTCATATAATTTCCAAATGCCAAAACCACCTCCAGCAACTGCTTGAGGGCACCACTCCTAAACACCTCTTCTGAGCCAGAACGAATTGCTTCAAAACAAAACACATAAAAACATGATTACCAAGTGTTTCGTTGTTTGAAATCAAGATGTTTCAGTGATACCCATTCTAAATTCACACACTTAATAACAGATATTGAAGATGTAAGACTGAGTTATTGGGTTACCAAGAGCACTTTCAAAACGCTTACACCAGAAGCAAAGAACAAGGACAGGGAGAGCCAACTCAAGTTGTTACCAACACCCATAGACAGCTGCAAAATCCTATCCTTTCTCAGGCCTTTCTTGGCTGACTCATCAGTCATAAGCACTGAGGAATATCTAGAATAGCAATCCCATCTCCAAGATTTCTTTACAAACACTTACTTGTCTGGTGTGAGTCAGGTTAACAGGAGTATTGATCAATTCCACTGACAGAAAACTAGTTAAATGTGTTACATGTCATAGCTTGCAGGTGTCATAACAGGGATCAGAGCTTAGGCAGATGCCTGATTCCAGCCTGCGTTCCGTGGCTGTGCTCTTCAGTTGCCTTGCCCACATTTCAAACATTTACAAATTTTAAAAATCAAACCATACAACAGCCTCAAATCTTCCCTTTAAAAAAGCTACTAAGGCTCTGTTGTGAGGAAGCTAATTACAGGTTTAATGCTAGTAGCAGTGAGATTAACTCCTCACCAACACCCTCGTAGTCAAAAGCCCAACCCTGTAGAGGAGCCCAGGAGGCGTGCTGTGAGCTCCGAGACTAGGGCAGTGCATCAAGCACTGACCTTAAGTAATCACCCCTCAGAATTTTAAAAGAAAGACCTTGAGCCAAAAAATAAAATAAAAAATCACCAGGCCAGGCGCAGTGGCTCACGCCTGTAATCCCAGCACTTTGGGAGGCCAAGGTGGGCAGATCACGAGGTCAGGAGATTGAGACCATCCTGGCTAACGTGGTGAAACCCCGTCTCTACTAAAAGTACAAAAAATTAGCCAGGCGTGGTGGCAGGCACCTGTAGTCCCAGCTACTCAGGAAGCTGAGGCAGGAGAATGGCATGAACCTGGGAGGCGGAGCTTGCACTGAGCCAAGATCGCGCTACTGCACTCCAGCCTGGGCAACTGTGCAAGACTCCGTCTCAAAAAAAAAAAAAAAATCACCAAGGGGATCTTGTTTACTATATGCACTTGGATTGCACTTTTAAATGGGTTGTAATGATGAACATCATTTCCAATCTAGACAGCTTGACTTTACCTTCCACTTTAGGTTTCACTTCTGCCACACGCTCTGCAAACTTCTTTTTGAAGTACAGCGATTGCAACCTTTGCTGATAGTGATTAATTCTGTAAGAGCAAACATGTACTAATTGATATTCATTTAATATATCTAGGTTCACTTAATAACAGATATGGAGGTGGAGGTACCTAGAAGCACCTCCCCCAATACCCACCCACTCCCCCGACACACATACATTAGTTGTTCTCATGGACAGGAACACAGGACATTAAGCCAGCTTTGCCTGGAGAGCCCATTTTGGTCTGACCTACAGGGGCTACTTGGCCAACTGCAGCAGAGTCCTTAGCGCCCATCAAGGCAACTGCTAAAAGAAAGTGGGAGCCTGCTGCTGCTGCTGTTGACTGAAGCGCATCTCTCCTCCCTCAGAGTCCCAGGAACTCTTTTGAGCATAGAAGAGATAAAAGGGAATGAAAATGTAAAGAATACCCTACTGCAAATAAAGGACAGTTCCGTACACTTCTCCCAAATTCCAAATTTCTTAACTTTCCATTTTACTTTCCAAAGTAAAAACTGGTCTCCAACATCCGCTTCCCACATTGTCCTCTCCTCACTCCCATCTGCAAACCTCCCTCTGTCTTCATAGTGAGCACCCTCTCTACACCCCTAAAGGAGAAAACTGTGCCCTGAGGTTCACTGAAAGTTTCAGGACCACTGGTCCTTCTCTAATGAGGAATCAATTTTCTAGGCCTGAGATAGCAGATCGACTTAGCTCATATGCCAAACCCAATTACGAAGCTGTGGCTGCCTCAGGGCTTTCTGGAGAAGGGTTCAGAGAGCTTGCCAAGGCTCCGTGGGAAGAGTGCCATGATTGATTAGTGATGTCTGCATGTGTCATGATCTGACATCTAGACCCTGGTTGTTCAGTTATGGGGGCTTGAGGCTGACATTGTCAGAGTCTGTCCATATATTTTTTTTTCTTTTTTTTTTTTTTGTTTTACAACCACCTTGCCATGCTAAGCTACTTGGAAGTATGAGACACTATCCCAAGAAATCAGACTGGTGAGGAGAATGATACTGACTGGAATCAAGAAAAGTTATTACTTGATAAGGCCAAAGGGGCCCAGAAATAGAGATAATTGTGAAAAAACCCTCACCGTGGCTCATCCATAGACAAGAAGTGACATAAACAGAACAAATTCCACATCACTCAGACTTGAGAAGATTTTTAGAATGAAAAAGCTTTCAAGTTAAGCCAGGTTAATTGGCCCAAACAATTCAACATGAATTGAAAATTCATGAAGCTTAGAAAGGGAAGTGACATCTTCACATTCCCAGCATTTTCAAACTCACCGGCTCATCTCAAAAAGGAACCTATCAGCCTTGGCCATCCGATCCAGTTCGTGTTTATGTTCCTCCAATAGGTCAATGTCACTTTTTTCAGGAACAAATTTCAAGAGCTGAAAAGTACACACGAATATTAAAACTGAGGTTTATCACTTAAATCCATGTAGTAATTTTTCACCCTTTCAGTTAATCTGTCCCAAGATAAAATGTTAACTCTTGTTGAGTGTATAAGCTCTGCTCACAGGTTAAGATACAATAGAAATGATTAAATCTTTTCATTTTTACTTGGAAGTAGTTAAATGGGTATAAGATTCATTCCTGGCACCTTTCTGTTCTCTACTGCCTCTCAAATCAGAATTGTGGGAGTTCTCTACTGGAACCTCTTTTTCACAGACCACTAGAAGGACCTTAGGGAGTCAATGCTCTCATCAGAATATGATACAACTGAGGTCCAGGGAGAGTAAGCCACTCACCCAGGATTACAAAGCAAGTGTGGGTAGTGATTAGAAATAGAACCTAGGTCTCTTGACTCCCAGCTCTGTGCCTTTTTCTGTTACATCATGCTGGAATGAATAATTCCATTTGTAGTTTCCATTCCATTTTCTTATTTTTCTGGTTTATCTAATTCAATCTTTTTTTTTCCCCTTCCATGCAGAGCTGGGTGAGAGGAACACAGTGGGATTTGATGTTTTTAATTTCGTATTTTATTTTGAAGGAAGAAATGAGCATGGGATGTGGAAGAAATAGTAAAATATTTAAAACTGAAACAGTGCTTCTGTACGTGTCTGATTTCCTTTCAAGGTACACACGTTTTGGATGTGTATGCAAGACCTGTGGACTCATGCTGTTTTCTAGATCAAATGCCCTTAACTTTTTTTTTTTTTTAAAACATTGACCTTCTTGACTTTGAGGCTCTCCCCAGAATTTGATGCTGGAATTAGACGATCCATTTAGTAGGTTTTCAAATGTTTGTTGGATTTAACTGAGGGACCTCAGAAAAGGCAGTTAGTCTGGGTGTCATCAGCAGAGAGAGGGAATTGGAATTACAGGCAGGTGTTGTGTGAGGCTGGAATACATTCCAGGCAGAGTGTATACTATGTGCCGGGGTCTGGAACGGGCAGCACAGCACTTATGCAGGTGGAAGGGCAGTGGTAACATCAGTGGGAGAGGGCAGGGCAGGGTAGGCAAAGGCAGGGAGTAGCAAGGCCTTATAAGAAGTTCTGTCTTTACTTTGAGGGCACTGGGACATACCTTAAAAATCTCACGTAGGAGAGTGAGTTTACGTTTTTTTAAAAAATTGCCGTGCTTGCAGGATGGAAAAAGAATTAGAAGAGATTAAAAATGATTAGATAGTGGTATAGTAAGTAATCTAGGTGAGAGATGATGGTGGCCTGGATAGGGTGGAGCTAGTGGACAGATTCTAGAGCTATTTATGAGACTAAAATGGAACTGGCTTGACTTGATGGATTGTGGTATATGAGAGAGGAAGAGTCAAAGATGACGCCTGGGCTTCTGGCTTAGGCAACAACATAACAGGGAACATGAATTGAAGGAAGAGAAGGCTGGAGGTAGGGTGGGCCGGGATGGGGAGGAGAAGGTGAGTTTAATGTTCAAAATGTTTGCATGGAAGCAAGTAATGATTTCTAGTAGGCAGCTGGACAAATGGGTCTGAAGCCCTAGGAAGATGTGTTTGGAAGCTGAAGCATGGCATTGGTTTTAACAGGTAGGTTACTGAAGGCACAGGTGTCAGTGAGATTAGAAGAGGTGCCATCAAGAGAAAAAAAGCAGGGCTGAAGAGAACCAGCATTCAAGGCGCCAGGACAAGAAAAGGAAAAACCTTCAAAAGGAGGCCAAGGAGATGCAGCCAGAGAGGCCTGCGTGGCTCACAGGGCCATGGGAAGACAGCATTTCAGCATGCAGCCATGGGTGCCAACACCCCCAAGAAACTAAGAAAAATGAGGGCCCCGCAGTGTCCCCTGGCTCCGGCAACAGGGAAGTTGCAAGTGCCCCTGAGAAGAGCTCTAGGGAGGGGAGGAGGACAGTGCAGCAGAGTGGGTAGAAAGTGAGCGTGGATGGCTTTCAAGACTCTGGCTGCATCAGAGAGAAGACAGTAGCTAGATGGGGATGTGGAGTCTTGAGAGGGGCATGTGCATAAGACGTGTGTGTGTGTGTGTGTGTAAGGGGCGTGTGCATGAGGGTGTGCATGCAGGGGTGTATGCACACTGTGTGTAGGTGTGTATGTGTGGTATATGTGTGCAGATGCTGTATGTAGGGGTGTGTTTATGTGCTAAAGGCTGACACTTGAATGAGCTAAGAGTAGAGAGGGCGAGGTTGCAGATATAGAGAAGGGGGCAGTCAATCCAGCTGGGGTCCTGACTAGAAGAAAGGAATGGGGCCAGAGCGAAGGGAAGAGACATCCCCTCCATCCTAATGGGACGGAAGTGGGGGAAGACAGAAGTAGATGCCAGGGAGTTCATAGGTCTGGGGGCCTGATAGCTTCTAGGCATTTCTGTTCCTGAGTTCAAACGGTGACACTGTTCAGGATGTATCTTGTTCTTTCTCAGTGCAGGGAAGTAAGGGAGGAAGGCAAGAAGAAGGGAAGAAAAAGAGAGAGGAAAGCATCACCCCAGCCTCCCTCAGCTTGGATTTTTACCCATTGGGCAAGGAAACTGAGTTCTAGCCTCAAGGATCCTTTCACTAATTTGCTCAGTCCCCTCTCTCCCTGCAAACTTGTGCTGAGCCCACTTGTCCCCTGTTCAGAATAACACAGTCACTACATCTCTTTTGTTACCTAAAAGTGCACAGTAGGAGCCACACTAAAAACTCAGTCCCCTCTCAAAGGAGAGTTGTGTAAAGGACTGTGCGTGGGTAGTTTTAAGAGAGGATCAGGAGTCAAGCAAATATCTGGGAATAAGGATAAAGATATGTGTTCCGAGGAAGAAGAGCGTATAGCTCTCTCTCTCATCTGAGATCAGAGCTCAGCAGCTGCAAGCAGCAAGAGAGGAGGGGATGAAAGCAGCCACCAGGCACATCCTAAATCGGAGTAAGGAAATGCTGGCATCAACACTTGTCTGGGAAGAGTGTTGTATAGAGGAAACGGAAGTAAAGAACAAATAGTAAAATGGGGAGGAAAAGAAAGAGCGTGGGAGATGACCAGAGAGCAAGACACACACAGAATTATCAGGACAGGCCAGGTCAAAAAATATCCTACTTGTCCAGATTCTGCTTCAGTAGACTGGTTTTATTTCTTGCATTTATTTGAAGCACACTCTATTTGCACTGCAGGCCCTTTTGGCAAGATTTTGAAATCCTTTCCCTCAAGGAGGAATTTTGCTGGATGCAATTCCACAGTAAACAGATCTTGTGGAATTTTAAAACATACAACCTTGTCAATAGGAGCTGAAGGCAGGAGGACTAAAGTGGCTTTACACATAGTCCTTCACTTTGGGTTACCACATTGGGTGCAGCAACTCGAAGGCAGGGTCACCTGGGAGGGGCAGAGCACTGCCTAGACCTCCACTGTCCCAGAGCAAAGACTCTGTGTGACTGGTCTACAGCAAGGGAGGGAAGGGTACGTGAAGGAGCTAGAAAATGCTCTCAAAATAAATTTTGGGTTCAGGAGATACTTTTAAACCGTTCATACACAGAGAACCCCAAGAGACTTGAGAACATAATCATTAACTATTTTGATAATTAAATAAAACCTTTAAAGGACAGCATGAAGAGTTTCTCCATGGCAAATGTGAGGGATTTCCCCCAGGACTATTCCAGCCGCAGAGGTTGCAGGGGCGGGGCTGGTCCATTAGGGAGTGACTCTGCAAACATCATTCCTCCCTGCATGGTGTCTGAGACCTTCGAGGACATCAGTGAGAACCATGGAAAACACACGTGCAAACAGACAGGCACTCTACCCAGAGCAACTTCACCACTCAGGATTACTGTTAACAACACAAAATACCCTTATTCTCTGCTCTTGGAACAGGGCACACCTACAGATGCAACCTGGAGTTCAGTCTAGAATCATAGTTGCTTGTGCCCACAGCTGACCTTAGGTAGACCTGGCTCTAACAAACGTGGACTTATTGACCAAAACCACTCAAAATGTGAGCCCATCCCCAAAACAATGAGACAGAAGGATGGAACGATCTTATAGCATTCAGAGACTATCACCACAGAGCACAGAAAAGTTAAGGCCCAGACCAAGGGGCAGGGGGCAGAGACAGGTGAAAATCCCTAGAATATGTGCGAGATCAACAACATTGTTATTTGGGGACAACCAGACAAAGATGCCAAACAGCCCATGATCCCGTTGGAGAGGCTACAAAGAAATGCTATAGAAATACTGGCTGCTTGGTCATGGATAATAAAAATTATAACAAGATACCATGGGCAAAGATGTAATCTGACTGGGTGTAAATCCCATTCTTGCTACCCCTGGCATTTAAATTTACTGCTATTTATGACACAAGAGGGGGCTGTACAATGTACGGAGGTTAAGACTTAGCCCCAAGACATTTACAACCTGTCTTGTGACACGTATGTGTATTTAGATACAGATGACAGTGTTAGGGGTTTAAAGGTCATTTTCATGGTTGTGGGTCTGGTGACCAAGACACAAATTACATTTAGAGTTTAGTAATGAATCAGTTTTTGTAGTATGGTTTGCAATCTCACAGTGCTAGTGAGATTCTCGATATTCCTGTGAAACACAGATTTTCTTCTAGAGCTAGATTTATATGATTTACTGAGGTATAATGACTTAATTGCAGCTTGAGGGATGCTGTGGGTCCCAGGCATTTGACAAACTTGATCTTCTTTCTCACCCATCAGTTTGGGAGGCAATGAGAGAATAAGGTCATTAAGTTTCCTAACAGAGTCACATGGGAACTTGGTTCAGCCTCCTCAATTCATAGATGAGGAAATGATCCACTAGCAACAACCGGATGTTCTCAACATCCCTCTCCCTGTTGATGGTCGCTTTTCACTTCTGCTCTCAGATACATCTGGTAGCTCACCTGTTCCAACATGTCCTTGGGCAGATCTTCCTGTTCGTCCATTGTTAGAATTGCCCGTTTGATTTCGTCATTGGATAATTTCAACCTGGAGAAAGAATATTTTGTTATTAACCATATTGGTTTGAGTATTAAAATTTAACATAATTCACTTTGCTACCCCAGCTGCTGATTTTCAAGTACTTTTTTCTCAAAATCTCTCAGTGAAAGCTTATTTCCTGACAATATTGCACCTAAAAATAGGACTTTAAAACTGCTTTAACATTCTTTCAGGGCTTTGTAATGCTCTGCTGACACAGAGGACAAAGCTGCTATGTTCTATGATTTAGTTTCCTTAAGCAAGGGATTGGAAGATTAGAATTAGGGAAAATACCCATACACAATTGTTTTCTTTCACATTTAGGATCCATGAACTGCAGGCGGGAGGACAGAATTAAGTTTCTGACCTGTTTATACGTCAGGAGTGTTTAAAGTTTGCTATCAAGTAAAGAATGGATTTTGAGAAGTTTAGAAACTACATGTTATTGTTAAAAAGTTGAGCAACAGATAATATGCAAAGTAAAATCTGCAAGTACTTCATAGTTAAGGCTTTTTTTTAATAGATGGAGAAACTGGGGCCCAGAATGGCCAAGTGATTTGTCCGAGGTCAGACATAAAAAACGACAGTAACCACAAACCCACGACTCTTGATTGCTAATCTCAAACTCTTTATACAAATATTCCTTATCTAGTTAATGTCTCATAGGGAAGGATTTAAGCAAAAATACAAATCTGTTTTCTCTTTTTCTGTCTACCATCAACATAAATGATTTACTAATTTAATCAGGAATATGTGTCTTGATTGTCAGAACAACAAAGTATTGACTGTAAAATATAAAATATAATGTTAAAATGTATTTTTATTAGATATAACAATAGTCTTACCCAGGGGAAAAAAATCTTGATCACATTATTAGCTGCAACAAGAGACTCACTCCTTTGTTTAATTTGTAAGCATTAGACCCAGACTTTTCCTTTTCTTTGATGGAAATGGGGTCTCACTATGCTGCCCAGGTTGGTCTTGAATTCCTGGCCTCAAGTAATCCTCCCACCTTACCCTCCCAAAGTGCTGGGATTACAGGCATGAGTCACCATGCCTGGTCTAGACTTATTTTAAAAATCTTACTTCCTTACAACCTATAACTAATGTGGCGTATTAACATGACTTGATTTGTTCTTTTAGTCTATGCTCTTGAAAAAGCATCATATTTAGGACTGGAGATAAAGATGTAAACACACAAATATAGAGCAAGCTGTACACATGTCACATGCAACTTTTGAAGTAGGGGCTTTGGTGTAAGACAGGCTGGGCCCCAGTCCTGTCTCCGATACTTCCTGGTCAGTGTGACTAGAGCAAAAAATTTTTTATAAAGCCTCACTTTCCTCATCTGTAAAACAAGGATAGTAATAACTACATAACTGCATCCCTCCAGGCACCCCCCCCCCCCCAAAAAAAAGGGATTGTGTTTGTATGTGTGCACATGAGGATTAAGCAAATGAATGCACGTAAAGTGCTTAGCAAAGTTCCTGGCCATAGAAAGAACACAGTAAACTATATGTACGTTCTGCAAGGCAGACTTTTTTATACTAGAAAAACAAAGTAGCAGTACCTTTGTATCCTTAATGGTCATATGCAGCTAAGAACCCATTAAACAGTGCTTAGTATGGTAATTATGATCACTTTCCAAAGCACTGTCATACCCACTATTTCACCAGTGTTTCCTCTCTGTGTATGACACCCATGAGGCCTGGGAGTACTAAGAAGGAAATAGAAGATGAGGTCCTTATTTTAACAGTGATTACAGTCATTGGGAGAACCAGATGATATGCTGAAATCCTCAAGACACAAAGGTGTGTAAAGCACACACTCACCCATGGGCTTGCAGATGAAGGTGAGGGCTGAACAACTGAAAGCGCGCACTCAAAGGCAGCAAAGAAGAGAAGCCCCAGGTGAAGCTGGATGAGGCACCCCACCAAGGATGCCTCTGGCTTGTCTTTTTCTCTAGATTTGGGACCCGATTATGTTAAAACCATCCACCTTGCTATTTAAACTGAATGTTATTTCATGTGCCATTAAGTAGGGAAGAGAAGGAAAAAATTTGGGAATCCTACTGTACTCATACCATTCTCTTCTATTTCATGTTCTCAAACCCAAATAAAGCATCTAGACAAAATGCAAAATTGTTTAAGCTGACAAATAAGGCCCGTTCTATCACCTTATGTGAGCTGTGTTGCCATTATAACCCCTACGCCGTTACAGCAGCCCTTGTCCTGGCAGACTTCTTCAGATGGTTTTCGTCATTCTTGGGACAATCATTGCCTCATGAACATGTTCCCAGAATATCGCGTTAGAAAATTCCCCCTACTTAAATGGAACAATTTAGCTAAGTTGGCATGGGTAAAGTATACAACAGGGAAAAACCGACTCGCAGCATCAGGGCCTCAACTGGGTAGCCTTAGACTCCAGGACACTAGAGGCCCTTGAGTCAATTTAAGTCCAAACACCATTGTGTGGCCATGCAAGGCCAAGGAACAGTAACAATAGGGAGGGCTGAAACTGCCACTAATGAAAACCAACTGGCTGTGAAAACATCTATAATCATGAGGAGAGCTCTGCTTGTAAGAAAAAAAAAAAATTAGTTCTGTGTCCTTTTCACACCGAGTTGAAGAAACCATTTTATGGTGTAGTTCTGCTGAGTCCTTCTGTTTTGCATTTAAAAGAAAAGGAGTTGAAAATCAGAGCGAGAACAATACTTGAAGTATCAGATTTGCATTTCATTAGCTCCCCATATGGAGCACAGAACTTCTTGCTTTTGAAATTGTATATATTTATGCTCCTCAACCCCCAGAGGCTGTCTGGACTAAACACTAGCTCTAATTCAAAACAATTTTGGTTTCTCTTAATGTGGCCCACAAAGAGACTGGAGACTTTAATGGCTAGCACTTAAGAAAATCTACCTGTCAACATAATGCTATGCACGCGTCCTGTTGGATCAAAGAAACCCTACCTTAAGGGAAAGGGGAGAAAGGTACCCCGCCCTCAGGGATGGTTCTATAGGTTGCAGAGTTCTTAGTATCATCTGTCATCCACAGAATCAGTCTCTAATCTCTGTAATTAATTGCTTTTAAAGCTTGGCAGTGTTCTGAAGTGCCAGAGGGTGGCAACTTTTGAGATATCTACTCCAACTTTCTTTACAAGGCAGGAAACAAACCAGCCATCTTAAAACAGTATTCAAAACTCCAGGTTGCTCTACTCAAGTATTTCAAAAATTTGCCAAGAGAATTGGAACATCCAGGCGTAATTAAAATAAGTTAAGGATGGATGGCTAGATCAGCCTTAGCTCTGCTTCAGTGGATTTAGGCCAAATCCCCCTACTTTAGAGTAGCTTTTTGTGGTTTACTACACCCAGGCTGCTGTGCTAAGTGAGCATCTGGAAAAAAAGAACGGCAGAACACTTCATAAAACTGTGTTTCAGGTGGGTTCATTTTGCAATATAAACCTGCTTCCAAGTTTCTGTCTCCCCCGCTGCCACCCCCAGGCCTTTGGCAGCGAGGTCTGTTTTGGGGAATAAAACAGAGTAAATTTTAAATTGCTACATGTCACCCATGCACACATACCAGTAGAAAAGTTGCTTATTCCCTGAGGACCTGAGGAACGTCTCTAAGACGTGCCCATTCTACTCTCTTCCCATGAAAGGTATGGTCCCTGGTGCCCTGGAGCTCCCCATTCAAATGCACACCTTTTAGGCCATCTCTTTCTGAGAGCTTCGAATGATTTGGTCACTCATGCTGCAAATATCCTACTCACTCAGGCATGGGGAGTGCTGGCACCTCCTCCCTGCCTTGGCCTCTTTCCAACTGCCTGCTTGGCTCCAGAGAAAGCTGTGGCAGGTGCCCCTGACCAAAAGGTCCACTGACATTTGTAAAATATGAAGAAGACCTTTAAGGTATAATCTTAAATACTGTGAACACAAGTGTTCATTAAAATACAGCCCATGGAATACGCCACAGGCTTTCACTGTGGTGAACTTTGGTGTAATGATGGCATTGCCAGGAGATAAATCCTAGACAGCAAGATAAGAAATAGAGAAGTTCACCAGTCTCTGGGAATGAAATAATCAGGAAAGAAAGATAGTAAGTGTGAGAAGGTAGGAAATGCTGACATAGAAACATTCCTATTCATTGTCCCCAAGCATAAAATCAGCCTTCAAGGGCTTCTTCATCTCTCTCCAGGCTGTCCTTAGTCATCAGGTCTCACCTGGACAACAGAGGCCCTTATCTGATGGCTGCCCTGGTCCAGCTGTTAACCCCTTCTAACCTGTCCTGCGAAACCAAAAGACCAAACTAAAAAACCTTATTAAACAAACACACAGTGTCCTCCTACTGAACAAAAGGCACCAGTTCTGATCCCATGGATACATAAATAGGACACTGACTGGGCAGCTCCCATGCAGGCACCCTTCCCAGGGCTGCACACATCCTAGGAGGAATTCTCACAAGCCGCTGCAGGGCTGCTACCCTCATGATCTTCATTTTATAGATGAGGAGGTTATGATGTGATTCTGGGCTGACTCATGCCCTTATAAATGCACAATGCCTGAATTTCGGGCTCTCCTGCCTGGTTTCATTCAATCCAATTGATAATTTTCTGCCGGGATTGCAGGGCTCTCTACTAACTGTGCTTATGTCCCTCCCACATCTTTGCTGCTGCACGCCTCCTTGACACCACCTTCCCGGCCCCTCCTCTTGTCATATAACAGTCTTTGCCTTTGAGGCCTACTTTCTACAATAAGCCCTGCTGGTGCCCCTCCTACATGGCCGGGCTCCATGTCCTTCAGTCAGACCAGTGTAAGCCCTGAACTGCGCACAAATCTTCTCACAGGTGTCATTTTTCTTCTCCAATTAGCCATGTGCTTTCAAAGGCAGCAACGTTATCTTAACTTTTGGTATGTCCTATGGCACTCAGCACGGTGCTGGGCAAAAAAATGCTCCAAAGTGGTGACTAAGAGAAAAAGTATTGAACACGTTTTCCTACTTCTTTCTCCTTTTATGTCCCCAGCTCCTTTTGTGCATAGTAATAAATTGCCAACAAAAAAGGAAGAATGAAAAGTAAACTGCTGATTGGTTAAAAAACTAAATAAAATACAAATTATAATTAAATCTGCCTAATTTTTTCACTTGTACCACATTTAACATGTCATTCTGTGCTTTCCTGATGAGAGAGTAAAACAACTGACCAGTGAGCACAAAAGGACGGGGCACTGAATCATCCATGGGAGAGAGGGCTTCAGATCCTTATCAATGCAGCCCAATGGCCAGCAGGTCAAACGGGACTCAAAATTACTTTGTCACACACACTTTTAAATTGTGCTCACTGTAATAATACTTATACACTAAACTGGATTTTAATTGATAATCTGACAGATACGAGGCCAGTTCTTAAAACTGTCTTAAGAGAGTTTAGATACATTCAAGTTCTAAGTCACCTCAAAAGTGTCAGGGCCTAGGGCAACAAGGGAATTTACATACCACAAATATGAACTAATTCCCTCAATAACAGAATGGGAAATTTGCCAGAAAGAGATGTAACCTTATCTATATCTAGTGTAATTACCCTGGTTGGTACTTAGTACTACTGAATAATCTGTCAATAAGGAACGAGGTCACAGTTTTTACTCTAAAGGCATTTCAACACTATAGAAATTCTGTGACAGCTCCCTTCACCAAGTGTTTTAAAGCATTCATCTGGATGGCACAAGCATAAAATATAGAGAGAAATTCTAGGATGTAAAAAAAACTCCACAACTTTCCCCAAGTTAATTTAATTTTGCTACTAGGAATACTACTTATAAAAAGGTAACAAAACAAATTGTTTACACTGTACAGCAGTCTTCCCTTATTGGAGGGGAATATGTTCCATGACCCCCAGTGGATGCCTGAAACTGTGGATAGTATTGATCCTTACATAGACTATGTTTTTTTTGTCTATACATACATACCTAGGGTAAAGTTTAATTTATAAATCAGGCACAGTGAGAGATCAACAATAACTAAAAATAAAATAGAACAATTAAAACAATATATTGTAATAAAAGTTATGTGAATGCAGTTTACCTCCAAATATCTTGTTGTACTGGACCGTGAGTAACTGAAAACGCAGAAAGTGAAACTGTGGATAAGGGGGGGACTACTGTAGAAGAAAAATAAGTAGACCTTCAAGTTATTTTAAGTGGTGGCTTCCTGAGGCAGATAGATATTTTATTTAACCTGAGCATAGTTCATGGAACAAAAGTCAGAATAAACACAGGGTACGGCCATTTACACAGCTTTCAGCCAGAGGCAGAAGTAAAATGTTAACAGGATGGTTCAGGTTACCTTACTAGTTGCATTACAATTCAAAGATCTCACTAAGGTTAAATTTCTCTTCATTAAAAGAAACATTTGCTCCCTGAAGTAATACATATCTGGCTAAGAATCAACTTCCATGAAAACCAAGCACTAGCTCTTTGTGTTAAAAGAAATTCATTCTAAGAACATCTAAATAATAAGGACTACTACTTTCCCTCTCTTCATAGTCCCTGAAAAAGAAGTCACCTTATACCAGCCTCAATGCATATACAACATTCCTTCCAGAATGTAACTTATCTTTAAAGCCCCAAACTCGGGATTCTTTACATCTTCACTCACTCCATAAGCATTAGGTATCTTTGCCTAATGTGAAAGTTCCTTTTACAGAAAAGAAGAAACTAGATACAGAAAAGCTATTTGAAATGCCCAGAAAAACCTGACAACATTGCCCGAAGTTGCAATCAGATTCCAGGCTCCCAAATTTCCTTTCTTCTTTTCAAGTTCCAAGGCTGTGATGGTTCACTAATTATGAGAAAGATTTCTGAACAGGGCTGAACTGGATAAATTAGCTTTTCACGGAGGTTTGAGATTTACATATCCTTTTAGCTATAAAAATGCTCAAAAAGAACATGAAATCATATAACCTTGAAATGAAAAAAGGTGACATTAGAAAGCAAAATAAAACAAAGAGCCTTCATCTGTTGGTCCTGATTCTGTGACAATGCTACTAAATGACCAAAATATCTCTAAGGCCAAGAAGTGTAAATAAAAGTCAAGTCGATGTTACAGGCTTTCTGGGAAGAAAAGATTGACTCAGGGTGTTCTGCCTTTACATTTAGAGGTCTGTGGAAATTAAACTTTGAGAAAGAAGGCATCCAGCTCTGATATGTTCCACTAGGGAAAGTAAGCACCAAGAGCTGTTCTCATTTTAACAGAAGGGGATCCAAAGAACTGTACCTCAGCAGAGTACAATTAAAACAAAATCACTAACATGTGGTTTTGAGCCACAGAATGGAAATGTTGGTCCTACTAGAAATGTTTATTCAACATCAACAATACCTCGATAGAAGGATGTTGCAATTCTGAGCTCTCCGACCATCAATCACCGAAAGCTCTTTAACTTTAAGTTTGGAACTCAGAGTGTCATCAATGGCATCTGCTTCTTTCTGTAAAGAGCATGAAAGAAATCCATCAAAGTCCAACAGGGACATTCAGACTTCAGATACACACTTTCCTTTACATTGTTGTTCATATACACATACACACACTCGTATACACATGGGCAAGGCTGAAATGGTGGGAAGTGTGGAGAATGATGGAATTGAAACAAAGGCTACAGTCTAGTTGGTAAAGGGAAATAATAAGAAAAGCTGACCACCCACATTTGAAAAAGCATTATTTGGAAGAACAAAGTGCTTCTAAGTTGAAGATGCTAAGTGTGCATAAATTATCAGTGAGTGGTGCCCTCCTTTTGTCCCCCAAATTCCTATGGATTGCAGACAGAAGAACTGTCACTATGAATCAGGCTCAGCTGAGGCTTGCCATTGCCGGTCCAGCCACTTGCAAGGCCCATTCACCCCAGAACCATCTGCATTGTGAGCACTCAAAAAAGCTAAACGATAAAACCTCCCAAACATCTTCATGTACAACAGGAAGCTCCCAAAGCCAGATGGTAACTTTCATTACTCCAGAGCCTGATGGACAATGGGAAGGGGCAGTTTGAGGCATGAGTTCAGTTACCTGAACTAACAATAAAAGGCTACTTGCATATTCTGTTGCTGTATAGAAATCTGTAAGCTATGATGGCCAGTTATAATTTCAGGTGGAACAGACCAAAAATATGTATAATATACTGTTAGAGTGAACTGAGCATCAGGAGTATTGGTAATAATAAAAAGTTCAAGGCTAACTTGATAAATAGCAAGTTTGATTTCATTAGCAGTGAGAATCAATTAAAAACGTTACAGTGTTTTAAAAATGTAAGAAAACTGATTAAGTAGCTCTTTCTTTTGCAAAGTTGTATCTACATTTTACACAAAGATAAAGAATCTTAGCTGAATTATTCATTCAACTTACCTACAGAGTTTCCTCATTTGATGAGGGGGCTGAATTAAAGTAGTACCTCTAAAGTCTGTTTAAGTTCTAAAAATTCTACGTACTTTCCTACTAAGCCTCGTGAATTTATGGAGAACATCTAACATTATCAGTTCTACAAACTACAAAATCTTGGATCAGACTGCTGTTTTTAACATGAGTCTGTACTACTGTTTAAATTTTTGCAGCTTAAAAAGAAAATGAATTTGTAGTGACGTGACTGCAATCTGGCTTGCTCAGACACTAAGCATATCAAGCATCTAAATTCAACTGCAGCCTATGCAATCTATAAAAAGTACTTGATAACTATCAGAAGACAATAGTCCAAGTCTTATATACACCATCAAGCCTTTTTCATATATTTCCCACTCAGGAATTAGGAGGAAAAAAACAATTATATAAATTATTGTACCAATAACGGTAGCATTAAAAAAAAAGTAAAGAAACCAAAGAACTCTAGAACTGTGTAACAGTTTAGAAAACAAAGGCAATATGGAATTTATACTGTGAGGCACTAGGTGATCAAATGTCAACTGTCTCATGCTAAAATTTCAGGCGAACCTCTAGATACTCATTTAAGAGTTGAAATCCAAAGTGGAGTTACCTAGGCATTAGATTACACTATGTAAAAAAACAAAAACAAAAACAAAACCCTGGATAACGAAGAGATTTCAAGCTTACAGTGAGCCAAGGAGTTATATTAAGCAAGCTTTAGGTAGTAGCTCACTTACCTGCTTGGAGTTACTGTTCACAAAGAAATCCTACAGCCATGGCAGAGGCATGGAAAAGGCAAATCAGATATATGCAGTTCAGAAGTCACAGCAACAAATGGGGGAAAGTCAAAGCAGTCAAGGAAACAAGTGATGTAGGGTAAGAGATGATTTATGCCCCTGGGATCATCAATGAGAGTTGATGAAGATGAGAAAATTTGGCTGAATACCATGAAGAGCACAATACTAAGCATTCAGGGTAGAGAAAGACGATGACATTTGCTGTACCCAATTTTCAATGGTGGAAAATCAAATTCAGAAAAGACAGGGCTTAAAACACCTGAGAAAGACCCAAGCTGGGAAAGGAATAAATCCTCTTTGAAATGACCACTGGCTCCATTTATTCAACATGATGATTTTACTTGAAGCAGGAGAAAATCAATCCCATCAACTTGAGGAAACTATTCCTACTGTTAATAGGAAAACCAAAAATACATAAATAAATAAACTTTTTTTGATGAAAATAATCTCCTGTCATCTTGTGTTATAAGGAAGGATTGAGAAAAGACAGGTTGAACAACTCAAGTCAGTAATATTAACCCTCAGCACCCCTATAAAGTGCAAATAATGCCTGTAGGTGCTACAGGTAGGTATGAGGAAAAAGAACATGCAATTAAGAGAAAATCAGTGATACGTGTGTTGTGCAGCCATTCGTGGCCCTGTCCTAACTGCCCCAGGACTGTTCAAGCATACAAGGTCAACAGTCTCTTCTGGAAATAGTTTTTAGAAAAGACTTGGAATGAAAAAGGGAACGAGGAAGAGGTAACTGACATGCTGTGAGAAAGTTACAGCATACGTTGCATATTTTTGCAATGCTGAAATGAATAAGGCTTTGGTGTGCAAAACACGCCCCAGTTTTCGGGCCAACAGCTTGCACAACCAGCATTTGCTCAGCAGATTCCTTAAGGTCTCACTGGTCTCAGCAGCACTGCCAAGGCCAATTTTACACAGATGAGCTGTTTCACACAATTCCTCTAGTGAGAAACAGAATGTGTCCTCCCCTTGCTCTAGCCATACAAGGGGGGACTGCTTTTCTAGAATGGCATTTAAAAAACAATGGATACTCCTCTGATATCCCAGTTTTCTTTTGTCTCTGTTATAACTGCCAAGTTGTCTACTCTGAAGCTCCTTAGGACTCTTCCTGTAAAAGCAGTTTCCTTTCAAGGGCAAAAAAGACTATGGCGAAGTGAACTCCATGAAGTCATCTTAACCTATTTTTTTTCTCTTAAAGAGAGAGTTGCTAGTTGAACTTAGAGATTCTGCTCTTACTGTCTGACCCTCAAAGAAGAAACTTTTTTGAAGTTCACTGGCAACTCATCCTATTTTATGAGTTCCCAGTGGCAGGAAATTAAGACTTCTGACCTCTAGTGTAGAGGCCTGTGGAATCAGGCAACTGTTATTTACCGGGTGTGTGGCTTGGGGCTCAGTCTATCTGTCTGTAAAATGTGGTTAATTAACAACTGATTGGTGTGAAGATTAAACATGACAATCACGTAATGCGTTGTGTATAGTACCTGACACATAGGTATCTGACACATATGTATGAGCTCAGTACTTGGAAGCTACAGTAATACAATTATTTCATCTTTCAACCTGATGATCAAGTCCACTTATTCCCCTTTGGCTCTGCTTTCAGTTGAGCTGAAAAAACAGCTGGTCAAGATCTCCAATTTGTGACCACCATCAGCAATAAGTGTAATAGTTAATAACTATGTAATACATTTTCTTTCTAGAGGTGAGGATGAAGAATGCCAAGCAAGAGTTTCTTCAATTATTACCCTAAAGATTCCACTTCTTTTAAAAGTCCTTTACTTGGCACATTAGAAATAAAATCATAAAGCTTATGAGTTTCATTCAAAGGGGCATGTTAGAAATAATGATGCTTCCAGGCCTATTTCAAGTAGGTTAACATTCTTTTTGAAAGCTTATTCACTGAAAAATCAGAGAGAAGTAACAAAAGATACTTCTAATTGGCTTGGGTCAAATGTGGTAGAATCACTTATATTTGGCTTCACCTAACAGGATGTCTGGTTTTTCCAGGCAATTTCTGGCATAAAGCTTAGGGCTTGGAGTATAAATAGGAAGTTGGGACTTGCATTTTCAGGAAGCAGTGCTGATAGTGCTATAGATTGAATTCCACAATGGGATAATGACTCAACACTTCACAGATAATCATAACTTTTACATGAATGGTTTTTAATCTTTTTGAGACTTTTGTAAATCTGGTAAAAATTATGAATCTCTATCCAGGAAAATTCAAACACTATATTTATATAAAACCCCACATCTGATTAACTCTTATCATGAAGCTCAGTTACAGAACTTACATTTGGTCTTAAGAAAAAAAAAAAACAACACCACTATTTATATTTCTCTCTTCTGTTTTCATGTGCCATGGCTAAGGATCAAGCCTACTGAAATAAATATCTTAAATCATAACATTTTTCAATGTGAAAATTATACCTATAGAATAAAAATTGTAAAGAGAATAAAAAAGGAAAATTCTTTGATAATTTATAAAAAATCAGAAGGTATCATTGAATGCTCTAAATGGAGCCCCCAAAATGTCTTGTGTATTACATATAAGCAGGAGAGGTTGGATTCTGGAGCCTGAGACCACCGTTATTCTTTGTTCCTAACCCAGAGTAGAGGCTTTGAGAAGTTTTACAATGTGATGACAATAGGATCCTTAAGGAAGGGCTGTCCTCAAGCAAAGATCAGGGGGAAGGAAGAGATAGTGAACTGTGAATTTGTTGCTACAGAGATATGACTCCCTTTAGGTAAATGTAGTGCCTTTAGCTCATTTCCCCTCTATTCAATTGTATGGATAGAGAGAAATGAATTTATAGCATCTAGGGATGAAAATTTCCCATAAAACGGAGATGAATATTGTTTAATTGTATCTGAAAAGTACTGCTATGCAATGTGCTACCATTTAAATCAGTCTTTTGTGGCTGACCTGGAAATCATGTATAATGTAGTTTCAATGAGAAAAAGAGGACCTGAGATTCAAGACATTGACTTTCAAATGAACTTTTGGAATGTGAGTGGAGAAATAACTGCCTGCTATTAGATCCCATTTCATGTGGCACATAAGCTTACATAATCAGCTCTGCACACCTTTGATATTTACACTGAAAAAAAATTCTGAATAGGAGTAGTCTTGTTCTTAAAGCTGGAGTGAAAGAAAATCCTATACAAAGTCTGACATTTATAATGAGTAAAAACCATGGGGAAGAGCAAAGTGAAATTGGGAATTATGTCCCTTTGGAGTTACTAAATACACACCAAGCCATGTTTTTATTATCTATAAAATATGAATATCTACTCATAGAGTTGGGGGTGAGCATTAAGGAAGAAAATAAGTATAAGAGCTCCATTGAGAACTAAATCTTAAGGTTGATGAGATTGGGAACTGTGCATATCATACTTGGCATCAGGAATGTAATGGATGCTTAATATTATCATCTTGTAGTCCATATTATAGTTATTTACAGCTTTTTCTCATCTCTGCTTTTATACTGTAAGTTACACTGTGGGCCTGTGCAAAAATTTAACACATTTTCATCCTTTGAAGTACTTTGTATACAAAGCAGACAATATAAGTTCTCATTTTAATGATTCCTCACATCAACTGGATATATTTTATGCAGATATGTGTAAGCATATATGTGTGTGCATATACACTTATGTTTGTATATATCCCCTAAGTGTCATTTCTCAGTATTCATCTAAATTATACTAATCCGACACTACTGAGATTTTTCCAAAATCTTACTCTGTGCAGGGTTCCTGTTGCATGCATACAGGTAATGGTATTCATGCCATTACCTTTGTAATGTTCCTTTGCCTCTCTGAGAATTGTATCTAGCCAAACAACTGGCTGAAGTCCAGAGAGTTTGAACAGGGTGTCATGACTCTGGAGGGAGGAAAAAGGAGACATCATGGAAAAAAATAGATCCCGAGTATTCATTTGCGAGTAGAAAAGAGAGCAGTTCAAGTGAATTATATAATGCACTGCCAAGACTGAAATGAAAATGCATAGGTCTTGAGTATTTCCATTGGTCATGAGATAAGGGGACATTTAATGACAGGCAACCCATTTTCTTTACTGTGTCCTATATATTCCAACTAAAGTGTCCACATCTTTGGATTTTCTATCAGAATTCAGTAATTTCAATAAAATGGCTCAAATTATCCTTATTTAGAAAATATATTTACAGTTAAAAAATTCTCATTTCAAATTCTTGCACCAAAAGAGAAAACCTACTTGAATTACTCAAGCTGATCAGGTATGCTGAAATGTTTCTCCAGGAAGTGCTATTGAAAATATGGTCACAACTGATTCTACTTACTGGTCTACTTAGTGTTAAGTATAACTGAAATGTTCTGGACTCTCCTGACTGGAATGCATACTGATTACTTAAACAGTGTTGGTTGCTAGGAGACAATTACCCAATTGCTAGGCTTTCTGCAATCTTGTCTCCCAGAGCTCTTGAGAACTGTCCACATATTTGTCCCAGAGCATTTTGGCAGTATCCTTCTGCACCTTCTGCTGAAAGCCAGTTAATTATGAGTCTTGTAAACTTAGGTCTTTCAACCACCTGCCTTTATAATAAATGCAACCCACATGCTCAGACTTGAATAGCATCATTTGGAACAACTGCTGCTTTTCCTTCCTTTAATTTACTTCTCTACGTTCTCAAATCTTCATATTAGGCAACCAGCATGGAACAGTATCAGCGATCAAAACTGAAGTGGGAAAGCAATGGGACATGTAGCCAGGTTAGAAGATTATTTGAATTATCAGGAAATTTGCTAAAATGGATCAAGATTCCATGTCAAGGCCAAGGAGACACCTTCTCAGGACAGCAGACAGAGAAAGAGGCAGCATGTTGCAGCCAATCAGGAATGAGTCTGGTCACAGTCCCTGCCACGTGAGGACTCTAAAGACAACTTTTGTCCTTTGAAGGATAAATTGTTTTGCTTTCTATTGGCCAATGCCTTATCTTCATTGTGTTTTTTTCATCTTCCCTTATTTGGTGTGTATAGCATTGCCCAAGTTTGCCTTTCTACTTACAGTAGGGGTGGGCAGCTGAGGGCTCCTGTTTTAAGGGTTCATGTCACTATGGCAGGCAACCGCCTCTATTTTTGTATTTTATTAAAGTAGCATAAAAGGCATTGCAGAAAAGCTTTCCCTTTCTTAAGGAAAAATATTCATTTAAATATTGGCTTTTCCCCCCCATTTCAGATGTATCAAAGGCCATTTTGAAAAACAAAACAAAATGAAACAAGAAACCCTTAGTTTTTGTTTCTCCCCCTAGCCTGAGTCCATCTACTCTTTTGGTGCTCAGTATTTCTTTTCTGATACACTCTTTCTTGGGGACTAAGCCAAGGAAACCAACTAGGAAGTCTGCTGCTTGTTTAAGGATGCTCCACCCATGATTCATCTGGGAGTTAAGGGCCTCTCAGTAAAGCCCAAGGAAAGCCCCGTAAGAGGCCCAGCATTCGTGTGTTCCTGTTTAGGATGAACTCTGCTCTCTCCATCATTCCACCTCTTCAGTCATACTTAAGAATCTTTCTTCTCACACTACTGGACTCAAGTTTTCTCTTCTCAAGGCTTTGATTATTTGGGATCCTACTCCACCTTTTCTTTTTTCTTCTGAAACTCTCCAGACCTGGCCACCTTGCTGTGTTCTCTTCTGGTCTAACTTTAAGAGGCTGTATCACGATGCCCTCTTGAAGAACAAGAGGTACCACACAGATGTGACTGGGGCTCACATAGTGATGCCTTGTCAATGTGGAGTGCCAGCAGGCACCAAATCACATGTTTTTGCTACTATTACAAAAGCTTTGCTCACTTTTCAGTAGCGTCTCTGGTCCTATTTGCACCATTACCATCTCCCCACTTGCTCGGTCTTTACAACCCCACTTCTGTTCATGACATATAGTAAAAACTCCTAAGTTCCATCTACTGGCCAAATTATAGTCATTTAAAAACCTCCATACTTCTAAAAATTCCATCCATTTCACAAAGAATTCTGCTTCAAATGGTAACCATTTGATATGTATTTTTAAAAAATTCAGATGAACCAAAATAGCTTTAGATACAAACATTGTGGGGTGACAATTTAAGTTACTTAACTCTTCTACTTTCTCCTGGTGAACCATTTTGACTAAATACAAGTGACAGCATACAAAACTCTTTACACCAATAGAGACAAGGTCTTAGACATATACCAGATATGAAACTCCCTAACAAGGAGCTTATATATCTTCGACTGTTCACATACAACTAACAGGCACTTGGACGGAGACACGGACATGCACAGGGTAGATCCAACAGCCTAGAATTCATATGCCGGTCACATCACGGCCATGGCTGATGGGCCAGAGATCATGCATAAGACATGATTTTTCTACCTTTTTGGTGTCTGGAGGGCATATGCTGTTACCTGCTGTCTTTGATAGGCAGAGAAGGTTCTTTCCAGGTCTTCAAGATCTAGAATTTTGAAGACTTTTGTATCATCAATTTCGGTCCATACTGTTCCTTCCAGTTTGTTCTAGAAACATCAATGTAATAAGTGCTATAGTTTACAGTTATACATAAAAAGAACAGGGATGGTTATTTAAAAAGTGCTTCTATCCCAAATTTTTCAGTCTACCAGACACTCAAAGTGACGGGTTTCAAACAATGTGTCATTTATTTCAGAAGCTTTATCACTTAAATATCTGAGCTAGTGAGAACTCTTGGTCCACATTAGAAAATGAAATCATTTAACAGCCAGGGCTGTTTTCCCTTTCAGTGATAACACAATGAGCTGCTAATGCTATCCATTAAAGGGAAAACTGGAACAAATGGCTCACCTCGGGCAGTTTAGACCAGTTGAAGGATTTCAGGGCATTTGTGGGCTGAGGAATGCTTTTCTTCTTCAGTGCTAGGCCCATTGGAGCACCAGGAGGTGGCATGATTGCCCCTAAGGGAGGAGGCCCTGGGGGAGGAGGAGGGCCACCTGGAGGGAGGGGAGGCGGTGGAGGGGGAAGCATCCCACCTGGTAGAGGTGGGGGTGGTGGGGGAGGAAGGAGAGATCCAGGCACAGAGGAAGGAAAGGGCCCTCCTGGTGCTCCAGGCGAGGGTCCACCTGGGATTGAAGCACAGACGGCCCTCTGAAAAGATAAAAATAGGAAAAGAAAGATCAATGGAAGAAGTAAATTCATTGAATGATTTAAGAGTCTGTAACTTGGCCTAAAATGTTTATTATAGAGAAATTCACCCTTCTGAGAATGTTTAAAGGATCGGTAAAGTCGAATGGACTCTTTTGGGCCTTTATGGACTCCAGTGCATCAACCTTTTGTACCTGACACTCAAGTACTTGTCTGGGATGCATTCATATCTCTCTCACTTCTTGCACCATCACAGACAGTCTGGTTTTCATGAAGTCAGTTTTCACTTTAAGAAGCTAATGCAATTTCCTTTGCTCTTAGATTTGTACAGTATTTAAAAATGCACCCCCAAACAGCCTCTGCTGCCTACATGATAGCAGAGGGAGTGAGTCTCCTAATTGTGATGAATCATGAGCCATTTCAGATTTTATTCCCCCAGTATGAAGTTCTCTACTTAAGGGTGAGGGGCTCTAGGGTCAGTGAGGCCTTGGCAGCTGCCCGTGAGCTGAGCGGAAGACCTCACCCTGCTGAGCTCATGGAGCTGTGCTGTGAGGTCCGCCACCTGCTGCTTGACTTGCTTATGCTCAGTAGTCTCCTTTTCAAGTTTCTCTTTCATTTTATTTAAGGTCTGCATCATCTCTTCCTTCTCTTGAGTCTTAGCATCACATTCTCGTTCTTTCTTTTCCAGTTTCTGTTGTAGCTCATTGTGCTCTACACGAGAAAACAATTGGACATGAAAACAGGAGAGTCTTCAAAGCTGAAGCATTTTCTCTAAAAGAAAATTGACTGAGGATGATGGCAGAGATTATGAGGATCTTTATTAGGTAAATATTATTCCTCTTCTCCATCAAAGGGAGCAACTCAAAGGCTAAATGATGTTTGTGCTTGGAGTGGGCTTCGGATGAACAATGTTATTATTAACTACGTAAGAGACTGAAGAAGAGAGCCTACACTCACAGTTCTAAACACAGAACAAAAGTTTGAGTGACTTCTTGTGGAGGAGAATGGTAACTGTTTGGTAGTTGATTCAGAATCTTGTCATTAAAATGGTCCTTTAGCAATACAAGGAAAAAAATAAATATTCAAATGGCCTCTTTTCACAAATTAGAAGTGAGACAAAGAGTAGTTCAGCTTTTATGAATTAGGTTTGCCAGCTCACATCCAACCAGCCGAAGGGCTGGAAGGGAGGGTCTCACCTGTGAGGAAGAGCTGCTGTCAGACCCAGGGTTTGTCCCCAGATGGAATCACTTCTCCCATCTCCCCTCAGAAGGCTACTTGAAGTATTTTATGCTTTCAGTAAACAATTATTAAGGCATATGAAAGCAAATGTTATCATCTCAGTATTAAATATCTTAAGGGGAGTGGGGTCAGTAGAACGCGAAAATCATGGTAACACAGGGGAGAAAAATATTGACTCTTAGCTGTAGTTTTACTGACTTCCTCAATCCTGCTATAATAAAACAGGGCATCCAATTCAGCATAATGCATATTCACATTGCCAATGAATACAAGCTTGCTGAAAGGAGTGATGAGTTTTGGAAAAGAGAACTAACAAAGTTTAGGCTGCGGATTTTTATTTCAAATACATGTCCCCAATTCCTATTCTTTTTATATCAATAAATCCACTAGAGGTATAACCCACTGGGGCCGAGCTATACTAATAGAGCTGGTCTCTATTTCTGAATTTGCTAACACATTTAAATTCTTGTTTTCTCTGTCTCTGACCTTCTCTCTCCTGAGTTCCCCCAAATTAGAGTTTACAGAGAGGAGTTCAAGCCACTAAAATCCCTGGATTTTGTCAGCAATCCACTTCTACCACTCTGTTGTTGCCTCCCTAACTTCTCCAGAAATACATCCAAAAATGACCTCTCTATATCCCATTTTCCTTCTTTTATCTCCATTTCATTCTTCTTTCACAATTTCAGGACTAGAAACTTGCCTTCCTCTCACTGGTCATTAGCTTTTGATGAAGCTGGCTGTGTCTCAGAATTACCTGAGAACTTTCAGCATTTCAAGACTCCCCAGACACTATTCCAAGAAGTCTATTTTGTAGGTCGACTACAGGGCTTAGATGATCCTGATGTATGCCAGGTTTGGGAAGCTCCAGCCTAAATGACTCTCTCCACAAATGGTATCTATTTACCATTCAGTCACTAAGCTTTTATTGAGCACTTCCTGGGTGTGCTGCCCTAAAGAGAATTCTCCCCAAATATTCTCTACATTTTAGGTCCACAGAACTTCTGTCTCCTTATCACTTCTACCCTTGGACTATTTTAACAAAATATGCCCTCTTGAATACAATTTTGCCACCTGAAGCTTCTAGAAAAAAACTAACATTTAACTATAATCTTTCCTCTTTTAGACTCTACCCATCATTTCACTTTAAAACACTAAAACAACCTGTTCCTCCCACTGACATTGGTGATTTTCTTTTGTACCATCTCAGCCACCTAAATCCTGCAACAGTGGCTATCATTTATTGTGCAACTAGTATGTGCCAGACACTATGCTAATGATCTTATATTTGTTTTGTCATTTAATCTTCACAACCACGCTGTGAGTCAGGATTAATCCTCAGGTTGCAAAGGTCGAGACTGGGGGAGAAGAGAGGAAATCACTTAGCCCATCCACACAGTGAGAAAGGGGGAGAGCTGAGACTCAGACCCAGAGCTCAGCACAGTGCCTGACACATACAGGCATTCAACAGGTATTCACTGAATGAACGAATGAATGAATGACTCGAAAGCTTACATCCTAAGTGCTCTCCTCAACCTGCACACTTGAGTCTCCATGCTCTAGAGTGTATTCCTAAAATATCCACTCATTGACTATTTTCTCTTTGGTTTAATCTCTTTACCCTGATTTTTAGTCAATGTTTCTATCATTTTTGTAGCAGTTTCTGAAATTTATTTTTTAAAATGCATGTGCAATGTCACTTATTTGGGAGCAATCTGAATACATATGAGGAACTCGTAACATAACAGTAGTTAGTTCACAATTGGTATTTTCTGATATCAGTTATGGCCCTGCTTTTCTGCTCAGTGGAAATGTGATGAGAGAAAAGGAAATGCTTAGGCATCTCTGGGACCTGCTTTTCAGCACATTAAATATTGGGGTGAATGCTATTGTATTTCATTGGCTGTGAGTGAATAACTTGGACAAGGAAAAGGAAGTCAGTTAACCAGTATGGTGAGAGCATGGTAGCTGGCAGTATGATTATTTCCACAAAGAGGCCAACTTCAATTTGTTAATATTTTAAAACAGGAAGGAAAATTACATACATTTCTCTGTATGGCTGGTACACTGATGGACATAAATGTCTCTCCTATCATTTGATACTAAGAGATAATATCAAAGACATATTCAAATACACACTAATAGCTGGCCAGCTAATGTTTCGTAACACATATCTCAGCAATGGTCACTGATTTTCTGAATGACTTCTCTTTTTATAACTGGTACCAAATCAAGGTCATGGACAGAATTGGGTTATTGAAACCAAGTAGGCCGGGCGCGGTGGCTCACGCCTGCAATCCCAGCACTTTGGGCAGCCAAGGCGGGTGGATCACGAGGTCAGGAGATTGAGACCATCCTGACTAACATAGTGAAACCCCATCTCTAATAAAAATACAAAAAATTAGCCGGATGTGATGGCGGGCGCCGGTAGTCCCAGCTACTCGGGAGGCTGAGGCAGGAGAATGACGTGAACTTAGGAGGTGGAACTTGCAGTGAGCCGAGATGGCGCCACTGATTCCAGCCTGGGTGACAGAGCAAGACTCCATCTCAAAAAAAAAAAAAAAAAAAAAAAAGAAACCAAGTGACCTGTTCTTCTCTTTTAAAATTTTGGATAATTCCTCAAGTCCCTTATTACATTTCTTAAAACCCAGTATGATTTAAAGAGCCATGACGGAGTAGGGGAAGGGTTTGAATTATTAGTAGTTAAGAAAATTTGATTTAAGGAATACTGAACAGCAAATGCTATAAGCTTTTCAAAACATTTACATGATTATAATAAAAGGATAAAATATTTGAGAATCAGTATGACAACTAAAATAGCTCAATTTAAGAAACTCAGTGCAAAATGCCCTTAAAAGATGGAAAAAGAAAGGCTGCCTGCACCAAGCTAACAAGAAACATCAATGTAAATTTCCAAAATATATGGAAATCAAGGTCACCCAATAACCAATAACACAGCCTCTTATCAGGGCCTCATTATTTACCTTTTCTCATTTTTTCCGCTTGTTCTTTCCACTGCTTAACTTCATTTTCATTAACCAACCTGTGTAAGAGTTCAAGGAGCATTTATTACAAAAAATATAAAAGGTCCACTGCTAACTGCATTCTCCCCAGGTACAAAAATAGTCTACTGCAGAGAAAATCCTCAGTGCATGCTTGAAACCCATTTAAGACCAGATGTTACTTAGCTATAGTGCATGTGTACAGTAACTCATATTTGACCCCTAGAACATTTCAGCTCTCCCAGCTGTTACTCTGAAGTAGGATAAAATAAATATCTTACATTGTCACCATTATCTCACAGCAGCAGAATAAGAAGAGACTTACATTCGTACGACATTCTTAATATTAAAGTTTTCCAAAGGTGTGGAGTCAGGGTCCTGTCCTTTGTCATTCTGGATAACTATCTGCTGTATAATTCTATCTAGTAGTAGCCAGTACTGAACAGTGTTGCCACTCCTCTTGTCTAAAAAAGAAAAGAATAGTGAAAAAAAATCTTCAAGTTGTTTCTAAGCTAGGATGAATATTTGTCAATGGTGGTCACCCTTTAAAGCCACCAAACCAGAGATGTTTATAACATCTGCACCAATGCTTCCCAAAGTTATGGAATTTTGACATGCAATGATCATTTATTTGATTGAGAGGTACCCTCTACCCCTTTCTGAACAGGTTGTAAGGCATATTTTTTATTTTTAAAATCAAAATTTTAATTTGTTTCATTTAAAAAATTTTGTAACACCCTTTAAGCCATGTAGACACACATACTTGGCTGTCATAAAACCAAGGCTTGGAATCCCTGGTGTGCACCCAATGTAATCAGCACTGTGCAGGAGCCAGAACCCATTAGGACAATGTCCAAACATTCAGAAGCACACATGTGAGTCACGAACACACTTACAAGGCATTTGGAGGCAGTGGTGCAGGATGGACATGAAATGCGGGTAAGCTTCACTATGTGTCAGCCTCTTCCTGGTCAGCTCAAACATCTGAGTTGCACTTTTTGTGTCTATGTGAACCTATTTCACAGGAAAAAGAAATCAAATCAAACATCTAAGTTCCTCAGTTTCCCCAGTGTAAAGTAAACTCAAAGCAAACAGAAGCTAATCCTGCCACTTAGGAAACAAAATAGAGCTTTGAGTTTGCTTTTAGGTTGCCCTAAAGTCCATGTGGACTCTACAACACACATTACAGACAGAAATAATGTGAACTGATGAATCAAACCAGAATAATTGTAAGCATACGTACCAGTTCAAATCTTTTGGCAAATTCTAGTTCATCTTCATTTCGGAGCATTTCAAAAAAGTCTAAATGCCTGAAAAATAATGAAAGAAAAGTTATTAAGTAGAACATCCTATAAACACAGGTGCATAAGACTGAGGACATTAATATCATGGTTTTTCCTGACTTTTCAGAGATATCTCAAAAAGGAACAATGTAACAAAATTTGAAAGCTTCAACTTTGTTCTTTCTAAGAAAAAAAGACATCACCTGAGCGAAACAGATCACAATATGAGAAAAATTTAAAAGTCTACGATGCCTAGCATACAGTAGGCAATTATTAAATTAAAACTAAATCTAAAAACAATCAAGTTCAGATTCCACTATGGATTCCCTTTATGGAAAAACATGCCCATATACCTACACTTAACTTCCAGCTGAATTAAAGATCACAAAAGAAATGATCATGCCATTCATTTATTCAGTCACATATGTATTGAGCTCCTACTATGTATTCTACACACCCAGGATACATTTTATGAAGACAAACACATCAGGGTAAAGGAAATAGAAAATGATGGCAGATGAGGTGAATAATGTACACACAGTGGTTAGAACAGGTCTCTCTCCAGGGAACTAGGGAACCAACAATTTGGACATCTGTGAAAGATCTTTTGAAGCTGAGGAAACAGCAAGCGCAAAGGCACTGATGCAAGAGTGTTCACAGAATATCAAGAAGAAGAGCATGTTGGAGTATATGAATATACAGGAGAGGAGAGCCGTGGTAGAGAAAAGCTCTGAAAGCAAGTTGGGATAGCTTAGACTCAGTGAAATGATAGCAAACGATGAAATGAACAGGTAGTGGAAATTAACATTCACAGAATGCCTATCAAAGGGGCTAAGTAATTCCATAGGTTTTATAGTCAATTTTTACATCATTCCTGGAAAATCACTGTCATTATCATCATCACCACCAGCACTATCTTTTGCAGTTATAAAAACAGCAAAATTCAGAAAAATTGAGTAACTTCACCAGGATACACAGGAATAAGAGGCAGGACTAGGATAGGATATGAATTCAGGTCTAATGCTAAAACCCACATTAAGTTCTCTACATAATGTGCTGCTTCCCTCATCAACAAAGTCTTACTATGAAAACATCATTAGCTGAACTAACATTCTGATACAAGCTCTTTATGTTACAGACAGGGCACAAGTAACCACAGGCCAGCACTTGATGAGGTATTGCATTACACAGATGGGAAACACAGAAACTTTCTCACATCATAATAGTCTGACTTACCTATCTAATGTTGAATTTTCGTGTTCCCTTAATTTATCTATTACAGGTTGAATTCCTAACATCAGAAATTCATAGCGAAGATGAAGTCTAAAGTCCAAACTCTCCTGAAAGTAAAATGGCAATAAAATACATATTTGTGGTTTTTAGACTACATAATAATCACTTTTTATAAATTATTATTTACTAATATATTTTTAATTTGTAGAAGGTTCTTACCACTCCTGCACCTTGGCTGAGCACTGCATTAATGAAGGACATGATGGCAGTCTTGAGACTCACTTCATCTCGATACCGCCCAGTGCTTTTATCCAAGTCGTTAATTAATGTCTATCAAAAATAGAAAAACAAAGGACTGAAACGTTACTAACCTTATGCTCATTTTATGAATTTTTTTATACTCAAAAGTTAACTTTTTTTTTTTTTCAGACGGAGTCTTGCTCTGTTGCCCAGGCTGGAGTGCGGTGGCATGATCTCAGCTCACGGCAACCTCCACCTCCCGGGTTCACGCCATTCTCTTGCCTCAGCCTCCCGAGTAGCTGGGACTACAGGCGCCCACCATCACACCCAGCTAATTTTTTGTATTTTTAGTAGAGACGGGGTTTCACTGTGTTAGCCAGGACAGTCTCGATCTCCTGACCTTGCGATCCGCCTGCCTCAGCCTCCCAAAGTGCTGGGATTAGAGGTGTGAGCCACCAAAAAGTTAACTTTTAAAATCTTACGTTTAGACAGGATTACACTGACCCATAGAAAGCCACCCTTTTTCTCCTTAAGAACAGTCCTAAAAACTCTAATTTCAAAATTCTTACATCATACATACATGTATACAAAAGCCTTTGCTTCATTATCTCTGCTTGCTTTTTACATCCAAGTAATATAGTGAAATATGAAAAATTATTAATATTGATCCTAATTCAAGAATGGCAAGCTGTAAAATTTTCAGGGAACACCCAGTTTGGTGGGTTCAAAAGATGTGTGCTATATGACATATAGGATGCAAGACCACATTTTCAAGTTCTGCAAATCTAAAGGCCCAGATTCATCAACTATTGAAAGTATACTCTATTCTCTGGTTCTTAAACCTAAGAAGAAGGGAATGTTTAAAGTCACACTGTGAGTAATCACCACAAGAGGACATCTCAAGTAACATTCCCCTTTCAGGGACAGGAAAAGCACGTGTTTGAGCAGACTTTAAAGAAGGGGTGAGTGAAGAAGGCTGAGCGAACACCCACCTGAAAGCGGGTCCTTTCGCTGGCATACTTCTGGTAGTGCAGCATGGCCTGCAGAACCTTCTTGTGGCCCCCGGGAACCAGGCACACGGCGCCCAAGATTTCCAGCACGGCCACCTTCGTTTTAATGTTCTCTGTGCTCAGACTCTGAGCAATTACATTAATACTCTCAGAATGAGCCAGGACGTGAGCCCGGCCTTGAGAGTTGTTCATTAACGCCTTTATACAGCCAATGAGAGAAGTATGTATTCGAGACTCTGAGGTCTCGTAGTCCATGGTCTTTAGAAAGTTGAGGATACATGATAGGCCATCCAAGTCGATGAATCTGGTTACAAACCTGTCATGAAGAGAAATGCACCATGCTTAAGTGCCTTTGGGTTTTATAATAGCCCCTAACAGAAAAGTCTAGAGGGCAGGGGAAAGAAAGATTTAGTTCCTAAAGTGCCAAAAGGCTTACATTGATGAAGTCTTTTTAATTCTTTGCCTCTTCCTTGGCACAGACCCAATAGTCAGTTCTAACCAAAAGTGTGAAAAAAAACCCCTCCATTTGTGATAAACATATCTCAATGGGTACAAAGAACCAAACAACAGATCATATATTCATAAAAAATTAGAAGCAAGAGAATACTCGGAATACATATCTTGTCTTAGATTAAAACCATCTGCTGTTCCTGTGTTATTTAGCATACAGTTCCCATGCCCCCACCCCAATCCTTTTTTTTTTTTTCTTTAAGAGAGACAGGGTCTTGCTCTGTCATAGCTCACTGCAGCCTTGAACTCTTGGGCTCAAGTGATCCTTCCACCCCAGCCTCCCAAGTAGCCGGGACTACAGGTGCGTGCCACCATTCCCAGTCAATTTTTTCTTTTTAACTTTTTTTTTTAAGAGGTGGAGACTTGCTATGTTGCCCAGACTGGTCTTGAACTTGTGGCCTCAAGCAAACCTCCTGTCTCAGCCTCCCAAGTAGCTGGGATAGTGAGTGACCATGTCTGGCCCATGCGCTTTTATATGTTGATTGCTGACGCACTTTTAAGTGCTGATCACTGACCCAAACACCCTATCAATGAAAGTCAAAAGCTTCCTTAAATTCCAGGATATTTGCTTGTTGAACAAATGATAATCTACATCCCTAAGGTTTTGTGACAAAATTCTTCTCTTATATGACATGCTACATGGAATCTCAATATTCCATGTACACTGAATACAATAATAAAGCAATACTTTATTGTTGCATACTAACGTTATTAATATTTCTTACACTTAAGTTAATCAATGAGACTAACTCACAATGCACATGTACATATTAAAGCCACCGAAAAGTTCAGAAGTAACATAACCTGTTTATGTGATAAATTTTCCAAACTTATTTAGGCTTGGATATCGATTAACATCTGAGAGTGCAGAACATATTGAGAGAAATGCTGATACAGTTAGGATAGTCTAGATCTCTGTCATATAACTACACAGTATTTTTCATGAGTCAGACTTTTCTTAGTTTGCATTTTATAGTCAAATAAAGAAAGGGAATCTTTATTTTCTAGGCTTTTCACCCAACCACATGACCCAGATGTAGCCAAGCTCGTTAAACCAGTTGGCTTCATTCATAGCACCTGTGCTCATGTAATGTACTTATAAGAACCTCAGCATCTCAGCAAATCCTAGAGGCATTAAAGGAATGAAAGTGCAGGAGGCACAACATAGAAGCTGATTATCAGAGAGGAAATGAATCACTGTTGCCAGAAAGTGTACCCATCTTTAAAGAAAAGTAATACTTGTATTGAGAAATAATTCACATGCCATAAAATTCACCCTTTTAAAGTGTACAATTCAGTAGCTTTTAGTATATTCACAGAGCTGTGTGACCAACAACACTAGCTAATTTTAGAACAGTTTAATCACCCAAAGAGAACATTTTCCCCACTTCCTCAGCTCCTGGCAACCACTAATCTACTTTCTGTTTCTATGGATTGGCCTATTCTGGGAATTTCTTATAAATAGAATCATACAGTGTGTGGTCTCCTTTGTTACTGGCTTCTCCCACTTAGCATATTTCAAGGTCATTTCATGTTGTAGCATGTATCAGTACTTCATTCCTTTTTTTTGTAGCCAAATTATATTCCATTATGTGGATATATAACATTTCATTTATCCATTCATCAGCTGATCAATATACGGGTTATTTTCACTTCTTGGCTATCATGAATAATGCCGATATGAACATCTGCATACATGTTTTTGGGAGACATGTCTTCATTTCCCTTGGCTACATTCCGAGGAGCAGAATTATTGAGTCATATGGCAACACTATATTTAACATTCTGAGAAACTGTTAAAACCCTTTTCCAAAGTGGCTTCACAATTTTACATTCCTAGCAGCAATGAATGAGGGTCCCAATTTTTCTACATTCTTGTCTACTAACTTACCATTGTTAAAGTCTCTCTCTGTTTTGTTTTTTTTTAGCCATCCTAGTGGCTGCCTACATACCTTTTCACAGAAGAAAATAACTTTATTAAATGTTAATGATTAAAGTATGTTATGGTTTAATTTTATGGTTTTAACTTAAGACTTCCTAGAAGGTTTGACTATTGCAAAAAAAGGAAGGAAGGAGAGAAAAAAAAAAAACATGCCATCCAGGGGAAAATTACCTCATTGGTTTTGTCCTCAGTGCTGTCTTTAAACTCTCTATAGTTTTACTTCTTTCTTCTTCTTCTTCCTTCTCTAAAGCCAGCAGAGATTTTCTCTATGCAAAGAAAACAGAAGTTACTTCTTCAAATTCTATTTTTTAATTACAGTACAAACAAGACAAACCTACAGATTATTTGTCACTATCACTTTAAATATAAACAACAAATCTATGATTAAGTAAGTTAAGTCTTTCAAATTTTAAATAAAGCCTTAGGGAAAAGTTTAGAAATCTTCGTAGAGATGACGTTGCCCAAATGCTTGTATAACTATTCTATAATTACACTTTGATGTAGATACTACTACTTGTATTTGATAGAAATAAGACTGAACCTGTAGTTGAATACAACATTCTGGCAATTAAAGATAATAATACCATCACATTATCAAAAACAGGAGGTGGGCAGCAGTCCTCCTATGCTACCATTCCTATTCCTCAGCCAAAAAGTGTAATCAAGACCAAAGGGATTTTGTTACATCTAATTATTTTTTAAGAGGAAAAATTAATTTGGAGCTATTACTAGGATAGACAATTCCTTCAGAGTAAATGCGTAACTTCTAGAAATTATTCAACATCATTTAGAAATCAGGATATGGAGTGAGTGTGTGTGTGTGTGTGTGTGTGTTTCTACCCAGGGATCTGCTAGAGCAGTGCTTCTCAAACTTTAATATGGATATGAAAATCACCTGAGGATAGTGTTAAACTATGGAGCCTGGTTTGGTATGTCTGGGGTGAGGTCTGAGATGTTGCATTCCTGACAAATTTCTAGGCAATGCTGATGCCGCAGAAGCAAGGTTCCATGTAAGATTGCAGTTGTTATTATAAAATTGAGAATGCCAGTAAGGTGTCTAGACCTTTCCATTCCCTTTCACTCTGTGATCACCTGGTTGCACTAAAGTACCCCAAGTCTTATGACTCCAGGATCCTCCATCCATGGAGCTCCTGGTCCCTTTTCTTCATCCTATTCTGAACACACGCTTGTCTAGTTTAATCTTTTTACCTATTACAAATTCTGATAGAAATGCTTGGCTGAGAAACAGATTGGGGTGACTGTATTGAAAAAGAAAAGCTTGACTCATATCCATGGGTCTCAATGACCCAGTCTCAGCCTTTCTTTCAGGACCATAACTCATCAAGAGTGACAATCAATAGTATCAGCATTAAGTAACTAATGTTAACTAAAAGCTAAATATGATTTCATAATGAGAAGGGTAAAGATCAAAGCAAAATAAATATAATACATCAGTATCATTTATGGCAACTGAAATAAAACCCAGTAGTTTTTTCGGTCTTTAAAATCTTGTTATTGTTTCTGCAAAGTTGTCCTCTTGCTGGTGATGCTCACAGACAGCTGTCACCAGGGGATGGTGAGTAAGGAAGCTGGGTGCAGAGACAGCCAATGAATTCTCCCAAAGCTCCCTGAGACCCATCCCCTGGAAAACTCACACAAATCCAGCCAAGAACGTTTAATCTCCAATGACATAGCTGAACTCGTTTGGACTCTTATGCAATCACTTTGAATCTGTAGCTCAGAATCCAGCCTTTTATGAAGATCATTCCTTGTTCCTAAGCTTAATGACACAAAACTATCCCCAAATTAATGACTACACATTTTACTGCGGGTCACTAGTACAAATAAAACTGCATGTATTTATCCTTTTAAAAATCCTGGAGAGGGTGGCACATTTGAATAGCAGCAGTCTATATTAAGTTTCTCCATACTAGAGTTGGGAGATTTATGAAATGTCAAAGAAAATTAAGTTGGAAATTCCTTTCCCAATACTGTGTAAGGAACATAACCTTTCAAAACAGAAAAGACTACAACATTTTCTATGTGTGATTTTTCAGATTTGGTTCTGAGATTATATTTATCGTGCTGAGATAACTGAGGATATGTAGCTGAACTTGATGTTCTAAATGTGACTTTTCAAAATAAAATAATTTCTACAAAGTTTAAAGCTTTCAAGCCTCACATTTAGGAAGAAGGTTTAATTTGCAACTTTTAGTAGATAAGGGAGATGCCTAGATTTCTGAAGATGATTACTATGCCAAATATCTAGTATGCACAGGCCTTGTGGAGGCTTCTTTGAATGCTCTATGCACTTACTAAATACCTGCTCACATGAGAAGCAGGCAAAGGACAAAGCGCATCCTTGCAGAGGGTCTTTCTGTCAAAGCTGCTAAGGTGTACATTGGAACACGCGGGTCTGACAGAGAGGCACAAATGTGGCCCAGAGGTCATTCCTGCTGGGAGTCTGGAACTTAGCTCCCGTTTGAATCGTTTCTTTGGTGGGAAATCAATAAGCCAGTCCACTAAGCATACTGAACTTCACCTCACAGTCTTCCTCCTTGAGAAAGCATGGAGAAACCACATATAAAGAAAGCCCAGGTCCTTCTAGATGTTAGGCCACACTCTTTATTATACTATTTTTCACTCTTTAAAAGCCAACAGATCACTCAGGGGTCCTTTAAAGAACAAAGCATTCTTGTAATGAGGCTTACATAAAGTAATTGAACTTGTTCCAAAAAGGCTGGCTTCACAGACTAGTAAGTGCTGCAGTTCTCCACCTGGACTGTTTATCAGACTCTTAAGACATTAAAGAAAACAGAAGCCTATCCCATCTCAGAAAAGTCAGGCTTGCTAGGCCTGGGGGTGGGGAGAAGGTGGGATAACCAGGGCTCTTTCACATGCCACAGGGTTTCAAAAACTGAATTAGTGAGAGGCAAATTGGAAAGGAGTCTTTGGGCTTAGACGGATACATTTAAATTCCCAATTAGATGACCACCTCCTAATTAGATAACCTTGGGCAAGGTAACCTTTCTGGAGTCTCAGACTCCTTATCTATAAATAGCACTTACAGCATAGGATGCTGGTGGGACCGCAAACAACATATGAAGTGCCTGTTACCCTGCTTGTCATGTAGTAGTTGCTGCTGATTCTGCAGACAATGGGTGATGACAATGTGGACAAACACTCCTTCAAGAATGCCCTAAGCAGACAACCAAAGAGTCTAGCTGCTGGGCCATGAAAGGATTTGGAGAACTTGTGTGCCTTTCCACTGCTCCAGGTACAATATCTCAGGATTTCTGCTGTGTGTTATCAAGAATTCTCCAGTACAGACATCATAGTGATTAGCCAGAACTATGCAAGGCGGTGGTGGCAATCAGAATGTTGAGAAAAACAGAAAACTCAGCATAGGGTTTCTGGTCTCATCAGATCTCCTTATTCCCTGAAGTATGCAGGAATTTTGAGGCCTCACTAATTCATGGACTATTAATGCCTTTTACCTTTGACCCTGGAAAGATGTTGGCTCAGTCCTAAAAGGAACATTAGAAAGCTTTCTTAGGTGTTTGACACAAAAAGTATAGCAAAGTCACTGACAATTTAATAGACTTGTGGTGCTCTTGGGAAGGATTTTGGATTGGGAACCAAACACACAGCAGTTAAAATGTAGATCACTCAAGAATGTGGCAAAGAATTGTCCAAGGAGCTGGATGGAGGAGAGAGGAGGCCCTTAAAGAAGGGCCACATGTTGGCACATCACAGACCCTGTAGCACACAAATGAACCAGGTCTACTTCAGACAAGGCAGGGATTAAGTCACTAAAGGACAAATTAATCTAACTGTCCTATACTTGAAGAAAGGAAAAATCCATACAGTACTTAGTAGTTCCCCATTTATAGAAGGGAATTCATTAACAAATAAGCAACTTCTCATTAGATAACAAACATGCAAATTTAATTAGAAAGAGAAACAATTCTTTTTTTCCTAACAGCCAGGAACAAGAATTCAGAAAATAGCCTTTATATGCAGGAAATATAAATGGCTCCAAATTATTATTGCTTAGGCAGATGCACAGAAAATCCCTGGTGGTCATCACAAATCTCACATTCTGTTAGCATATTCATACAAATGCTGAGATCACCCTTTTCTCATCTTTGGCATTGTGTGAGATGCCTTGAATAAGAAGGATTTGGTGGTTATTTTCTGTCCATTTCTGCTATGCTTTTAGACTAGAAACCCTTGGGGAAAAACTTATGTAGTTTCTTCTATAATTTATATATATAGGCTGTTTATTATTCATTGTATGACAACAGAAGAAGCATCTTGTAAGAAAAAAGCTAAAAAAGAGGAAGTTACTAAAAGTCAAGACCTCTAAAAGTTTAGGAAACATGTGAACGACTCACATATTCTAATCAGTTTTTAACTATTCCAGCAGCAGGAAAATGTTATGAGACCATTTAAAATGCTTGTTTTGAGTGATAAGAAATTTATTCTCCATAAAGAGAGAAGGCAGGAAGGAGGTAGAAGAAAGTATTCTAGAAGCTATCATCTACTTGCATGTTATAAACATGAATATAACAGATTGACTCTTAAAACCATGAGTGTGCCCACTGAGACAAAGACTGCATTCTACTATGGGCAACCTCTAATTCTTATCAACAGGGATGGGATTTAAGCTACTAAGGCTCAAAGGTTGATGACTTATTTTCTGCTGTGAATTTTAGCTGTGATGAATAGGTGTCCCTCAAGCTGCTGGCAATGCTGACATCACAGACATCCATGTGATTAGAATTCATATTTTAGGCATTGAGAATACATATTAAGCAATTACTGAACCAACAATCCATGTACTAAAGATTTTCCGAGGACATCTCAGCACTATTATTATGACGCCTTTTCATTAAACCACTTGCTTTATGAATTCCTGATCTATTATATGAGTAAAGAGTACTTGGTCCCCTGCAAAATCATGATGCCAGGAAATAACCAAGTTCTCAGTAAGAAAGAGAATGGGAGGGATATAGTAAAGAAATCGCTTAATCATATTATTTTAAAATGGTATTAACTTTTAAAATAGTGCTGCCATAACCAAGCTCCGAGTGACTGGTAAGAGCAATTGCAAGTTAAAGTTGAACACAAGCCAGATTTCAAACTACATTTTCACTTACAACATTAAACTCAATTATATTGCAGTGTGTGCTGATTTTATTTAAAACATACTGGAAAAATCACTTTGCCAAGTATCCCTCCTACCCTCTTTCCTTTCCCCAGCATTGAATGTTTAGGATGGAGTTTGGAAAGGTACTGACATTTGGTAGGTCATACTCAATCGAATTTATTGTGCAACTGTGTACTTTGTACTACACTTGCATTTTAAACAGTGTGTCAAAGAACATAAAAGTCTACTTACAGCAGCCATGGAATTGAGCTGATCAATGTAGAATTCAGGCCAACTTGTAGCTCCCTTGTTTTCTTCCTGGTCCTAAAAAGGGGGGAAAAAAAGTGACATACCACCCAACATATACACACAGCACCTAGAAACACATCCGACTTCCAGAGCACCCAGACAATGACCCACTCAAGCCTTTAGAAGACACGAAGGTATGACGTATTTATTTTTAAATGTTGGCTATAAATGATCAGACTGCCTACTTGACTAGGGTGGTCTTCCCAGCTCAATTTCCACAGAGAATGCTGAAGTGTGAGTTAGGTATAACAAGGGGACATTTTCTGAAGCGTGGATCAAGAAGAATTTAAGTGGTGTAAAGTTGTTTTCCTTCAGGGGCTATGTCACACTGGACAGTACTGTTAGACTATACACCTGGATGGAATCCATGAGAGAAGGAAACTTGCCTTAGGTGACCATAGGATTCAGCCAGTTATTAACCAAACTTTTTCAGTTAGTGTATTCAGACTCCATCAGACAGTAAAAACTTGAAGAAGGGTTTCATTTGATGTGGCAAAAATTAAGTACTGCTTCAGATGAAGAGGTAGAAGAATAAAGCCTGACATTGAATGGAAGGTAGTAAAATGAACTCACATTAGTTCCAGGCGCAGCCCTCATGCTGTGACAGCTCAGGAGTTTTGATAGAAAAGGTAGTGCCTCTGAGTGGAAAAGAACTGAAACCCAAAGAATTCAGGCACCGATTCCTAAACTGTCCCAGCCAGCCTTGCCTCTTACAGAGCAGGGTGACCTGGAGCCAGCCCCTAAGCCCCCCAGGGCTTCTGTGGATGGGAGATCTGTGCCAACCTGAAGCCAAATCTCAAAAAAAAAAAAAAAATCAGTTATCAGTGGCTGTGGCCTCTGGCTCCACCTGAACACTGAGCCCAGCAGAAGATGGCACTGTGGTCAGGGATTTCTATGCGTATTTGCACATCTATGTGAGTCACTTGTGTGATCAAACAGACCTGAAAAGGAAAATTTTGGTTCTTTAGCTTCACATTCAAAGACCACCTGAGGACAATGGATATCCCACCCTAGTGGAGAAGATGTTATGCCATGTACACACAGCTACTGTCTCATAATGAAGCAGTGACTACCTACTAGGTTTTAACATCTCTTTTAGTAGAGCTCTATATCCTGATGTCAGAATCCCAACCCTCAGGAGAGTGGTTTCAAGGTGGGGCATTTAATTTCAGTCCTATACTGTGCCTCGAAAAAACACTTTCTGTAAGCAAATCTTTCCAGACAGGTCTACACAGGTGGAATAAAAGAAATGCAATTTCAAAACTATTTTTTAAGTAGTCACAACAAGGGGGCAAAGTAACTATTGCTTACAGTGCCTTAAAAGCTGGCAGTAACTGATATCTCAACTCAGGCAGTTGTGTGAATTTCATCTGGAGATTGAAGAAGCCAGATGATGGGGACTAAGGCTACAGCAGAGGCTTTGAAGTTAGACTGGATTACACTCCCATAGTTTCACAACGTTTAGGAAATCTGATGAGTTTTTAAAAACAGGCCTTGGTTATACTTTAACATGTTAATAAAATAGCTATAGTGGTAGTATAAATGCTAAACCCTTCTTTCCTCTTAAAAGGGAGTATTAGCAAAACCCCACTCTTACCAATGTATTTAACAAGCCAAAACTCACAGTGATATTCAATGGTATTTGAACCTATAAAATGAAGCAGAAGGTGCCAGATCTCTCCATTCCCCCAAAGTAGGGCAAATTTCCAAAACTAAAACAAAATCAAGTCCCATGACTGAGGTCCCACAAGAGCCTGTCTGTTGTAAGCTTAATATTTAACAGTTACAGAAGAGAGACCATTCTTGAAACTGAAGATTGGTACACAGAGAGAAGTCTTTACAGTTTGGAAATGTTTTAATAATGCGAATAGATTAACAGCACACGTAGATATTGTCATCACAATAAGGGGAAGAAGGCTTCATTTTCATTTCACATGCCTCAGTGCTGAGAAAACCAAACAAGCTAGAGTATGTGAAAGTTTCTTGTAAATGTACTAACGTGATCCTCAGAGTTCTTAATTTGGGCAATGTATCTCCAGTTTCCCCTGTGCAATACTGGTCCCTGCATGCAGATGTGTGCTGCAGGAGCCATGTGAAACTCCCATCTCTGAACCAAAACTCTCTCTCCTCCTCCTTTGTGAGGCATTAAGAGTTTGTTGCTCTGTAGAAACATAGGCCAGAAGGAGATGAATGCAATTGTTCTCTGGCAGGAGGAGACAGGGGATCTGAACATTAATTTTATTATTTCTCTAATCCAACTCTTCCCTTTTTCTTAGGAGGTTAATAGACATCTATAAGAGAATATTCATGGACAAGATTTCCTGCTGGATGCAATTCACCTTGACACTTCTTGCTCTCAGCCTGCACTGACTACTGTTTTAACTTCTGTTCTAGATTGTATATACTTTGCTCCCATTATCCCAAATTCTGTGGATGGGGGAGCCCTTCACTAGGAAAGAGAACTTGTACAGTACAAAGTGCCTTCAAGAACACTGACTTTTGTTTTTTTAAACATCCAACTCTTTTAAAAGATAAAGAAATATACAATCTTTCTAGTTTCACCTTATTTCCAAATAGCACATTTTTCATTCCAAATTTCTGGTCAGTGGCTAGTAAAAAATTCTAAGAGATCCTCTCCCATCCTCTTTAAATGTACAAGGATGCATTTATTTTTCTCAACATCACTTTGTTGAGAATACATTTTACATTGTTTCTTCATTCTTCTTCTTACTGAGGTAGACATTCACAGCTATATCTGGGACTTCACTATCATCTCTACTCACCTCGAAGATGACTGTGATACACTTCTCTCACCACCAACAGCATTTGAATCCTTAGTCTCTCACTAGCTATGTGACTCTTAAGTAACCTCTTTGTGACTCAGTTTTCATTTCCTTACCTGTGAAATAGGTGCCTGCCTCCTCATAGCATCTTTGTGAGAACTTAAAAAGTTGATACAAATAAAGCAAGCACTGGGAAGAGTATACACAAAACACGCTCAATAAATGCTAGCTCTGACAATAATGATACTGTTCCAGAGTCTCCAGTTATGTCCATTCAGTGTCCTTACAGTAACTGGGACTGTAAAAATTACAGCAACCAGTTTGGAAGTAAATTTTGGTAGTAATTGTTCACATTTAAAATCCAGATAGCCTTTGACCCTGTAAGTTTACTTTCAGGAATTTAGCCTATAATTACATGTTCACACTTGTACAGATATATAATCACGAAAATTTTTCACTATAGCACTGTTTGAATTAACAAACAATACAAAGGGGAATAAATATATAGAGAGGGGCTAGGTGCAGTGGCTCACACCTGTAATCCCGGCACTTTGGGAGGCCAAGGTGGGAGGATCACTTGAGGCCCGGAGTTCAAGATGAGCCTGGGCAACATAGCAAGACCCCATCTCTCCAAAATAAATAAATAAATAAAACAATTAGCCAGGCTTGTTGACACATGCCTGTAGCCCTAGCTACTCAGGAGGCTGAGGTGGGAGGATCACTTGAGCCTAGGAGTTCACCAGCCAGGGTGACATAGCAAGATCCTATCTCACAAACAATAAAGAAAAGACAAGCAAATATACTGTCGGGGAGAGAATGCTTCAGAATATCATCTTTCCCATCTGTAGGGAAAAATATGTATACACTACACACAAACATTTCCAGAAATATAAATAAAACTTAACAATGGCTACCTCTGGATAACAGAAGGGAAGGTTTTCTTTTTTTTTTTTTTTAACTTATAAACTTCTATACCATGCAAATTTTTATTTTACCAAGAACATACACTATTTTTACAATTAGAAGTAAGTTCTAAAGCATTATGCATTGTCAGGACAAGAGCTTTGCTTTGTTTGACGTTTGGGGTGACATGGAATGCATCAAGACCCTTCAGCATCTGGAATGTCTCTGTCCTCCACTCCTGGGGCACCCCTCCACCTCCCACAGCAAATAATTTAAACCATTTCTCTACTAATTGTCTTCTCTTACTGGATTTCTATTTTTAAAACTCACCATAATGTCAATATCAGCTGTTTATGCAGAGAGAGAATCTCTGATTTGGGACAAGATTTGTATACCCAAAGCATGCTAAAATTTTCAAAATTTCTATACTCATATATTTAGAAATTTGTGTGACAAAAATTTCTTCGTAGCAGCTGAAGTCTTCTGTTGATATAGGTGAGACTCAAAATGCAGTTAGAAAATTAAGTCTTTAAGGAAGAATAACTTCTTCTGAAGTTAGCACAGGACACTTTCTTAATAGGATCATTTCCCAAATAATAATACATAAGTATGTCAGAGTTTTTTTGTTTGTTTTTTTTGTTTTTTTTCAGTTTAAGATGTTCTTAGTAAGGCCCAAAATAAGCTATGCAAAGGTCAATCAATTGTAAAGGACATGCTCTGCGGTTGTTCGCTAGACCACAAATCACAGGCTGAAGCAACATTCATTTAGTCAGCTAAAGCCATAAATCTCTATGTGTGCTGTTACGAATTGAGGAGGTTCTTAGATAATATCTGTCAAGGAAGAAAGACACACTCTTTAACTGTCTAGACTGGCTGAAACTCTTCTAGCAATGTATACTAATACCATCATCTCAAATATAGTGGAGATACAGTAAGGCTTAACCAAACAAATGTCAACAGCAGAAGAATACTGTTTCAGTATGACACAAAGTGAATTTTATTGTGATCATTTTCATTACAGGGGAAAGGCAAATAATTGCTAATAAAAACCTGCTCTCTTTGCAAAGAACCTGCTTTTAGAAATTTCAAGTGAACCGTAATCATATATAGAATGAAAAAATTCTATCCATTGTTAATAAGCAAAATAGTCACCTTGTTCATTAATTTGTCACTACTGGCCAGGCACGGTGGCTCACACCTGTAATCCCAGCACTTTGGGAGACTGAGGTGGGTGGATCACTTGAGGCTGGGAGTTCGATACCAGCCTGGCCAATATGGTGAAACCCCATCTCTACTAAAAATAAAAATAAAATAATAATAATTTTAAAAAAGTTAGCTGGGCATGGCGGCGCATGCCTGTAATCCTAGCTACTCAGGAGGCTAAGGCGTGAGAATCGCTTGAACCGGGAGGCGGAGGTTGCAGTAAGCCGAGATCGCACCACTGCACTCCAGCCTGGGCCACAGAGCAAGACCCTGTCTCAAAAAAAAAAAAAAAAGGAAAAAATTTGTCACTACTATTCTAGGTAACACCAGTCCAATCCCATACACTAATGAATACAACAAACATTAAATAAATTCACTCTACACCTAAAATTTATACAGAAACCTAGGCAGAAAAGGGCAGATAGGCCAAAATAGTTTATTGTGTTAGGTTATAACTCCATGATGTGTGGCATCCAAAAGAACTCTTATGTTAGAGAATAGGTGCCAACATAAGACCAGGTCCAAGCAACAGAGAAAGAGAAGCACAGAAGATGGAAGATGTAAAAATATTTGTGGGCGGCCTTGCTAGTAATTTCTGCTAACTTCCCCCTCTGGCTCATAACGGTGTAAACAGCATCTTCTCGAAGATGGCTACGATAAAGTGTGGAACAATCTGGAACAACCAAGGGTCGCAAACTTTTCCTGTAAGGAGCCAGACAGGAAATATTTTAGGCTTTGTAGACCACACAGTCTGTTGTAGCTATTCAACTCTGCTGTTGTGTAGTAAGAAATCAGCCACAGAGAACACTTGAATGAATAGGCAATGCCACATTTCAGCAACACTTTATTTACTAAAACAAGTGACTGGCCAAATTAGCCCACGGGCCATAGTTTGTCAACCCCTGTGTGCTAGATTAAGCTTGGCTCTCAAGAGGGCTGGATTACATCAAAATCCTAACTTGGTCACCAACTATTTTTCATGTATCAAGCTGCCGCTATAAATTAAGATAAGCTCATAAAGTGTTTGGAATTTGCCCAGTAACCTGAACTTTTTCTAGAGAAGCAGTGACCTACCATGCCTGTGAAGTGTACCTTCTTGCCAAGCTCACTGCTCCCTGAATCTATATTTAATCCTACTTTTTGAAAATAGCAAAGCATCATTAGGTCCTTTAAATCCTGATATTTGCCCCCAACTCTTTCCATCTGGCTCTTCCTTTTTGGGGGCAAAAAAGTAGTAGGAGATTTAAAACTTGGAGTTTGGAGATTGTTGCTTTCCTCATTCCCTCCAATACCTAACTTTAACCCCTGGTGGTGAGCAAAACTATATTCTATATCTGAAGCTTGCCAAAAGAAGGGCAATTGGTTTCAGAAAATAATTCCTGTGTTGTCACATTCCAAGATAGCCATGTGGTCCCTGGGACTGCCAATCCTGGTTACATTTTTTGGCCACTGCCACAATTATATATCAAGTACATCTGTTACCAAAATCCGGTTGGGCCCACACAAAGAATGATTACAGAACAGTGGCTTCTTCATCTGCCAGGAAATCCACCACCTCCTCCTAAGCCTCAGAATGTCAGTCATTTTTCTGGAAAGACTGAATGATGACTTGCAATAACAGTGGCTCTCACATGCAGCAGGAGAAATTATGGAAGAAAGAGTAAACCTTCTCCATTTTTCCTAATGTTTTAATAAAACATGTGCATGTTTTTAACCAAAGCCA